>NC_000017.11:22426544-22763679 GCF_000001405.40 Homo sapiens
ATGAACAGGGTGTGGGTCACAGAGATCACATGCTTCACAAGGTAATAAAATATCACAAGGCAAATGGAGGCAGAGTGAGATCACAGGACTGGGGTGAAATTAAAATTGTTAATGAAGTTTCGGGCACGCATTGTCATTGATAACATCTTATCAGGAGACAGGGTTTGAGAGCAGATAACCAGGTCTGACCAAAATTTATTAGGCGGGAATTTCCTCATCCTAATAAGCCTGGGAGTGCTACAGGAGACCGGGGCTTATTTCATCCCTTATCGACGATCATAAAAGGCAGATGTTCACAGAGCGGCCATCTCAGAGACCTCCCCCTAGGAACACACTCTCTTTCTCAGGGCTGTTCTTCGCTGAGAAAAAGAATTCAGTGATATTTCTCCTCTTTGCTTTTGAAAGAAGAGAAACATGGCTCTGTTCCGCCTGGCTCTCAGGCAGCCAGACCTAATGGATATCTCCCTTGTTCCCTGAACATCGCTGTTATCCTGTTCTTTTTTCAAGGTGCCCAGATTTCATATTGTTTAAACAATTTGTGCAGTTAATGCAATCATCACAGGGTCATGAGGCGACATACATCCTCAGTTTATGAAGATGACAGGATTAGGAGATTAAAGTAAAGACGGGCATAGGAAATCACAAGAGTATTGATTGGGGAAGTGATAAATGTCCATGAAATCACAATTTATGTTCAGAGATTGCAGTAAAGACAGACATAAGAAATTATAAAAGTATTAATTTGGGGAACTAATACATGTCCATGAAATCTTCACAATTTATGTTCTTCTGCCATGGCTTCAGCCAGTCCCTCCATTCAGGGTCCCTGACTTCCTGCAACACCCCCCATCCCAGGTTCAAGCAATTTTCCTGCCTCAACCTCCCAAGTCTTTGGGGTTACAGGTGCCTGCCACCATACCTAGCTAATTTTTGTATTTTTAGTAGAGATGAGGTTTCACTATGTTGGCCAAGCTGGTCTCGAACTCCTGACCTCAGGTGATCTGTCTGCATCAACCTCCCAAGGTGCTGGTGCTGGGATTAAAGGCATAAGCCACTGTGCCTAGCCTATAGGGAGGTTTTAAAACAACACTTTTCATCATTTCTAGGCCTTTTACCTAAGATCAAGTGTAAAAAATGAATTTGAGTTTCTTTAATAGATACAGGGGTTTTCAAGTTATCCATTTCTTCTTGGGTGAACTTTGGTAATTTGTCTTTGAACTAATTTGTCAATTTTATCCATGGTGTTGAATTTAATTGGCATAAAAGTATTCCTAGTATTATTTTACTATCCCTTTATATCTGTAGAATCTTTAGTGATGTCACCTCTCTCATACCTTCTACTGGTAATTCTCTCTTTTTTCCCTGATCAATCTGGCTGAAAATGTATCAATGTCATTGATTTTCCCAAAGAACAAGACTTGGGATTCATTGATTTTCCTCTAACCTATTTTCTTTCACTGATTCCCACTTTGATCTTTATTATTCCATTTTTCTGCTTACTTTGGATTTAATTTGCTTTTTTTTCCCATCTTTAAGTGAAAACTGAAGTCACTGATTTGAGTCCTCTCTTCTTTTCTAATATAATATTTAATGACATAAATTTTCCTCTAGGTACTGTTTTAGTGACAGCCCATATATTCTATGTTGTTTTCTATTTTCATTCACTTTGAATTGCTTTCTAATTTCCCTTTAGATTTCTCCTTTGACCTATGGGTTATTTAGAAGTGTATTAGATGTCAGATATTTGGGGATTTTCAAGGATCTTTCTGTCACTGATTTCTAATTTAATTCTAATTCGTCATATGCAGTATGTTCCACAGAGAACACACTGTGTATGATGAATGCTTTTGAATTTATTGAGACTTTTAAAAATCAGCCACAATGTGGTCTAGATTCATAAATGTTCCATGTGCACTTGGGAAAAATCTGTATTCTGCTATTGTAGAGCGAAGTGTTCTGCAAATATCAATCAAGTCAAGTTAGCTGATAGTGTTGTTCAAATCTACTATATTCTTTTTTGTTTGTTTGTTTGTTTGTTTGTTTTTGAGATGGAGTCTCATTCTGTAGCCCAGTTTAGAGTGCAGCAGCACAATCTCGGCTCACTGCAACCTCTGCCTCCTGGGTTCAAGTAATTCTCCCTGCCTCAGCCTCCCAAGTAGCTGGGATTACAAGCGCTTGCCACATGTCCAGCTAATTTTTGTATTTTTAGTAGAGATGGGGTTTTGCCATGTTGGCCAGACTGGTCTCGAACTCCTGACCTCAGGTAATCTGCCCACTTCGGCCTCCCAAAGTACTGGGATTACAGGCATGAGCCACTGCACCCAGCAAAATCTACTGCATTCTTACTGATTTTCTGCCCACTTGTTCTATTAATTATTGAGAGAGAGCTATTAAAATATCTGATAGTTATGCATTTTTCTATTTCTCTTTGATGTTTTATTAGTTTTTCTTTTATTCATTTTGAAGGCTTATTAGGTACAAAAACATGAAGGATTGTTATATCTTCTTCGCTGACCACATCGTCAGTATGAAATAACCTTTAATTCCTAGAAATAATTCTTTGCTCTGAAATCTATTTTGATATTAATATAGCCACTCTAAATTTCTTTTGACTAGTTTTAGCATGGTATATCTTTTTCCATCTTTATACTTTTAACCTATTTGTGTCTTTATATTTATAGTGCCTTTCTTATAGGCAGAATATAGTTGGGTCTTTGTTTTTCAATGTAATTTGACACTCTCTGCCTTTTAGTTGGGGTATTTAGACTATTTACCTTTAATATGATTACTGATATGATTAGGTTGAGCCACTCACCTTGCATATGTTCTCTATTCATCTCATCTGTTTTTTATTTCCTTTTTCCATTTTCCTTTGAATTAATCAAGTATTTTTATCATACCATTTTATCTCATTTTATCTCTCTTGTTAAACAGCCACATTTCTTTTTTTTTTTTTGAGATGGATTCTCACTCTGTCACCTAGGCCAGAGTGCAGTGGCATGATCTCGGCTCACTGCAAGCTCTGCTTCCTGGGTTCACACCATTCTCCTGCCTTAGCCTCCCAAGTAGCTGAGACTACAGGTGCCCGCCACCACACCTGGCTAATTTTTTGTATTTTTAGTAGAGACGGAGTTTCACCGTATTAGCCAGGATGGTCTCGATCTCCTGACCTCATGATCCATCCTCCTCGGCCTCCCAAAGTGCTGGGATTACAGGCGTGAGCCACTGCACCCAGCCTACAATTCTTTTTTGTTTTAATTGTAAACCTTAAGATAATACATTTTATTTGAAGTAAGGTGCTGAAGAGGTGTTATTTGTGTAGGGTGTTAAAATAATGGTAAGCTATGAGAAGGGGAAAAGGGCACTGAGGCTAAGGAGTTAGTTTAAAAAAAAACAGACCAGTACACATGGGAATGTTTGTGTAGTTTTGTACTGGGGTGGTTAGATTTGGCAGTCGCTGAAGCTATGTATGTAGGCAAAGACTGAATGAGAGATGAATCTGGAATGGCAATTTCAAATTAGTCACTAGAAGACCTCAAACCATCCCCTCTACAACCCCAGTTCTGTAGATATTGAAAGAATGGTGGACCCGGGGCCCACTCTCTCTGAACTTGACTCCTCACTTCCCTATGAAAGCTGGCTTTGCTATGTGCCCTGTGATATACATCTGTTTGTCCCCACTTTCCAAAAGTATGAATCTTGTCTCTGGTTTACCTCCAATGCCTAGAAAAATATGTGGCAGAACGCATGCTTCAGTAAATAATCTTTTAATCACTGAATATTTCAAGAATTCCACATAATTCTATAAGACATTATTAACTATTGTAAATTTTTAAGTGGAGAAAAAGTACTATGTTGCCTTTATTTCATGAAAGCAACCTTAAGAGTTGGCATGAACACATCTATCCATCTACTTGTGTTTGTGCTCATATACTCATATCCCACTTACTATGGATGAATGGAATGATCTATCATCTAAAGTCAATATTTCTTTTTCCTAACTTCCAATCCAAGGACATTATTCCAGAAATACTTCCTTGTATGTCCTACATTATCAATTTTGCCCTCTCTGTGGATGATTTCCATTGGCATGCAAACATGCTGTTATTTTTTCTCTTCTTATAGAACATTAAACACAACGATCTTGACTCTACTTCCTCTATAATTACTTGCCTTTTCTCCATTCCTTTTTTTGAGTGAAGCTTCTTGAAATTGTTGCCTGTGCTTACTGCATTCAACCCCTCTACTTTGTTCTCTCAGAAATCCCTTTTGGTCAAGCTTTCTCCTTATCACTTCACCCAAAGGACTCTTGTGAGGTCATCAGGGCTAGCCACTTTACTAAATCCAATGGCTGTTTATCAGGTCCCATTTTATGTCAACTTTCAGCAGCATTTGATAAAGTTGGCCACCATTTTCTTGAAATAATGTTTTCCTTTGGCTTTGTGAACATCATACTCTCCTTTACTGGTTGCTTTTCAGTTTCTTTTTCTGGTTCCTCTTTACCCTTCTTTATTTTTATTTCAATAGGTTTTTGTGGGGAACAGGCAGTGTTTTGTATATAAGTTTTTTAGTGGCAATATCTGAGATTTTTATGCATCCATCACCAGAGCAGTGTACACTGTACCCAATGTGTAGTCTTTTATCCCTCGACCCCCTCCCACCCTTTCCCCCAAGTCCCCAAAGTCCATTGTATCATTCTTATGCCTTTGCATCCTCATAGCTTAGCTCCCACTTACAAGTAACAATATACAATGTTTGGTTTTCCATTTCCAAGTTACTTCATTTGGAATAATGGTCTCCAATTCCATCCAGGTTGCTGTAAATGCCATTATTTCGTTCCTTTTTAGGGTTAAGTAGTATTCCATGGCATGTATGTTGTGTATATATATATACATATATACATGTATATATATATACATGTATATATGTATATATATATACACGCACATATATACACACATACATACATATACACATATATATCACATTTTCTTTATTCACTCGTTGATCGATGAGCATTTGGGCTGGTTCCTTATTTTTGCAATTGTGAATGGTGCTGCTATAAACATGCATGTGCAAGTATCTTTTTCATGTAATGATTTCTTTTCCTCTGGGTAGATAACCAGAAGTGGGATTGCTGGATCAAGTGGTAGATCTACTTTTAGTTCTTTAAGGAACCCCCCACCCTGTTTTCCATAGTGGTTGTATTTGTTTACATTCCCACCAACAGTGTAAAAGTGTTCCCTTTTCACCACATCCACACCAACATCTATTTTAATTTTTTGATCTTTTTATTATGGTCATTCTTGCAAGATTAAGGTTGTATCATGTTGTGGTTTTGATGTGCATTTCCCTGATAATTAGCGAGGTTGAGTATTTTTTATATGTTTGTTGGCCATTAGTATATCTTCTTTTGAGAATTGTCTATTCATGTCCTTAGCCCACTTTTTGATGAGATTGTTTGTTTTTTCCTGAGCAGCTACAATTCTTTGGCTTGTTATTTTAGTGGTTGCTTATGGATTTATAGTGCATGTCTTCCACTGATCACAGTCTACCTTCAAGTGATAATATATCACTTTAGTATAAGAAACCTACATCGTATACTTCTTCCCTCCTAGTCTTTAAGCTATGACTGTCATCCATTTTATTTTACATGTCATAAATTCCATAGTAATTTATTATTTTTGTTTAAACAATAATATTTTAAAGAGGTTTAAGTAATAATAACAAATCATATATTTGTCCATGTTGTTACTATTTCTGGTGCTCTTCATTCCTTTGTGCAGATCTAGATTTCAATATGGTATCCTTCTTACTTTTACTGCCTAAAAGACATCCTTTAATTTTTCTTGTAGTGCAGGTCTCCAGGTAAGAAAGTCTTAAGTCTTTACAAGTCTAAAAATGTATTTATTTCTTCATATCCGTTATTCTCTTTTTGGTAGTATCTAGTTGGCTGTGACACTAATCCATTAAACTTTCCATTTCAATTATGGTATTTTTCAAATCTAGATTTCTATTTGGTAATTTTTCCCAATCTACTTGATTATTTTCATACTCATGCTCTTTAATCCCCTTGTTTCTTTACGTGTAAGACACACTTTATGTGATGTTTGGTGACTCTAATATCTTAAGTCTCTGTAGGTTTTTTCCTCTGTACATTGTTCCTGCTGGCTCTTGCACATTATACATGTTTGTAATTTTTGAATAAAAACTTACATTCCATGAAGCTGTCTTCCATTTTGCTTTTGCCAGGCACCTGGAAGGCATTAAAAACCTGATGTCACTTTAAATTTGCAGCTTGAGACTTTTTAGGATTATACAGCTTGTGTGTGAAGCCACCAGTGAAAGGGCTGCCCATGGTTATGTATTAATGTATCCTCACTCTCGGGCGAGATGTTTTCCCTCAGGATGGACAATTTTGTCTACTGTTCCAGGGGCTGCAGGGGATAGAGGTGGCAGGAGACAGGGGAGGCAGACAGGTTGATTCATAGTTCCCTCCTACACTAAACCTATCTTTTTGGTGTCCTTTTTTTTTTTTTTTTTTTTTTTGAGACGGAGTCTTGCTCTGTCGCCCAGGCTGGAGTGCAGTGGTGCGATCTCGGCTCACTGCAAGCTCCGCCTCCCGGGTTCACACGCCATTCTCCTGCCTCAGCCTCCTGAGTAGCTGGGACTACAGACGCCCACTACCACACTTGGCTAATTTTTTGTATTTTTAGTAGAGACGGGGTTTCACTATGTTGGCCAAGATAGTCTCAATCTCTTGAGGTGTCCTACTTTTTGATGTCTTCTCCTAATCCTCCTACCTTGGACAGGATCTAAACTTTGTCTGCTATTCTGCTGCCCTATCATCATCCCAGACTATGAAAAGCAAGTTTCAGTATGACACTTGGCAACTATCTTAAGGGTGAAAAATGGCATCTAATTACTTCTTTGGGTTTCTACTTTCACTTTTTAATTTTAATTTTTTTTGCCTTTGTGAACTCTTAATTATTTTGCACCTCATTGATACATTTTTTTAAAATGGTTCTTGATATGTATTCCAGAAATTTTTGTTGTTTTCTGGTCCTTGTCAGCCCATGTTGCCGGAAATAAAATTATTTCAACTTGTTCTTTAACAATTTACAGTATCCATATATTCCTTCCTGTTCCAGAGGCAATAGAGTGAGAACACACACTTAGGAGCCAAGCTGGCCTGAGATTAAGATCCACCAGCAATGTGACCTCAATAGCCTATTTACATTCTGAGCCTCAGTTTTTCATAGGGTTGGTGTGATAATTATATGAGGTAATATATGAATATTACTTAAAACAGAGACTGGTAAGGATGGACTTTCTTGTTATTATTATCTGAAAAATTTGAAAAATTATGAGCCTGAGTAACAGTTATACATCTTACCCATTGGTTCACTAACCTCTGGCCCCTGGCTACCCCAGACCCCTCTACCATGCAGTCACCCACACCCATGCTTACACTGATGGAGAGGAGTCATCTATGAGCTATTCACTGGATGACAGGCCCAGCTACTGTCACAGATGCACTCCAAGTCCAGGACAGAATGCTAGCAGATAGCTGCTGGTCTGAGAAATGTCATCATCATATAAGCCTGAGTGAAAACACAACCCCTTTACTACTAAGAAATCTAAAAACAAACAAACATAAACCAACATAATTTTAAATTTTGTATTTTTTATGATGTCATTTGTCCCAACAGCCATCTGACATCAATAGTCCTGATTACTAAAAATCTCAACACATTATAGAAATGTTCTTCTCCTTTTTGAAAACCATGTTTATTTTTCCCCCACAATACAGTGCTATCTGCAAAGCCTTGAACTGATAACATAGCTCAGGGGCTAACTCTATCTTAGCAGAGTAGCAGCTGAAAAAAGAAAGCAATTCTTAACAAACAGGGAGATCAGGAATGCTCACTTCAAAAACATTATTTATTCAGGGCAAGTGGGCAAGTGGTATTTCTGATGTGCAAATGAAGCTTAAACTTCAGCTTTAATTTATAAGAATTAGGAAATGCAGATTAAATCTCTGATGCCACATTGTGAATTCAGTAAAGGTTAACTAATCTACGATGCAAAGACAAACTTTAGCTATCCTACACTTATTATTCTGGAAATTTAATGAAAATTAAACAAGAAGACTAACAGAGTATAAGAATTGTCCCCCCGTCTTAACACTGCTGTTTCCAGCCTCTGTTGCCTGAAACACTGCAGAATACTTCAGATTTTTTTAACCCCAACTTTTTATTGAGTAAAACCAAAGTACTAAACTAATAAATGTGAAAAAGGATGTTGGGCTTAAAAAGAAAAAGCCTCAAGACATCGAGCCTCTTAGATATTTTAAAAGTGAAGACCGAGAAGGAATGCACTGTTGCTAAATAGAATTATAGGATTATGGTCAATTTATAATCTTTTCAACATGGGATTTGAATGTTCTGATATTAGATACGATGTACGTACTTTATTTATATAGTACCTCCTGAGAAGAAAAAAAATCAATATTGGTTTATACAGTATTTTGCATGCTATTCACGTATGCAGTGATGTATACGATATCAGAGCTAGAAAATGGCTTAGATACGATTTGTATTCAGCGCTGGGCGGGTCCGGCCCCGCCAAGCCCCGCCCCGACACCACCCCCCCCCCTGCCCCGCCTCATCCCGCCCCCTCCGACCCGCCCCAGCCGCACCCCTTCCCCCTCCGCCCCGCCCCGTCCCCTCCACCCCGCCCCGCTCGGCTTCGTCACCTCTGCCCCGCCTCGACCCCTCCCCTCCTCCCTGCCTCGTCCCCTCCGCCCCGTCCCGCCCCCTGAGGCATGCGCGGTGCTCCCGGCAGGCGGGGCTGGCTGTTGGAGGAATGTGCGAGGATCTCCGTGGCCGGTGTCTGAAGTCGTCAGTTTACTGCTTGTAATGAACATAGTGATCACTGGGAACCTGGAAGTAGAGACTCCTTTGCGCCGTCCCGCCGTCCCTCTGGCTGCTGCGAATCCCCCCGCCAGCCTCCAGGACCCCGGGCTGGCTCAACGCCCCCACCGGCCCCGCCGCCCCAGGGCCCGCTACGCGCCCGGCATAATGGGAGAAAAATCAGGACGGAAAGGCCCAGCCCCTCGCCATGCAGACGGGAAGCTCGGCCTGCACATGTGAGGACCCTTACGCCCCTTGGGGCTTCACCCCCTTTGCTGGCTCCAATAGTCTGGGTCGGGGCCTCCTTGTCCTGTGGGGGCCTCTGGGCCACAAGAACACAGGCCCGAGCCCCGGCGAGCTCGCGGGCCTCCCACCAGCCGTGCTCAGGCTGCACTTCTGCACCCCAGCCCTGCACCTGCGGGACCACCTGGGTCACTTTTCCATTCTGATAAAGTCCCCGTACTTCGTGGCTGCAGGCTCCTCAAGCCCCAGGTCTGTGCAGGGATGAGCAAAACAGCAGAATATCCGCGCTACATCTTTCTGGAGCACCCATTTTACTACCAGATTTGGAAGGAACAAAGTTAAGTAATTTCCAGGATAAGTAATTAAAATTTTATGATGAAAAGGCTGGAAACTCTTCTCCTGGTAATAACTGTCAGACATATCTGTGCCTGAAATGTCAGACTTTCTCTGAGAAAAAAACTGAGAACCTGTTTCCCATTATTTTAAATAGGAAACATTATAGGGCACAGCAAGTCAATAGAAAAAAACCTACCAATTTCCTAATTCACAGTGTGGCAGTAGGTTTAAGTTGCACGTAAGTTAGCAGGTAAAATGCTTAAATGTTACCACGTGGTCACCCACATTTGATATGGTTGTTAACATGCAGTTGCCTTGGATGCAGTAGCTTTGGCTTGAGACCAGCAACATCACACGTGAACCTCTCCTTTGTCAACACACCAAAGCTTTTTGAAGTGACCGTCATGATCCTGATGGTCTACCAGTTGTTTCTGGAAGCAACATGTGGCTTTTCCAGCAAAGTATTTAGTTTAAAATGTTGTAATTTTTGAAAGCTCAAACATTATCTCTACAACCATCAGCCGAAAAATTTGAGACAGGTTCTTGCTCTTTTGCCTGAACTGCACCATGATAGGGGCTCCAGCGATCCACCTGCTTCAGCCTCCCCAGAAGCTGAGACCACAGGTGTGTGCCACCATGCCTGTTAATTTCTAAATTTTTTGTAGAAATTACATCTCCCCACATTGCCGAGGCTGGTCTTGAACTTCTAGACTCAAGCAATTTTCCTGACTTGGCCTCCTAAAGTGCTGGAATTACAGACGTGAGTCACCGACCGCACCTAGCCTGAAAAATGTTTTGTGAGATAAATAGCTGCTATACAGTTTAGATATTAAAAACTAAGATGTGTTCTCCCAGGAAAGTAATAATTTTGGATATATTCTGTGTCACATCCTGTATGATGAAATAGATGGCAAAAGAATCCCATTTAATTTAAAGATGGAAGCTGTAACTTCAAGTAAATTTGGAGCTGAGGAGTCCTTTCGGGCTATGACCCCAGAATTCTGGGGTTCTCTGTACTGATATTTTGCTAGTGTCCACACACAAGCATTCCTTAATGCTGTGCGTTAAACAAATAGACCTTCTTTGACCCCAGATTTCTCTCCATTTACCATTCTGTTTCTCTGCTCCATGCAACTACCTCACCTCATGTCCTCTCTTGAACCCACTCCTTTCTAGCTTTTCTCCAGGGTACTTTGCTGAAACGACTTTTATCTCAGTCATTTAGCTGCATTTGACACAGATGATACAATTAAGGAGTTCCTCCTTGAAACTCTTTCTTCTGGATTTTAAAGACCTTCCGTCCTGGATTCCCTCTCACCTTTTTCTTCATCCTCCTGCTCCTCCTCTACCAGATCTCTAGTGATCCTCTCAGAATGATCCCACATAGTCTCATAGCTTTAAATACCATCCATCTGTTGATAACCACTAGGCTTGGGGCCTCTTCCCTGAGGGGAGCACCAAGAGTCTTCCCTGACTCTTTTCCCTTCGCCCCCAACCCCCATGCAACCATACAGCAAGTCCTGTGGCTCTTGAGTGCAACCAGCAACCTGATTCACCATCTCCATTTCCACAACCAGTTTCAGTCATCTTCCTCTCCTACTGGTCTACTGCCAAAAATCCTCCTACTGCCAAAAATCCTCCAACCTCCCTGCATCCTATCTTGCCCTCCTGCAGTCCAGCCTCCACTCAAGCATCCAGAGTGATCTCTTGAAAATGTTAAAACATGATATAAGCATACCCCCACCCCTGTGTAAACCCTGCCACTGTCTACTCATTGCAGTAGAATAAAAGTTCAGACAACCTGGTGCCTGCCTCTTAAGCCTCATCTCCTACCCTTGCTTGTTCTTGCTATGTGGGTCAGATTTTCCGGTCTCCAGAGCTGAAAACAATCTTAACTGACAGGCATTAGATCATAGACTCTATCTACAGCATAAGGCATGGAAGGAAAAGTCTGAGAGAATGAAGGGCCAGAAAAGTTCATTTAAAAAAAATAAAAAGCACAGGAAACTGGAAACATAACTAACCTGTATGTATATACTCAAAAGAACATGGCAGCAAAATGAACTCTTTAGAAACTGAGCCAACAGACTTGCAAATGAATAGAAATACCTTTGGTCCTACTCTGAAAACAAAAAGAATCCTTAGTGAATATACAAGAACAAAAATTGTACACATTTCTGGGTCATAATGCAATAAAACTAGAAATAATCGAAAGAGAATTTAAAGATGTTCAGCTTCCTGAAAATGTCAGATTATCCTTTTAAACAAATTAATGCCTATGTCAGGGTGCAAATCCAAAACACAAATACCTTGCCTATAAAAATATATTTTTTCAAGCAACAGTGTATCAGGATGTAAGGAGAGAGCTCACTAACTCAGAAGCTCCCAGAGTGACCAGATGTGTTCATGGGAACCGGAGCACTGCCCTGGAGTCATTTGACATCACCTTATTACAAACAGGAACAGCCATGATGGGGAATGCTCAGATGCCAGTAATAAGTCAGAGGATTCCCTCCTGAACGGGACCTCCCAGTCCTTTTTGGCACAGGGTTCCAGGTGTGACCACAAATCCATGGGTGAGGGCTTTCAAGATCAACCTGCCCTCAGGCAGTGGAGTGGAAACTGGAACTAGCAGCTACAGTGGAAAAAAGGAATGTCCTCTCAGAATATGTCATCTGCCCCATGCAAAGACTCTGGATCTCAGAAGTCCTCCTGGTAAGGACTCGGAGCCAGACAACTTCATTTCCTGTCACCTGGGCTGCTCTCCCTCTGACAGCTATGGAAATTGGTGAAGCACAGGAACGTATTGGAAATGGCAATGATGTGCAATGCCAATGTGTGGAAGTGTACAAGTTAAGTAATATTTTAAAAACAGAACACACAGCAGTTTGCACAATCTGATCAAAGCTCTGTCATGTATGTTTCTAAACAAGTTTGGAAGAGAATTTGGAAATGGCTGAATTTTTTTAATAAAGCTCATGTTTTTAGTTTGTTTAAATGTAAAAGCATACACTTAGAAACAAGTTAGTACATAAGAATTTTTAATCTTAGCTATCTGGAAGCTTCAAATACCTAGAATGAGGCATTTCCCAAAGGTCTCTGTAACTTGAATTTTACCGTAGTTTGAAAACTCTTGCCAGGCATACTGGCTCACACAGGTAATCCCAGCACTTTGGGAGATTGAGGTGGGCAGATTGCTTGAGCTAGGAGTTAGAGACCAGCCTGGGCAACATGGTGAAACCCCATCTCTACAAAAAATTTAAAAATTAGCTGGGAGTGGTGGCACTGCCGTTTGACACAGCTACTCAGGAGGCTGGGGTGGGAGGATCCTTGAGCCCGGGAGGTCCAGGCTGCAGTGAGCCATGATTGCATCCCTGTACTTCAACCTGGGCAACAGTGCCAGACCCTGCCCCCTCCCCCAAAAGAAAACTATTAGTTCATAGTGCAGTTGATGAAATAATGTACATCCACAAAGAAAGGAGCAACCATAATATGTATATAATTACTCAGTATTAAAATATTGTATATAGTATTACATATATAATATTGAATACCTATAATGAATGGGGCACTGCTTTAAGCACTGTATACTCATTATCCCACAAGAATTCCTTCTCGGGTAGGTCTTAGTATATTCAATTTAAAGGCTAATTAGTAAGCAATACATAGAATTGAACAAGAAGCTAAAACATAGAAGGCTCTCGAAAATACAATGTGGAATGAGTAATGCAAGTTACAGAGATACATAGCACATTTATAGAAAGTGTAAAAACTTACAAAGTTAAACACTATATTATTTAGATAAACAATATATTATTTAGAGATGTTATTATGTAATAAAAGTATAAAAGTCAGGGAAATAATATGTTTTGTAAAGCTTCAGATGAATGATTGTCCTAGATGGGGAGGCAAATGGTTACATTTCCAAAGGGCCAACCATGAAGACGGCTTCAAATGTAGTGGTGTAGGTGATGGATACAATGTATTTATTTTACTTTTATGTGAGTCTGTGTGTATGTATGTGTGTGAGTGTGTGTGCAATTTTGTATGTATAAATATGTAGTAATTTTTTTTTGAGTTTGGGTGTTTCTCTGTCTCCCAGGCTGAAGTGCAGTGGCATGATCACGGCTCACTGCAGCCTCCACCTCTCAGGCTCAAGTGATGCTTCCACCTCAGCCTCCTGAGTACCTGGGACTACAACTGGTAAATATTTTGCTATTATAGATTCGGCTATCATGTTCTGTTCAGTGCCTATTTCAATAGCCTCTCTGCCTTAATTCACCTTCATCTGCAGTGGGACACAGTACTTCTTCTCTAGGCTACCCATGGGGTACCCCAACAGCGTTGCCACCACATACAATCTTCATAGAGCTCTTAACTGCATCCAGCTTTCTCCAGGAGCTCAGGATGCCCCAGACCCTCATCGCAGACAGCATTGCCCTGGAGCTTATGGCTGGAGATGATATCACCACAGACATCCCCAACCCAGCCCTGTCCTGGGAGCAGGATTCTGGCCTCCCTATTAGGCCTCAGAAACTGGCTGACCACCTGGCTTCACAAACCTGTGTGTTTTCAGGGAAAATTTTGATCTCTACAAACCATGACATGTAGAGAGGGACACACATCTGATTCAGCAGTCCCTGATCCGCTGATCCATGGACACATTTGCCCACAAGGAATAACCTAGAATTTCTCTCTGGTGGAGGTCAGGGGCATTACATGAGCTGAGTAGAGCTTAGTTTTTAATCACTAGACATAGGCAAGGTGTTTAAGTTATTACGCTTCCAAGCAGCATGGTCCTCACTCACTCAAGGTGAGATAAATATTGCTGCAAAGGAACAACAGCTGCATTGTTGGAGTTTTGCTTTTGAGGCGTGTGTGTGTGTGTGTGTGTGTGTGTGCATTTGTGTGTGTGTGCGTGAGTTGATTTCTTTCACAAAATACATTTTCACATACTTCCTTACTCCAATCTACATTGCCCCTTCCTTTTAAATAAATTTTTTTGAAAACTAATAAGCCTATTTTATTTATTTACATTTTTTATTTACGTTTCTTTACAAACTGTTTGCTATTAGTCTACAGTGAAAAGTCAACACTTTATAAAATAAGATTAGCATTTAAAAGCTTCTCAATTCTAATACTTTGAAAGGCTACACCCATTTTCAGAAAGTCTGGGCTATTCAAAATATTTTACAAAATTCTGAAACTTCGAAAAGCTGCAAGATTTGGAGACAGCAAGATGAAGTGTTTTTTCTAACAGCCAGTTTTGTTCACTTTATTATTAAATATGCACTTTTTAAATTAACAGCTTGAATTCTAGAATATATTTTTGAAAATCACTAATGATTTTTGTAAAAATAGAAAATCTGTTGTACCTTTATCTTAAAATTCACTTCTTATCTATTTTCTAGATTTGATGTTTTGTCATTTTAAAGGATACTAGACAAGAGGATCTCAATTTGGATCACTATATTGGGCTCCTAATATCCTAATATAATTTTAAATCATCTCAAACAATGCATTATTACCATATACATCAGCATTTCCCAAACTGTGCTATAAGCTATGTATACTTTTGCTATTTTTGAGCTAAAATATGCTTACAAATATATAAAAATATAAAAATATATTTAGGTGTTGTTATGCAATAATGCACTTTTCAAAAAGAAACGATATACCAGTCTCAAGAATACCCGGAAGCTGCATGAAAATTCTTGATTCCTTTTATATATAGTGACAGAAAAAGATGTAAATCTAACAATTGGTTATTTTTATTGTTTAAAGTTTTTTCTATAAGCACATGTGAATTAAGTATTCATTATTCCATATTCCTCATGTCACCGACGCTGGGTGCCCACAGCACTGTTTTTCTAACACTGCAGCTGTGGGACTGAGGGTGGCAGACCAGACACCTGCACTGAGCCACATTCGTCACACAGTTGGACCAGCCCTGAGCCGGGGGCAGAAACATCCTGATGTGAAAAGCTGTTTGCTAAGTACAATGACCACACGTTTCGTCTATTTTGAATACACCATCACAACAAACTCTACACTCTTGACAGATGAGACAGGCAGATATGATCTTTGAACACAAGTGAGAAAGACGTTCACACAGACTCCCATCCTCCCTCACATGACTGGAGGATTAAAATGGTGGTGGGGGGTGGATATTCAGCTCAGGGGCAGATTAGTGACACTCTCACAGCTATTTTAAGATACGAAATATTTATATGATCCTATTCCAAACCCTAATACATAAATAATGAACTCAGAACTGTACACAAAGGGAAACAAAAAACCACTCTGACAGTGTCCAGGTCCCTCATAAACTTCCCAGAAGTCAAGGAGGTCAAGGCTGGTCTCAAACTCCTAGGCTCAAGCGATCTGCCCACCTGGGCCTCCCAAAGCTCTGGGATTACAGGCATAAGCCACCAAACACAGCCTAGTACGTTCTTTCGATATGTTTGGAATGAATGTGTTTCCAAGGATAAAAGCTTACAATGACATCTTTCTTACCTGTAAGATACCCGAAGAGCAGAGAGAGGGTCCCCAGGCTGGCTAAGCATCCAGAACACTGGGGGAGCTTTAAAAACATAGATATAAATTATTGTATTTCACCCCTTACTTACTGAATCACAATCCCAGGGATGGAAGCACCCAGAGATCTGTCTTTTTAGAACTTCTCCAGCTCTCCAAGTGGTGCTGACAATCAGGCAGATTGAGAGCCAGTGCTTCAGGCAGCTCATCCCAGACCTCGGGAGCAGGGGAGTCACCCAGAGCTATGTCAGACTGAAGGTTCTGGTGCATCAGGGGTGGGGAGGGTCTTGAGAGTTGGCCTTTCCAACAAGCTTCCCAGAGGGGCTGCTTTGCTGATCCTCACCAGGCTTTGAGGGTGCACAGCACTCTTCCTCTAGGTGTGTGTCCACATACCTGGCACATTTGTTGTTGCATTGCCCCAGGTATAAAGTGCAGGGTGCCCCCTCTACACCTTCAGCCCTGCTGTCTCCCCTGCTGACCCCCAAATCTCTGGGGCTTGGACTTACCTTTATAAAGGGAGCTCTCAGCTCAGGGGTGGGCCCTCCCCACTGGCCCTCTTTTCCCAAGGCCCGGCATCAGCAGGAGCTGCTCGAGCAATTCATCCCGAGGGGTCTATGTGGTGTGAAAGGCTTAGGGAGACTGTTCTGTTTATTGTTAAGAGCCAGGAAACAAAGCCTGGAAACAAAGTCTGGTATTGCTCAATTCAGTGGTGATAAGAGACAAGGGTAGGGCAGGGTGCAGAGAAGACTCCCACACATAGCAGGACCGAGTGAGTGCCAATTCTTCCTTCTAACACTGGCACCAAGGAGAGACCGCTGTCCCTTCCCATAAAGGCAGTGGACAAATGGAAGCATCGCTTGGTGTGCCAGCTTCTTTGGGGCAGGAGAACAATAGGTGACTTGAAGCAGGGTTGGGAGCCCCATCCCAAGCACAGTGGATGCTGAAGGGGGTCCCAGGCTCCCCAGGTCCTGGGCTTCTCTTGATTCTCAGTTAAGCTTGTTGATTGCATATAGTTGAATATATATAGGCGAGGAAAAGACACAAGCCAAGAACTGGGGGCTTCAGTCAGCTCTGAAAAGTCAGGAAGAGCATTTCTTTTTTTTTTTTTTTTTTTTTTTGGGACAGAGTGTCGCTGTGTCACCCAGGCTGGAGTGCAGTGGTGCGATCTCAGCTCACTGCAAGCTCTGCCTCCTGGGTTCTCGCCATTCTCCTGCCTCAGCCTCCCAAGTAGCTGGGACTACAGGTGCCCGCCACCACACCTGGCTAATTTTTTGTATTTTTAGTAGAGACGGGATTTCAACGTGTTAGCCAGGATGGTCTCCATCTCCTGACTTCGTGATCTGTCCACCTCGGCCTCCCAAAGTGCTGGGATTACAGGTGTGAGCCACCGTGCCCAGCCAGGAAGAGCATTTCTAACATCCAAATGCAAATGTCTGCCACCCCGGGCTGCTTTCCTCTGGAAACTGCACTGCAGGGCACAGCAGGTCCCAGGTTTGCCTTTCCTAATTCCCTGCACCACCCAGCTCCCGCCTCCCTCACTGTGCGGGATGAGAGGTCCACACAGACAGTTCCTTCTCACCTTTGAAATGGCAGTGGTGGCTGCAGCCTGGGAGCTGAGGCCATCCCAAGCGGGTGAGACCCCCACCAGGGGCCCTGGGTACCTGCCGGCCACAGGCTGTGCCATCCAGGCTGTGCACAGCCACGCCTCAGCTACCAGGATTTCCTTCCTGTGGAACTGGACCTTCCATCCAGAGAGTCTTGCAGCAGAGAGCAGAAATGGGCTTTCTCTCTGCTGGTGTAGGAAAGCCATGGCAGGAAGGCGGTACCAACAACACACAGCTGCCTGTCCCACGTGGGGTCCTGCACCTCCTGCCTCCCAGCTTTCCTGCCCCTTTACTTTGTAAGTGTGCTCTTTGATTAAGTGTCCTGTTTTTAATTGTGTCCAAATGTTCACACTGTCTTAAGTGATGCTGGAGCCACAGCCTGGGGCCACTGCAGGTCCTTCCTCTGGAGCAAAGGGTCTTTGTCACAGTGTTTCTCTAAAAGCATATCCATCCTGAGTGACACTTATTTTAGAAACAGATAGAATTGGTGAAAAAAGGGTTGAGCATTATAAAATGTCTCTGGATTTCAAAGAAGTTGGCCACCATCTATGGGGAATTGGGGATGAGTAACTTCTCTTTAAGTAAATGAGGACAGGACAGGCATGGTGGCTCACGCCTGTAATCCCAACACTTCGGGAGGCCGAGGAGGGTGGATCACTTGAGGTCAAGAGTTTGAGAACAGCCCGGCCAACATGGCGAAACCCCATCTCTACAAAAAATACAAAAATTAGCTGGGCATGGTGGTGTGCACCTGTAATCCCAGCTACTCAGGAGGCTGAGGCAGGAGAATTGCTTGTACCCAGGAGATGGAGGTTGCAGTGAGCCAAGGTTATGCCACTGCACTCCAGCCTGGGTGACAGGGCAAAATTCCATCTCAAAAAAAAAGTAAATGAAGACAAAATCCCAAAGGCTAGAGCCACCACCCAGAGCAGGTTCAGGATCGAAGTGCCCCTGTGGTTCCCCTCCCACCTGAATGCTCTGTTTTAAAATGAAGGTCCAGGACAAGGGGAGAGCATGTCATTACTAAGGTTCAGTGTTAAATAGAGACATTCTTCCACTGATGGCAGCCATTATGGGCCACCTGAGCTTTCTTTGGTTTTCCCTGCCATCTGCATGGTCCTCCACTGCACTTGAATGAGGAGTCCTGAGGGTCTGAGTAAGTTGCAGGGATTGCTGTGCTGCCAGGAGTGAGTGAAAGAAGAGGCCAGAGCAGCCACCTCAGCTAAAAAGAAAGCCAGAGGAGAGGGTGGGTATTTAGGGAGCGGGGATTTTTAATTTCAAGTGAATTCTGTAATTAAGGAAATGGGGTGGTGGTGGTGGGGCTCTGGGCTGGGTGCTCTGGCACTGTCCCTAACAGCAGTCACAGTGATGGCTTTGCTCCTGTGCTGCTGTCCCTCCTCCCTCTCAGCAATAGGAAGAACATGTGTGCTTTTGATGCACTTGGTGCAGCAGGCCTGGGATGCCGCATTTCACACAAGCTTCAGGTGACCCCAGTGCTGCTGGTTCATGGACCACGCTGTGAGTAGCAAGGTCACAAACTCCCCTGAGGGAGGGGAGTAGCTGGCTGCGTTTCTGAGAGACCCTATTACGATTGAACTACTTTGGGCCTCACTTCTTGAGAACTCAAAACAGCTGCTGGGTGTGCTGAAGCCATATTCACCCCACCACAAAGAGGACAGTCAGCACCTTTCTCCACACAATGGTAAAAAGGTTTTGTTTTCATATAAAACCTCAACAGATGAATGGGGCCACTATCAATGATTTTCAGAAAGAAAGGCTCAAATACCAACTATTTTTTTTATGGAGTCTTGCTCTGTCACCCAGGCTGGAATGCAGTGGCATGATCTCCACTCACTGCAACTTCTGACTCCCAGGTTCAAGCAATCCACTCGCTTCAGCCTCCCGAGTAGCTGGGACTACAGGTGTGCGCCATGCCTGGCTAATTTTTATACTTTTAGTAGAGATGGGTTTCACCATGTTGGCCAGGCTGGTCTCGAACTGCTGAAATGAAGTGATCCACCTGCCTCTGCCTCCCAAAGTGCTGGGATTACAGGTGTGAGCCACCATACCCAGCCCCCAAATACCAACTATTCTTTAAAAAAAATTATGATTATGTTGGAGGCACAGTGGCTCCTTCTGTAATTTCAATACTTTGGAAGGCCAAGGCAGGCAAATTGCTTGAGCCCTGGAGTTGGAGACCAGCCTGGGCAACATGGTAAAACCCTGTTCCTGCAAAAAGTTTTTAAAAAATTAGCCGGGCATAGTCGCATTCATCTATAGTCCCAGCTACTCAGGAAGCTGAGGTGGGAGGATTGCTTGAGCTCTGGAAGTTTGAGGCTGCAGTGAGCTGTGATGGCACCACTGCACTCCAGCCTGGGTGACAGAGTGAGACCCTGTCTCAAAAAAAGAAAAAAAAATTTTATATATATATATGTATGTATATTATGTTGGGAGAGATGTCCCTCATAATTAAACTAGGTTAATACAGATGATTTTATTTAATAGCTGAAATGGTTCTGTTACCTGGGAGTTTGTTTTATATTTAGTTGATCTTGGAGGATCCATCATGAATCCCCCCTAGAAGTGCCCACAGTGACATGTTCCATGAGTGCTTGATGGAAAGCCATGTATTTCTAAGGCTCTGGTGGCAGGTAGCAGTTATGCGATGGCATGAGGAAAATCCATTTAGTAGAGTTGTCCAAAAGTGCAATGGCCTGGCTTGGTAAGCTGTAAATTCAGTCCCTGTGAGGGGTAGAAAGTGAGGATGGAGAAGGAAGGAATATGCCAAACAGGGGTTGAACAAGACGGGCTTCTTCCAGCTGTCAGTTTTGTGACTATGGGTACTGTCCATGTCTCCAGGATCCACCTGGGATGCCTCTGATAATGTAACCACGTACCCCCATTTTTCTTGGGCAGTTTATTCCAACAAGTGAGCTATAGTGCAGGCATTGGGCCATGTGGTATCTGTTTGACTTTCAAGGGCTTAGGTCAGCTTGGTGGAGTTCTCTGGGTCCCTCTAGGGAATCATCCAACCCAGGGATGGCCTGCAGGGTCCCACCCCACCCCTAAAGCACTTACATTCACACAAAATCCTAGAGCTGAATGTTCTCAGCAGGCTTATTCCTCATAGCCAAAAGCCAGAAACAAATCCAGATGTTCTTCAAGGAGCGAGTGGCAAAACAGTTGGGGTCATTGTGGAAATGAAGGGAAGCCTTTGGAGAGATGTATTGGAAGAATGAACAGGACTCAGTAATGGATTGTTTATGACGTGGGGGGGTTACAGGCTGAAGAAACTCTTTCTAGAGTCTGGAATGGAGTCCCTAGGTGAGCTGTCACACCATTTATTTAGACAGTAAGTCTGGGTCACAGCCAAGTCCAGGAAGATGACCTAGACTATAGAGTGGGATCAGTTCTAATCTGTAATGTCTAAGAGGTATTTCAGTCTGGAAATCAGCTAGGCAGCTGTACATATAATTCTGAGTGGAGATAAAATCTGGAGGTTGTAAGAATAGAGTTAATAATTAGTGCCTTAAAAATCAATTTGGTCACCCAGAGGGCTTGGGGTTCTTTTTTTCTGGCATACCAATAAAAGAATAGCAGAGTTCAGGGGTGAGTTATGATGCACTTCAGATTTTAAATCCCAAGCAGGGGTTGTAAGCATGCTGGCAAACCTTGGGGAGGAGCATCCAGAAAGGCAGGATGAGAAGGAGAAGCATTGGCTTCAGGAGCCAGGAGCAAGATGGACCCCAGAAACAAAAAGGAGCCACTTACCTGGACTGTTCCTTTGACGTGGTAAATGGAAAGTGGCCATTAGATTTTCCATCATGGAACTGTCAAAGGACAAAAGTACAACAGATTTAGTTTAAAGATCCTAATTGGCTTTATTTGCTATTCTAGAATCAGGCAACAGTTCATTCCATAAAACAGACTGAGCGTTCCTCCGATCAGAGATGGGGAGATGGGCTTTATGGATAGAAAAGGCTGAAGCAGAAACAGAGAACAAAACACAGATTGGTTGCAAAGTTACTTTCCTTGTAAACATTAAAGCAGAGGGGAGGGACTGCCTATCATGCTGGCTAAACCTGGCCTGTTGGGGATTTGCCTGTTATCTCTCTGTGTCCTGACTTCTCAGAAAGTCAGATCAACAACTTCGTTTTGGTTTGGAAAAGTGGAACTTTAGCGCAAGGAACTCCAATCCAGTCTGGTCTTGTTACTGAAATGAACCTGGGTCTGCTTGCCCCGTGTGGTAAAACCAAACACCCACACTGAGGTTTGCAGCAGGAGAAAGGAGGGTGTTAACTTGCAGGACACCAAGCAAGGAGAATGGGGCAGCTTACACTTCAGACCCAATCTCCTGGATGGCTTACAAGCAAGGGATTTTAAAGGCAGGGGAACAATTCAGGAAAGCAGAAGTTACAGGGAAACCATAAATCAATACAGAGGGTATACATTGTTTTGGCCCAAAAAGGTGGAAGCTCTTGAAGCAAGGGGCTTACAGGTCATAGGCGGTTTCAGGATTCTTTGATTGCAATTGGTTAAGGAAGCCAGGCTTTGTTGAAAACTTGGGGTCAGCAGAAAGGAATGTTAAGATGTGGCCTGTGGGCATGACTCCCTCCAGGCCCCTGAGAAAGAAATTTACAACAAAGAGCAGCCATCAGAGTGCAGCCCTCAGCTCCCCGACATCTGAGGTCTCTGTGATGATGGTCAGTATTTTCCATCTGACGTGGGTCCGGGTTTCTGAAAAACCATTCATGGACATATGCTAAGATGTAATCTTTAGTTTCAATAGGGGACCAAACACCTTGTGGCTCTGACTTACTTGAGTGGCTGTTACTTGAAGCTATTATTCCCTTCTTGCTTATCAGGTGGCTCATTTACTTCTCAAGGCCAGCTAGGTACCTGGAATTTCCCTTGAAGGAAATCAAGATTTTCCTTTGTTTCCATGCTGGAGGAGGCCCAGCAGGCCTCTAATAGGGGTCCATGCTCCGTCTCAGTCTGTTGGGCCTAGTGCAGAAGCTCAGTCCAAACTAATGGCCTCCTGTAAATGTATTTTACAGAAGTCAGCAGTGTCCACAGCAAGGGAGAGTTTCTTGAGCAACCTGCTGGGAGACCTAAGAGTGAAATAAAGAGTGAATGTCAGGTGAAAACATTGAAAAGATGAGGACTGACAAGTATTTACAGGGGGTTAACTCTGAAGTGGTTCCAATAAACTGTGATCTTGAAAAGCAGGTAGTGGAGGGAAAAATGGCTTCCCCTTCTAGGTTCTTTGGCTGGGCTAGGAATTAAATTGACATAAGACGGGCTAATAGGAGAATAAAAAACTTTAATTACGTCTATATGCACAGGAGTCCCACAAAATATGGATGAGGAGAAGGGCCAGATGAATGAAGCTTAGATAGTGTCCTGAGTTACAGAAAGGAACAGGGGCTTGGGGCTTGCTGAGGATGGGCACAAGTTCTGGGAGGGTGAGGGGAGGCAATGTCTGGTGAATAAAAGGTGTCTTGTTCTGCAGAGAAAAGTCTCTGGGGTTATAGAAGTTGTCTGGAACCAGCCCTCTTCCTGATACAGATAATTCACTAATGTAGATTTTTTTTATAGTTATAAATTTCTTTTACAAAAGGGCAGCTTTTCAGAGCTACTCCTGTGTCTGCAATTTCTTAGAATAACAAGATCAAAATTTGCCTAAGAAGTATATTTTGTGTTCACATATCTGGTTTTGTATTGTCATATTTTGGGGTGGTGTGTCCTGAGCCCCACCAGCAAGGGCCATGTTATAGGAATATAATTTTTAATTGACTTTTTAGAGTTGTTTTGAATTCACAGCTGAAGGGGCTTAGAGTATACCATCCCAAAATATGCCACTCTGACATAAAGATTATTTTGAGCTGAAGACAACTGAGACCAAGTAGACACAGGACAAACTCTCTGCCCTGTCCCCATCTACCAGAAGGGCAGGATGGCTCTTACCAGCCCAGAGGTGGCACCAGAAAAATCAACATCACAAGCACGCCAAATCAACCTTATCTGTCAGCTTCTGCCATATATCTACCTTCCCACAACTTGTTATCCACAGAAGCTCAAGGTCCCCTTCCTTTGTCTTTCCACTTCTCTACAAATACATTGCTCTCTCATTAGGGTGCTAATAAGCCCAAGTTCTAACCGCCTTTTTGAGTTATTATCACTGAGCTCTCCCATGTGTATTTGCGATGCATGAATTAATAAATGTGTTGTTTTCTCTTGTTAACCTGGCTTTCATTGGTCTAAATTTGTGGGGCCAAGGCACTAAACCTAAGATGGGTGGAGGAAAGATTTTTTCTAAACCTATACAGCAAAATTGAGCTGAGCGTGCAGAGAACTCTCATATGAACCCCTCACCGGCCCACACATGTGCACACACACACACCCACACACGCACAGCCTGCCCTACTGTCCATGTCCCACATCAGTGGGGCACATTTGTTACTACAGCTAAACCCACACCAACACATCATTTTCACCCAAAGTCTGTGGTTCACATTAGGGTCACTCTTGGTGTTGTATTGTCAGTGAAAAGAGCCAAACTCTGTAAAATATTTGAAGAGATTTATTCTGAGCCAAATATGAGTGACCCAAGGTATAGTCTCAAGAGGCCCTGAGAACATGTGACCAAAGCGGTTGTTTTACAGTTTGGTTTTATACCTTTTAAGGAGACATGAGACATTAATCAGTACATGTGAGATGTACATTGATTCAGTCCAGAAAGGTGGGACAGCTCGAAGGGGGTCAATGGGAGGAAGGCTTCCAGGTCATAGGTGGATTCAAAGATTTTCTGATTGGCAATTGATTGAAAGAGTTATTATCTAAAAACCTGCAATCAATAGAAAGGAATATCTGGGTCAAGATAAGGGGTTGTGGAGACCAAGGTTCTTACCATGTAGATGAAGTCTCATGGGGGTCACCCTTAGAGACAATAGATGGCCAATGTTTCCTATTCAGACTTTTAAAAGGTGCTAGACTTTCAGCTAATCTCTAGAGGATTGGGACAGCCTGGAAGGGAAAAGAGCTAGTTATGGTAATAGAGATTCTTTACAGGTGCAAATTTTCCCCACAAGAGACAGCTTTGCAGGGCCATTTCAAAATATGCAAAAAAAAATCCTATTTTGGGGTAAAATATTTTTATTTCCTTCTTTATCTGTCATATGATGTTATACGAGAGTCAGGTGGGAAAGTAAGCTGTGTTATATATAAGGTTAAATAAAGCCCATCTGTTGAGATGTCAGTTTCTAGGGTATGACTCCCCAGGCCCCTTAGATAGGAATTTGGGCAAGAGAGAAAAAATGTCAGTTTAGTCCTCAGTACATTCTTTGGGTTTGAACAGATGTCTAATGCCATATCCACCACTGTCATATCATACAGAGTAGTTTCACAGTCTGGCAAATCCCCTGTGCTCTGCCTGTTCATCCCTCTCTCCCCCAACCCCTGCCAACCACTGCTCTTTTTACTGTCTCCATGGTTTTGCCTTTTCCAGAATGTGACAGAGTTGGAATCTTACAGTATGCAGCCTTTTCAGATCAGTTTCTTTCAGTTAGTAATATGCATTTAAGGTTCTTTCATGCAGCTCAATAATGTTTGGCAGAGACTCAAAGGCAGGGAGAGGAATGGGAAATCTGCGGTGGAAAAGGGGAAGAGGAGTCCTGATGGGGTTGCCAGCCACCAGAGGCGGCTGCTAGTGAAGTGGCCTCATTGTCTGGGGTGACACCCAATGTTCATTGTCTCACAGCCACAGAGATCAAGGGCATGGACACACAAAGGGTGAGGTTAAGAGTGGAAATTTAATACGTGAAAGAAAGAGAATAGCTCTCTGCTACAGAGAGGGGTCCCGGAAAAATAGGTCGCTGATGCACAGTGCAATGCAAAGATTTTTATAGATGAGCTAGTGGGGAGCAGTGTCTGATCTACATCGGGTGTGAAAAAACAGGACCAGGTGTGCCATCTGCATAGGGCACGAATCTCTGGACGCCCCCACACCAATCTTCTATTTATTACGCAGGTGAGTAGCTACTCCATGTTGCTTATTTCTTTCTTACTGTGCATGTGTTAACAACAACAAAAAAAAAAAAAATTAGGGAAGGTGAACCCCCCATGGTGGACATGCCTGGCCCCAGGTAGTCCTTTTTATCAGTGTGGCTGCAGGCCTCCCCCCAGGCAAGCTTCCAGCTTCCTTAACTATGTTTGCAGCTCCATCTTTCAGGCTGCTCTTTGTTAGAAAGAAATGATTTCTTGGGCTGTTTTTTGTCAGAAGTTCTGCCAAGGACTTTTTTGCCCTATCTGCCTAAATAATTTATTTCCATCTCCTGTATCCAGTCAGGGGATCCTACCTGACTGGTAAGAGGGTGCCTATTTGGTTCTCCCTGTTGGTCCTAGGTTCGAAGCAAGGGCAAAAAGGAGGGAAGCCGTCAGTGCAGTCCTGACCATTAGGGTTGCTGTATGCAGTTTCCAGCTGGTTACTTCACAGACTGTGGGTCAGAGTGTCACCAGGCTCTCGGGTGGATTTTTTAAATCCCACGGACTGAAACCCTTCTTTATTATCTCCAGTCACTTGAACATCTTTCTTTGATTGACAGTTTATTCAGTGTTATTAAAAAAAAAAGCTGCTACTATTACTACTACTACTACTACAATTACTATTTATAATAATGGTAATAATTATAGTAATGATGAATCCCAGCAAGGACCAAATAATTATAATTACTGATTTAATATTTATACATAAATATTTATTAAAATATATAATCTATATATTACATATATTTATACCATGACATTTATAGTATCTACATAATTACATATTATTTGTGTATTTATGACTATTTATATTTATAAATTACATAATAATAAGAAGAATATTATTACTATGACTACTATAAGCCTCAGGACTCCCCCCGCCCCCCACCATAACAGAATATACCCCTTTAACCATCCAGCCACCTAATCCCACGTTGCCCCCGCTGGTCGAGCTTGCTATATATAAAGGCGGCTGCCAACTGTTGCAAGACAACTAGCTAAAAAGCCTGCCGAACAGATCGGGATCGCGGGTGGGCAGGTAGGACGCCAGGCCTCGTCCGGGTCCACCTCAGGTCACATTCCCACCTCGGGGCACCCTGGCAGGCATGAGTGGAACCGTGAGATCCCTGGTAGCCAAAAGAAGCCTTGGAAAATTTTGGGGGGAGCGCCCTGGGCCAGGGACAGCTGCCGGGCAGGGGACAGACTCCCCAGCGCCTCCCGGGCCAGCTGCCCACCCAGAGTGGACTTCAAAATTCACCGGGGTCAGCCTGCCTCAGCCTCCCCAGGGGCATGTAGAAATTTCTGCGGACCGAAAGCCCCTCCTGCGTCCTCTTCGGAACTATAACTGTTTATATCTAATTGCTATTTATGTAGATTGATTATTTATAAAGTATAATTTATACTTCTACAAATTTATATTATTTATATTCATATAGTTTGTAAATGTAAATAAATTATTTGTTTATAATACTTGCTTATAAGAATTACCATTGCTGTATAAACCTCAGGTTCCACCATCCCCCTGC
Source organism: Homo sapiens (assembly GCF_000001405.40). Lineage (NCBI taxonomy): Eukaryota > Metazoa > Chordata > Mammalia > Primates > Hominidae > Homo > Homo sapiens. Next base: position 22,453,749 of record NC_000017.11, read on the forward strand.
CCCTACCCTCCCCTTCGCACCTTGCCACGTCCTTCTCCCCTCGCCTTGGCCCCTTCTCCTCTCCCAAATTCTAGTTGCCCATCTGCTTGGTTGGGCTGCTGATCGATCTGATCAACTTTCTGAGGCCACATCAAAACTGCAGAAATGAGGCTGATCGACCCAGCAGCTCTAACAAAGATCATCCATCGGACATCTGGTCGCCTCTCTATTTTGGAGCCAGAGGCTGTACGCTCTTCCCCGGTGGGGAGGGTGGGGCCCCAAAGTCCAACCACAAGATCCCATTTTGCAGGCCGCGGCTAAATCCACTGCGCCTTCCCCGTTTTTTCTCGAACTGCCCAAGCCAGACTCCACCTCCAAGACAAGACTCGGAAAAAGGTGTGAAGCTCAAGTCGGATGACCACGACCCACGCGTGGCCACGGACGGGCCCATGTTATTCTTCGCAGTCCTCCTGTAATGGCCGGGCGGGTCCTCGCCTCCAGGGCGGGGCTTGGAGATAATGGGTGTAATGGAAGGCCTGAGGACCCGGCCCCACGCCAGTCGGAGTCCGGGCGGAGTAACCCATCCCCCGTTCACACTCTCGGAAGGCCCGTCGATTCCTGCGTGTACTAGTCGACCCGCTCAGGCCACAGCACTCCGAGCTCAATAGTGCGCCTCCAACGCTGACCCGCAGGTTTAATCTCCGACGAAAGGACGAAGAGTACACCCGGCAAAGCCGGGCTCATCCTGCCAGTGCTGCCAGTCCCCTTGAACTCTGCACGGCGCCCTGTGGCCAAATCCCCTTTCTTGCCGGCTTCGCCAGAGCGCCGGAGAGAAAACCTTAACAGTGCAGCCAGGTGGCGCCCAACAGCCGGCGCAAGCAGCCGCGGATCGGATCGGCATAGCCAGCGGGCGAGGCCTCTCCTAGTCCCTGACCACCTGGGATCGCGTTTCTTGGCCTGGGCCGGGTGGAGGAGCTCCCAGTTGGCACGGCCTGGAATGACGCGACCCCGCAGCCGAAGGGGACTTGAAAATTTTTCCTAACCACCGTTCCGCTCCGAGTTACTGCTACCTGCTAGGACAGACCTCCCACGCGGCTCCGGGCCTGGCGATCTTCCGCGGGAACCGGGAACGTTTCCGGAGATCCCCGCAGGCCGGCGCCCTGCCTCGGCTTCCCAGTGCAGCGGGGTCGCGGGCTCCCCGAGGATTCCAAAGTTTTGCGGGGCGCCTGCGGCGGGAGGGACCCTGAAGTTGAAACTGTGAAAGGCAGAACGTGGGTGAATCGCTTTTATTCTGTCTTTTCGGAGTGGGAAAGCCTTTCTAAAGCATAAAATAAACCCAGAAGCCATCAAGGAAATGATTGATCAGCTTGACAACATAAAGTTTCACAAGCAACGTCAAAAGATAACAAATGAGTGTGGGGATCGCTTATGCATAAGATAAGAATATTGATTTCATTCACAATAGCCAAGATACGGAAGCAAGCTAAGCATCTACCAGTGGGTGAACGGAAAAAGAAAATGTGATGTATGTACATCAGGGGGTACTATCCCGCCTTTGAATAAAAGGAAATCCTGCTATTGGCGACAACGTGGATGAACGTGGAGGCCATTGTACTAAGCAAAGTAAGCCAGGCACAGAAACAAATACCACTTGGTCTCTCCTGTATGTGGAATCTGAAAATAGTTGAACTCATAGAAACGGAGAGTAGAACTGTGGCTACCTGAGGCCGGGGGAAGGGCAGGAGGGAGGAGATGTTGTTCAAAGGGTACAAGGATTCAGTTAGACAAGAGGAATATGTTTTAGGGATCCACATGACACGGTGACTGTAGTTAATGCATTTTATATGTCAAAATCCCCAAAATAGTAAATTTTAAATATTCTCACCACAAAAAATAAATGTGTTGGTGATGGATGTCTTAATTAGCTTAAAGTAATTATTCCACCAATGTATACATATATCAAAACATCACATTGTATCCCATAAATGTATACAATTATGATTTGTCAATTAAAAATAAACTTTAAAAAATCTTTTTAAAAAGATTTCAGCATTATTTACTATAATAACAAAAAAACTGGGGTGGGGGTAATAGCCATTGATTAAGAGGGGTCAGGTTAAATAAACTCCAGTACATCCACACCATACACTGTGTGAATTTGTTTTGTTTGTTTTAGATGAGATAAATGTTGATGATGAAATGTTAAATGAATAATTTAAAACAAGTATTAAGTTACCTCTATTTCAACACATTAAATAGCTAGTAAAGACTGTGTGGTGTGGACAGAGGGATATGATCTACAGAACCGAAAAGAGACCAAAACAAATGCACCCAGCTGGTTTTTGACAAGCATGCAAAAGCACCTTGTGGCAGGAAAGGTAGCCTTTCCATCAAATGGGAGTAGGGCAATTGCACATCACAGGCAGCAAACAAGCAGGCAAACCAAAACCCTTGACCTAGACACTGTCAACTTTAGAATCCCAGGCCCCCACCAAATGAATGGACCCCCTCTTGGCCAAGGGGACCTCAGGAAAATCTTAAAAGTTTAGTTCTAGTCTGCCTGGGGTGGGAGGTCAAACATGCCTCATTATACCCCCTGCCTTTTGGGGTTTAGACCAGCATTAATGTTAACATAGAGATCAGAAGACTGACAGAACAGACTCTGTGGCAATAAAATACCAAGTTATAAACAGGACCTAAGGCCATGCCAGGCAAGGGTTAAGTCACTAACACTACGCCTAAAGAATAAACTGTGTTCCAAGGACCACAAGGCTTTTGTTTTTCTCTGGCAGCTAAACAACCACTGGCCTCAAGATAGACAAGATTAAAACAATTTCCAGCTCCACCACCCACTGACTTACTAAACCCCTGCTCTACCAGCCATAACTTCCTGATAAGACCACCAACTATGGATTGTCTTTGGCTGGTTTACAGAGGCTGCACACTTGTGTGACTTCATGCCCTGAAAAGACCTGTTGACATATAGGACCTAACTGTAATACATTTAAATGTTAAGTCTCCACCCCAAAGTGAACATGGATCATATGCTACATGCATGTCTGTTCAATATGCATGTGCTAGGACCACCTTCATGAATATTCATAGCTCCTCCTATAACCTGTTGAATATGTATGTTTAGCCAACCTGCCCAGCATAAAGCTCCTACCCTAACCCCTCCTCCTTCAAAGTGCCGTTTCTGGTCCCTTGGCTGAGATGGCCACCTTAAAGGCTGTAATCCTTATGAGAAATAAAGTCTCCTCATGTTTCTAAATGGATAAATTGTGGGGGTTTTACCCTCACACCTCATGCAAACATTGACTCCAAATGGATCACATATTTCAATGTAAAATGTAAAACTATAAAATTTTAGGAAAAAAAATCTTAGAGAAAATTGGGATTTAGGCTAAAAAATGAGATTTTATACTTGACATCAAAAGCATGATTCATAAATAGAGATGGGTAAATTGGAAGTCATCAAAATTAAAACCCCAGGCTCTGTGAAAGGTCCCTTTTTTTTTTTTTTTTTGAGAAGGAGTCTGGCTCCATAGCCCAAGCTGGAGTGCAGTGGTGCAGTCTCAGCTCAGTGCAACCTCCTCCTCTTGGGTTCAAGCAATTCTCCTGCCTCAGCCTCCCAAGTAGCTGGGACTACAGGCGTGCGTCACCACTCCCAGCTAATTTTTGTATTTTTGATATAGATGGGGTTTCACCATATTGGTCAGGCTGGTCTTGAACTCCAGACCTTGTGTTCTGCCTGCCTTGGCCTCCTAAAGTGCTGGGATTACAGGCGTGAGCCACCACACCCAGCTGAAATGTCCTTTTAAGAGGAGGAAAACAAAGTATAGATCAGAAGAATATATTTACAAACCATATATTCTACAGGAATGTGTAAAAAAAAAAACTCAAAACGCAACGGTATTTTTCTTCAAAATCCAATTACAAAATTGATGAAAGACATGTTAAAGTATGCCCCCTGCAGAAAGACAAAATGACTCCCAGGAGACTAACTGAGTTGCTCAAAGTTAAAATGGAACCAGGCGGCTGTAGCTGGGTGACAGAGACTTCATGTACTCTGTGTTCTTAGAAAGATGTTATAAAAGTATCACAAGACCTCCCTTCCACAACCAAACCAAACCAGTTCCTGTTGTCAGTGTCAAGATAACTGTATCCGGAGCACCACTTCCCTGGACCCCTGACAGCCATTTATAAGAAATTTCTGACAGTCTTCTGCTTAAGGCTTAAAGAACAACAAGTCAGAACTCCCCTGCCCTGACTAATCAGGACTCAACTGCATCAATCAGGGTTCACCTGGATCGACTAATCAGGATTCAGCTACATCCACCGATCAGGACAGCATGAGTTTCAGTCCTTCATTTACATAAATGAAAGTAGTTGGAAACCTGGACAGAAACTTTTACCATAGAGCCCAAACCCTTTCTTAGTTTTCTAGAACTTACTTTCCTTTTACACTGAAGGCTGCAACTTCCCCATTTACAAACTGTTCACTGAAATAAAGTCACTTTCCACATTCCTTTTCAGAAAACTTAGCTCACAGACACGAACTAGCATTTCACTGAGCAGGACGTACAGATGGCAGGTCGGCACATGAGAAGACGTTAGCCTTTTGTGGGAGTGTAAATTAAAATGACAGTGAGACGTCATGACACATCCATCAAATGCCTTCAACAAGATACAGGAACAGCATCAAATGCAGGTGAGGCTGTGGAGGAACGGGCTTTCTCACACATTGCTGGTGGTAAGGTAATATTGTACTGCCACTCTGGAAAACAGTGTGGCAGTTTCAAAAAAGAAAACAGCAACAACAAAAACATGCAAGTGAAGCGTGGCAGAATATGCCACCCCAAAATATGCCACTTTAGCATAAGGGTTATTTTGAGCTAAAGGCACTTGAAAAACAGCAGACACAAGGAAGATGCCCTGACCTCCCCTTTTTCTTCCTGAAAGTAGGAGGTGAATCTCCCATGGGAAAGGTGCCCTCCCTGTACCAGGAGGAAGGAAGCAATTCTTACCACCAGAGGCAGGGAGTTGGGGCCGAGGGGAATCTGTACAAACAAATCTCGTTAAACTAACCCTCATCTGCCTCATTACTTCTCCACGATGAACTGCCCTATCCCAGACTCCATTGTCTTCAGGTTTTCACAACTTACTCTTTGTCCAACCTAGTATATAAGTGTTCAGGCCTAACTGCTTCTTCGGATCTCTTTTTCCTACAGGGTTCCATTCACATGTGCAAATCTGTGTGCTTTTCTCCTGTTAATGTGTTTTATGTCCACTTACCTCTTAGGCCCAGCCAGAAACACTAACAGTAGAGGTAAAGTTTTGCTTCCCCTGCATAAGGACCATGTAACCCAGCAACCAAACCCCTGGGCATTCACCCCAGAGACAGGGGAACTTGCTGTGCTTGAAGGGTTGATTCAGTGCCTCTGGGGCCGAGGACTCCCCCTGACCTCTGACCCTGGGCTACAGCAGGAATTAGAATATTTCCCAGCCTGAAACTCCTCTTTCCTCAACTTCAGTCAACCAGACACCCTTTGTGGATGGAAAAATCTCATTCAGTGTTTTTATAACAATAACAAATAATAATGGTAATCATTACAATAATGATGAACAACAGCAACAATAACTATTATTATTATTAACCTTGGGGGATGAAAGGGTAGGGTACAGACCTCCACAATGCTCCTGGAGAATGACCACCTACTCCTGCTGGGTCCCAGGGTGGGCTGGGGTCAGAGTCCCAGGTTTGCACGTGCAACATGCTCTGTGAAGGCAAGGGGTGAGCAGCAGGAGGAAAGGGAAATTACCCTAACAGGGTGTGGCAGACCAGTGAGGACCCTGGGAGGAGAAACAGGGGAGGGATGTGCAGGGAGAGGGACCCAGGTCGGGCACCCGCTGCCTGGTCAGTGAGCTGCCAAAGCTTCCTCCACAAGTGCTGGACTCCTTGTCCATGCCTGCCTACCCGGCCCCCGGCCAGCAAACCGCGGGCACCAGCTCATGGTGCACAGAAATATGCACTCCAGATGAATCGCACACCTCGATGTTAAACGTAAAAGAGAAAACCTCAGTAGAGAATGCTAAGCGTTTGTGTCCCCTGGAGAAATGTTCTTCAGTGTGGCACAGCAGAAACCCAGGTGGTCAGCAGCCCCATCTGGTGTGGTGCCAGGGAAGAGCGCTGACTTGTTAGAGCAGCCTGGAGTTCTGCCTGCTGCGATCCATCACGGCGGCCTCTGCATCTGCAGGGTAAGGCCTTCAGGTTTAGCACTGCAAACCCAGGCATTTGGAGTCTGTTGGGCCAGTATCGCTGCTCAGGTGCAGATGGGCCAGCTGACTTCACCTGAATTGTAGCTGCCAGCCTTCGTGAGAAGTGGGGGCGCTTCTGGGACCGGCCGGCTGGGGCATCGGGTGCACCATTTCTACTTGAACACACGTCCCCCAGGCACTTGGGGCCCCCAACACGGAAAGCGGCCATGAGGTGCTGGGCCTCCCTCTGGCTAGGGGGAGCAAGGAGACAGCGAGTGTGGCAGCCAGGACTGGGCCTCAGTGCTCCCAGCGGGTGGGGGTGTGACGGGTGTAGTCAGGCCAGGTCTGTGGGGAAGGTTTGTAGGACTGGGGCTGGGGGCTAGCCTTGAGTCCTGAGCCACCCACCAGTGGCAAACTGCAGTTTTGCAGAGGTTAAGCCTCCGGCACCTCTCTAAGGCAGCTAGGCTGGGACAGGACTGGCAACAGCAGCACCAACACCTGTGTGTCCTGAGCAGGGGGTACTGCACTCACCGGCTCCAACCAGCAACGTCATTAACGTTTTTCTCCACTGTGAGGATCATGCAAACCCTACCAGTTTGATTCCAATGTTTTTTGAAAAACATACTTGAACACAGAGCTGGGAGTTTTGACAGGTAGGCTTTAGGAGCTTTGTCACCACCACCAGGACACAGGGATCTCCCGGCAAGGTGCTCAGGGACCTGTGGGGCCCAGAGGCCAGGGGGCTGGGAGGGCCTGGAGTGGCCAGCAGGGAGGCTGCAGAGCCATGCCTCCTCCTCCCCTAATCACCCCAGCAGACCTTCCTCTGAGAAGCAGCAGACCAGGGAGGGGGCATGTGTCATTCTCTGCCAGTCACTTTCTTCTCCACTCCACCACCTATGCATTTAACACAGAAAGTGCATGAGGCCACGCTGTCTGCAGTCAGCCACCGCCACTGCTCCATCCAAGGACTCTGCACTGGAGGCCAGCAGGATGCCCTGGGCTTCCTGCAGGGGCTAAGCCATGCATGGGTCCCAGTGCAGTCAAGGCCCCAAGGCAGTGAGAAAGGTTCAGCCTGGAGGTGGGTGGTTAGGCATAGGTCCTCGAGAGTCCCTTTAAGGTCTCAATCCTAGTATCGCGTGGGGTCCCATTGCTGTGGTTCAAATTTCTCAGTCTTTCCCTTGATTTTGCTGGTTTTGCCTCTTTACAGATTATTTCCTTTTGGGTTTTCTCTACTTCTAAAGAATTTTTTGTTGTAATTATTTCAGACACTGCCTGAGAATTGAGATTTTATGGTTTTCAAGAGTTACGGTTTTCAATACATCTTCATGTTCCCTCATCCTATTCTCCTAGAAGTTGGCTCTGTGCTGTTAGCTGCCTCCACACATGTGCCCTTCATTTGTTAGGACTCAAGTGTCACATCTGAAATGGGGGCTAGCAAGGTAGATCTGCAAGACCTATCCCTTGGTTGAAGTAGCAAGCCCTGGAGTGGCCCAGCAGGTGCTGATAAGCTGACCTGTGAGAGACTGAATATACAATGACAGTGGCTAGACTACATAAAAAATCAAACTCTGAGCCATAATCTGCAGCAACCAGCCCCAAAGCCAGCCCGAGATCTGCAGCCACAGCCCAGGAAGCCAGCCCGTTAGAAGTCAGATGTGCAGGAAGCCAGCCCTCTAGAAGTCAGACGTGCAGGAAGCCAGCCCGCTATCTCCAGTCAATCCAGGGAGCTTAACACCGCCCTGTAACAATCAGCCCAAGACAGTCAGAACTTGACTAATAACAGCTTCCCTAATTTTTGTCCCGGCTTCCAACTTAGAACCAACCAGAAAAAGTGAAATCTACTGCCCTAACCGACCACACAGGAGGCCCCATTTCTGGTCGGCCACCCCAGTTTCCCCAAGCCAACAGCCTCCACTCGGAGTGCACCTGGAGCCTCCCCTTTTTCCACTGTGAACCTTTCCCATCCTCTGCCTGCCTGGAAATTTCTACCAAAATGCAACTGGCGATGGCTGACTCCCTTGCTGGGGCCTTTGTGTCTCTCATTTGAGTGGTCTTTGCTTATCTCCATGCTGCTTGCTATGCTACTACGGATGGGCATTTCCTGCCCATCCACGAAGATTTCACGTGCGTGCCTGGGGTGGCAGCATACCCAGGTGCATTTCTCCTGCCTCCTCCTTCTCTCTTTATCCCGCAGTCTTCCTCCTCACCCAGCTAGCCACAGGTGTCCACATGGAGCACAGTCTGAGGAGAGAGCAGGGTCAAACACAGCCAGGTTCTAGGTGGAGCTGAATGGGGTTTGACAGGTGCCAGGTGCTCCCCCAGATGGATCTTTACATCATAAAAACGATTTTGTGCTTGAAGATGTGGCTTCAGATCCACCAAGCATAAAGTCACCACCTGAAATTAGAAAGAAAACATCCAATAAATAGGCCTTCTTCACTCCAGCAACCCTCTCCCCATGTGCCTTCTGAAGCTCCTGCAGCAAGCCTGCAGATGGGTTCAGAAAGTGTTTCCAAGAGGAGCACCACACAGCTCTAACAGACAGACAGACAGACACACACACACACACACACACACACACACACCGAGTCAACATGAGGGTAAGAATGAGGAGAGTGATGGCTGCAGTGTCTGAGAGAATTTAGTCTCAAGGATTAAGGGAAGGCTCCCCAGGCGAGTGGGAAAGGTGAGCAGTGTTCGGTCTCTCAGAGGCGTGGATGGAAGTGTCGTCCAGGCAGAAGACAAATGCACAAGGCTTGAAGCCGGAGCAAACAGCTTCCATATGCAGGAGTGAAAATGGCAGGCACTTCTATGGCAAATCCAAGAGTGAGGCAGGAGGGTTCAGGGCCTAGCATGCCAGGCCAGTGACTTTGTGGAACCAGCAAACCAAGCTAGGCAAAGTGTGGCATGTTACTTCCTTATAATATTTTTAATTAGAATCATAATATTTTCTCTTTAATGCAAAGAATAAATAAATTCTTAAATAATACCTAGCCCAAGGGCCACTATCCAGAGACACTCAAGCTGCCAGAATTTTTAATGTATCTTTCAAGAAATATTTTCTATATAAACAGAAGCCTGAGATGTATATGCCATTTTTTGTGGTCTCTTCCACCAAAACTTCCTCAAATGTATTAAGAGCACAACTCTTGAAAACATGTTCCCACTGAAACGTGCACACAAACGTTCTTAGCAGCATCATTCATTATAGCCAAGAAGAGGAAACAACCCAAATGTTCACTGACTGATGAATAAACAAAACCTGCTCCATCCACACAATGCGACATTCACACGTGAGGAATGCCGCACCGTGGTGAACACCAGAAACAGCAAGTTCAGTGAAAGAAGCCCGTCATAAATAACTCCATTCATGGAAGTGTCCAGAATAGGCAAATTCGTAGAAATAGAAAGTAGATGAGCGGTTGCTTAGGTCTGGAAGGGATGGGGAGCATCCTGTCAGGATGCCGAAAATGTTCTGCAATTGACTGGATAATGGCTTCACGGCTCTGTGAATATGCTACCAACCGCTGAATTGTACACTTCAGTGGTGAATTGTTTGAAATGCAAATGACGTCTCACTAAAGCTCTTATTAAGAAATACATGAGTTGATGGCAGATGGCTATCAGGATTATGAGGGTGACATCTCAGGGGAGGAGCTGTGTGTGTGGAGGTGCTAGAACTGCACAGGACATCAGCCATTAAAGGGTCCTCTGATCTAAAAATAGGAATTGTGATCTGAGTAATTAATGAGACACTGGCTGTCCTGAATTTGCAGCTAGTAAAAAAGTTGTGAGTCAGGAACAAGCTTGGTTTTTCCATAACAGGATTTTGGCTGCTGTATAAGAGAATTGGCTGGAAGAAGCACCATTCACAAGCACTTACTGTCAAGAAGCAAGAAGCACAAAGCACTTATCATCAAGTAAGAAGGACAGGACTCCCAGTAAGGGGGTAGCAGAGAGATGTTGGCAACTGGACAGATGCACAATACACTTGGGAGGCGACACTGACAGAACATGTCTCTGGGGACATGCAAGAAGAATTAGGTAAAAGCATAGGTTATATCAGGGTATGTCAAAAACAGTGACAGGAGCAAATAAATAATCTAAATTGAGGAATGCTGATTTGAGAATTCTCAGACATGGATTACTGATGGAAAAGCCAAACTCTGTAAAATATTTGAAAGAGGTTTACTGTGAGTGAATGAGTGACCGTGGCCTAGGGAAACAGTCTCAGAGGGCCTGAGGAAGCGTTCCCGAAGCGGTCAGGTTACAGTTTGGTTGTATACATTTTAAGGAGGAAAGAGTTCTAGGCAAAGACATAAGTCAACCCACGCATGGACGGTATACATTGGTGTGACCTGAATAGGTGGGACATCTTGAAGCAGGGGTTTAAAGGTCATAGATGGATTCAGAGATTCTCTGATTTGCAGTTGGTTAAAGGAGTGAGCTCTGTCTAAAATTTGATGTCAGGAGAAAGGCATGTTTTAAGTTAAGGATGCTATGTAGCAAGGTTGATGGCCTGCAGGCCTGAATAAACCCTTGCCTGGCATGGCCTTAGGTCTTGTTTATAATTTGGTCTTTTATTGACACAGAATCTGCCTTGTCAGTCTTAAGATCTCTAATGTTAATGTTGGAGAGTTGCACCTAAACTCCAAAAGGGAAGGAGTGTAACAAGGCTTGGGATCCCCTTGGTCAAGAGGGGGTCTGTTCAGTCAATGGGTGCGGCTTAGGATTTTATTTTTAGTTCATAGGATGGATCAGATTGTTTTTCTTTTGTGATTACAAATAAGGCTGAGGCCAAGCATAGTGGCTCATGCCTGTAATCTCAACACTTTGAGGGTTGAGGTGGGAGGATCGTGTGAGCCCAGGAATTCAAGACCAGCCTGGGCAATATAGGGGGACCTCGTCGCTACAAAAAATAAAAAAAATAAAAATTAGCTGGGCATAGGAGCCCACTCACGTGGTCCCAGCTGCTCAGAAGGCTGAAGCAGGAGAATCACTGGAGCCCAGGATTTCAAGGCTGCAGTGAGCCATCGTTGTGCCACTGCACTCCAGCCTAGGCAACAGAGTGAGACTGTCTCAAAAAATAATAAATAAATAAGCAAATAAATAAGGCTGAAATGAACAGCCTCATCCATATCTTTTCATGAACACCCACCAACTTTTCCCTCCGAATAGCTTTCTAAAGCTTTCGAATAGCTTATTTTTAAGTCATGCAATGACTTGACAAATTGCGTGTTAGGAAGCCTGTTACGAATTTAGACTCCTGTGCTATTTTGAAATAGATATTTGGTCTTCATCCCCATCCCCACTTCCTGGCAAAAAGCTCCTAAAACCCTTGGAATCTGCAGAGTACTAAGAGTGTCATTTGTGTGCTAATGAAATGACTGGTGGCTGGGGACCCTAGACAGCTTCAGGATGGGGGCTGGCCACCAGAAAGACAGAGGTGGGATTAGGGGGTTGGGACTTTCACCTCACTTGCCAACATCTGGGGAGAGGAGAGGGACTGAAGGTTGAGCTGATCACCAATTGCCAATGATATGGTCGATCGATCATGCCTCTGTAATGCCGCCTCAGTGAAAACCCGCAAGGACAGGGTTTGAAGAGCTCCCAGATACCTGAATACATGGAGCCTGGAGGGCGGTGTGTCTGGAGCAGGTGTGGGAGCTCTAAGCCCCTTCCCAGATGCCTCACCCTGTGCACCTCTTCCATCTGCCTCTTCATTTTCATCCTTTGAAATATCCCTTGTAATAAATGAATAAGTGTAAGTAAAGTGTTTCCCTGAGCTCTGTGAGCCACTGTAGCAAATTAATCAAACCTGAGGAGGGGATACTGGGAATCCTGATTTGCAGCCAGTTGGGCAGAAGAGCAGGTCACAACCTACTACTTGTGACTGACATCTGAAGCGGGGACAGTCTGGTGGGACTGAGCCCTTAACCTGTGAGGTCTGACACTGTCCAGGTAGAGAGTTTCAGAATGGAATTGAATTAGGAGACACTCAGCTGTTATCTGCTGAAGGAGTGGTTGATGTGGAGAAGTCTCTACACATTTTAGTGACCGGTGATCAGAGAAACACAATTATCCTTTGGTATCTTCAAATGGATTGGTCCCAAAACTCCTCCCCTGGAAGGGTTTTGGTGATTTGGACACCAAAATTACTGGCTGCTCAAGTCCCTTATATAGGAAAGTATAGTATTTGCATATAACCTACACACATCCTCCACATGCTTTAAATCAGATGTGTCCAATCTTTTGGTTTTCCTGGGCCACATTGGAAGGAGAATTGTCTTGGGCCATACATAAAATATACTAACACTAACAATAGCTGATGAGCTTTAAAAAATCACACACACAAAAAAATCATATGTTTTAAGAAAGTTTACGAATTTGTGTTGGAGGGTAGGCCACAGATTGGACAAGTTGCTTTAAATCACCTCTAGATTACTTATATCTAATACAATGTAAATACTATGTAAATAGTTGTTATATTGTATTGTTCAGAGAATAATGGCAAGAAAAAAGTCTGTATGTTTAGTACAGACACAATCATTCTTTTTTTCAAATGTTTTTGAATCGAGGTTGGCTGAATCCATGGATGCAGAACCCATGGATATGAAGGAGTGACTGTATTCTGTGTGGAATTTATGCTGAATGGGTTGGCAGAACATACATATTCAATAAGCTATAGGAGGAGCAATGAATATTTATGAAAGGAGAAACGTGAATGTGTCATTGAGTTTCATGACTCTTCATGGGTCATGTGTTCATGGGAGGGTGTAGTTTTTAGCCTCTGACATCAAAAGGCGAAGGAGGGGCCAAAAACCACTCACTGTGCATCCTCTGTGAGCCAGCCAAAACTGGTCCAGAGGCAGTGGTCCATTTTAGGAAGGATGCACTGTGAAGCTGGTGACTGTCACTCCAAAACTGCAAAGAGGTAGGGCGAGTCCAGCCACGGCCTCAGATGATTGGCTAAAGATGATAAAGGAAGGAGTCCTGTGTTTCTTGTTTACCAGAGCTGGTTTCTGCTTACTCCTTAGGAAAGAGTTCTGGCTAAAGGTTAATATGGAAGGGACATGCTGAAGTCTGTCTGACCTTGCATCCCGTCCTGGCCAGGAGCTCAGTTTTTAAGATTTCTCTGGGGTCCCTTTGGCCAAGAGAGTGTTCTATCAGTCAGTTGGGGAAACTTATGATTTAAACTTTATTCCTTGGGTCAGTTTAATAGACCTTGCAACTTTAAAATAAGCATTATCAGGTCTAAGAACTCAGTGTGTGAGCACCACTCAAGCATCACAACCTGCTGCCAAGATGCTAAATGTTGTAAGAAAATTAATAACTTAAAGGCAAAAACTGACCTCCATGAAGATGAAAAGTCTGATGGCACTGTAACTCTAGAGAAAGGAGCATGTGTCCCCATTGAGGGGAAGGCAGCGTCCATTTCAGGGCACACTGCAGGCATGTCAGGGTGTTTCAGGAGTCTGCCAGGTGTCCTGTCTTGTCACTCGAGACTCCAGCCCAGGGACAGACAGAAAACCAGAAGACAGCACCTCCTGGCCAGGATCCCAGCATCCATTTGAGGGAGACAAGATGAGAAGGGACAATATTGTTGTAGCAAAAATAATAGGTTCTCCACTTCCTTACATAGGAGGAAATTCCCACACCTTGATAGGAGGCAGTTCCCCTTCCTGCCCACCTTGGCACAGGCGGTCACACTCCCCACCTGTATGTTGAGGGACTGTGCAAGAGGGCAGCACTGTCTGAGTTGGGACATCCACAACCCCCTGCTCCTGCCCACCCTTGGCTTGAGTGCTGGCGACGGCAACGTCCCCTCTCAGCCCTGGCCTGAGGTCCTCCACCCTTCTTCAGTTCTCTCTCTCAGGCCTCCATCATCCCACAGCTTTTCTTCCAATCTCTCCTCTTTTTTCTTTTTGATGACGTTTCAAAAGAGTCAGCATTTTGGAAGACAACTGTAGACTTGCTTTCAAATGCAGAGCATCAGAGAGCCATGGTCTGCCCACAGGTGGCCTGCAGCAGGGCAGAGCTGTGCCTCTGATGGCCAAGGGGGAGGTCACACTTGCTGCCTCTGTCCTCCTTAATGCTCCTGTGACACAATTAGAACAAAGCCTGACTGCCGTGATGAAGAAGAGGTGAACTCATGCTGGTGGGTGTCTTGTCCAGAGCACGTCAGCCACCCCGTGAGTTGGCAGAGCCAATGGGCAGACACACAGGATGAGGTTACAGGAAGATGCTCTCCTGCAGCAGATCCAAGGAGACAGAGACCCCAGCAGATGGCCCGAGAAGCTCCCACCTGCACCTCCAGCATCAACAGGCAGACAGAGAACTCCTGTTAGAGGGGATGAGGCAAGTCTGGGACCCTTAGAAGACTGCAGGAAGAGCTGCAGATGGTGCGAAGCAGGTTCACTAATGACCAGTCCAAGGGAGGCCTCCCATTGCATGGAGAGCAGCAGAGACCATCGCTGCCCCTCCCACAAGGAGTAGTTGGTCTGGAATATTTGCTACTTACACCTTATGAATCTCCCAGTTACTCGTTGGTGTGCTTTTAACTAACATGAGAAGCAGGGACTGGGCTGTTTGTTGAGTATTATGTCTTGATATTTTTTAGTTCAGTTGTACATGTTAGTAACAAGGGTAGGGGTGCAGGGTGTCCTCATGCATGGCTGCTATAAAGGTCATGAGCAATCAAAAATAGAAATAACTATTTCCATTAATTAGGATATTATTGTAGGATGAAGGTGGAGAATGTATGCTCTGAACATGAAAAAGAGGGCTTGGATCACAGCTCTGCCTTCTGATATTTTGTTTGTTTGTTTGGAGCAGGTGCTTGATCCTTTAGGTAGAAAGCAAGCTTAGTGAAGTTAAGTGATTGTCCAAAATCATGCTGCTTCTTACCAGTTGGCTAGAATTCAAACCCGAGCTGACTTAAATAAGAGCCCAAATTTACACTGGTTATGTGGGAGAGGGGTTGCTTTTGTTTATTTCTCATTACTGTGAAAAGACATCTTATACTCAGTAGAGGATATAGAGTCTATTTTTATACTCTAAAAATTATAATGACATGCACATGCATGTACCATCACCCACTGGAGACATGCACCGGTCCACCTGCCTTTGCAGCTCTCATTTCACATTCCAGCCGCCTGCTACACTCACGTCAGCGGTGCATAGAAGAACTTCGGTTATTTCTCGTGTGAGAGTTCACCTTTTGCAAAGGCTGACAGGAAGTGGATGATGAAGAACTGAGTTTTATGTAAAGGAGAGGGAGAGGTAATTGATGGATCATGGCTGAGTGCACCGCAGGGAGGAAGGATGGAGGGCACGGGTGGAGGGGAAGGTCATCATGGCAGAGACGGGGACATCTCAGATGAGATGCCCAGAGGTGTAACAACTCTGATAGGAAGCTGTGCTGTGTGCCACATGCCTCTGCAGGCTGCAGACCAGTTTGGATCTTACTGGTCTATGTATCAAGATATGGAGTGAGCTTACCCTCTCCAGACTGCAATTCCTGTGAGTTTCTCTCTTCTCCTTGGAATCTGAGTTTGTTGGTTCCAGAGTAGCTTTCCAGCTGGGGATCTGGGGTGAGATTTCACCAGCCAAAGGCTGTTGGAAGGCAAATCAGGATGTTGGGTATGGGCTGGGCTAACTGCAGGGCTGGACTGAGCACTGGACCCTCAGGGTGTCACCCCTGGGGCAGGGTGGGCTTTGGGAAGAACACAGCCCTGGCAGGTGCCCACCTCTGCTTAGTTTGTGCTGGTTGCTATGGGAGTGAAGGGGCCGCCAAGTGGTAGCTCCAGGTGGGGCTGGCCCTCCAAATTCCAGGCCTATAATTTATCTGGCACATATAACCCCTCATTTGAGGCTTAATTTGTTTCCAAAGCCTTGAGTTTGAGAGATCTTACAAAACTTTTATTTTATTGTCATCATATTGTGACAAGTGAAGACATACTCCAACAAAAAATTGAGGATAAACTCCAGTTTGATGAGTTTTTCCTCCTTTTGGTGTGTTGATATCAAGGACGCTGTTAGACATAAGGATTAATATCAGGTCTGCTTTTCAGACACTGACGCAGCCAGGAGAAGGGGGACATGGCCTCCACAGAGTTGCAGGTGGAGCTTGCCTTGCAGCAAGGAATCCCAGGCCAAACTAAGCAGGGCAAGCAGCACCATTGAGTGTCCCACTGCGTGATTGGTTTCATGTGTTGAAGAATCTACAGCCTGGAAAACAAGTGGCAGAAATCTGAATGGCAGCATGGTCACAGACACTGGCTGGCTGAGGACTTCGAGACTGTTGTGGTACTTTCTCAAGGCTTCTGTTCCCTTACTCATCAATTAGAGTTGACAATGGACACTGATCCCTGTCTCTCCTGTGGATTCACTGCTACCTGGAGTCAGGAGAAGGGAGCGGGAAGCAGTCAAATCCTTTAGGGCCTTAGTTCTTGTGGACCAACATGTTAACAAGTGCAGCTGTCCCAAGCTCTTTGTTACTGTGGTAGGCAGAGCAATGCCCCTCAAAAGCTGTTCCCATCCCAGGCCATGAAACCAGCGACCATGTTACATATGTGGCAATGAGGATATGCCCCTGCATTGAGGTGCGGCTCTGGAGATGTCCTGTATTTCACAGGTGGGCCCAAGATGATCACAAAGTTCCTAACCAGGGAGGCAGGAGGGCCAGGTCATAGAAAGAGAGGTGGGCGTGGAAGCAGAGGTTGGAGTGATGTGGCTGTGAGCTGGAGAATGTGGACAGCTTCTAGAAGCTGAGATGGTGAGGAACAGTCTCCC
Organism: Homo sapiens; assembly: GCF_000001405.40. Lineage (NCBI taxonomy): Eukaryota > Metazoa > Chordata > Mammalia > Primates > Hominidae > Homo > Homo sapiens. The sequence continues at coordinate 22,470,780 of NC_000017.11, forward strand.
CAGGAGCCCCCAGAAAGGAGCACAGCCCTGCAGACAATGTGACTTTAGCCAGACAGACCCATTTGGGATTTCTCGCCTCCAGAAATGTAGCACAAACATGTGTGGTTTTAAGCCAGTTTGTGGTATTCAGCCACAGCAGCAATGAGAAACAGACATAACTTCCGTGTGATTCCTTGACAGGCCACGTGGCTCAGGACTCCTGACTCCTTCCTGGCTTTGCTTGCTTGACTGCAAGACACAGTAGGGCTAGACACCTGCTGCGGTCTGAGTGTGGCCCCCAAAAGCATGTGTTGGAAACTTGGTCCCCAGTGCAACAGCATTAAGAGGTGGGACCTTTTATTTTTTAAAATAAAAAGGTTCCATGAGGAAGAGCTGAAGTAGGTGGAATCTTTAAGAAGACGTGATTAGGCCATTAAAACTCTACCCTCGTGAATGGATCAATGCCCTTATCTCGGGAGTGGGTTAGTTATCATGGTAGTGAGTACCTCTCTCTCTCTCGCTCTCTCTCTCTCTCTCTCTTCTCTCCCTCCCCCTCTCTTTGACCTTCCACCACGGGATGATGCAGCAAGAAAGCCTTCCCTTACCAGATGTCAGCATCTTAATACTGGACCTACAGGTCTCAAGAACTGTGAGACATAAATTTCTTTATAAATTACCCCATCAGTGTGGTACTCTGTTGTAGTAATACAAAATGGACTAGACAACACATAATGTTTTATAAATAAATTGTATTTGTGGGATGCTTTTGTCTTTCTAATCTCTCCAACAAAAGACAACTTTTGCAGGCCCACTTCTGTTTGCAGGCCCTCTGAAAAGCCATCTCAAAATATGCCAAAGTATCCTTTTTCTTTTTTTCCAGAGTCCTTTTTTCCAATGCACCAAAGTATATTTTGAGATAAAATATCTTTGGTTTTCTCCGCTCCCCACTTTGAAACTTCAAATGTTTCACATATAAAAAGGCAAGTTGATCCCTTTGGAGAGATTTAGGTTAGAGTTTGTTAAATAAGAGACAGGCAAAGAAGAGAAATGACAAATTTGAATGAGCAGAAAAGAACAAATTTAAATATTTTGTCTCAGATCTTGGGACATTTCTATGGAAACAGAAGAAAAACAAAGGTTAATGTCTGGAATAGTGTATGGACTAGTTTTTCCAGAGTCGCTGAAGCATCTTCAAATTGTAGTGGTAATCTGACAGATTTTTCTGGGTATTAGTTGGAATCAGGTGTTCCAGCAAACTTTCTGAGTAGTCTATACATCAACAGGTACAAAGGCTGTTTACATGTAAAGTTGCTACAGTGATTTCTCCTAAAGTTTATATCAAGTTTTCTAGCATCAATTTGCAGGGCTTTAAGAAAAGCACAGTTTTTTTATTTCTAGTGATTCCAAGTCAGAAAAATGTGAGAAAATGTGAGAACATTAGCTTGGAGACTTGTAGCCAGAAAAGAATTCAGAATTCAGTCCCAGTTGTAGACAAATAATAAAAACTGAAAAACAATGGACAGGGCTAGAGTAGAATAGTGGGTATACTATAGTTTTCTTCTGAAACATAACTTTTCTCTCCCCAGTTCCCCATTTCTAACAAAGACAAATCACAATAGGACCAATTTATTTGCAAAATAAGTTTTCATTTTGTTATAATTGGCCTGATTGTTTGAATAAAGTACAGAAAAGGTGGTGATTGGCCATTCTTTTAAGTTGGCCTTGCTGGAACTTTTTCATAAGGAATTTCAGATTAGACTTTTAAAATCCTCTAAAGTCTAGGAAACCAAGCCAAGTGTTTGCCATCAGACTGTGCCTGTAATGCCTGTAGAAATTCGGTGAATTCCTCTCCTCTTGAGGTCCCAATATATCTTGAGGTTCTTGGGCCCTTCAGAAAGTGACATTCTATACTTACTCCAAGGTACAGAACCTTGTAAGGGAACTGTGTAGACAAGATACCTGGCCAGTCTTTCTGCAAGGATTTTTATTAGATCTATAAAATCAACTTTAGTTCTGCTGAATAGGCTCATCATATCTGAAAATATGCCATTCTTGTCAAAACCTTGGTAAAATAACCAGTGTCTCAATTTTGTCCTGTTATTTAAAAAAAAAAACCAATTCTCACTGAGCTTATGCAAAGAACTATATTGACATAAATTAAAAATACTTACAAATAATTTCCAAATTCTAGAGAAATCTGATAGAGAGATAAATGTTTCAATTTTGTTCAATTGTTAAAAGCTATAGATGGCTTAAGAGAAAAAAGTTTTCTTGATTCTGGAAATCAAAGCATAGAAAGAATCCACAATGATTCAAACCAAAGAGTCAAAAAAAAGTTTTCAGTCCTCTATCAGTTCAGTCCCATGTAATTAACTCTTGTTCTGCTTGATATTGGGTTAGCAATCTTCAGGAACCCATCACCTTTTCTTATCAGAGTTCTGGAAGTTTTTGCCTATTCCAACGGTATGATATCCAAACTTACCATAAATCTGTATCCAAGAGTACTTGTCAAGGACTTTTTGGTAAATTTCCTTAAAGAAGAAGCAAGCTTTCGACTATAGTAAATCATAAACTGCTTTCTGAGAAGAGTCAAAGTAGAACAAAAATTATCTGTGGATGACAAAAGACTTAAAATAACCAGGGTTAGAGAAACAATTGACAAGGAAATTTGGTTATTTATGTGACATTCAGCAATTTAATATAATAATCATAATTATTACTGATAACACATATGAAGACATATCAGAATTTTAGTAACCCCATTCCATTTAGGAACACATATTAATAACACATTTTTATAACTACAACTCAAAGACATTTAAATACAATTTTTTTATGTGGCCAGTCTTTCCATATGATTTTTGCATACCAAATAAGACTAATATGTCCCTCTTGGACTTCCAGGAGTTCTTCATGAAAATACTTACTTTTATAATTTGAAATTAGATTTTTGGAAGTTTTCCAAATATCAACAGTTTAAAACACTTGATAAAAAAAACAGGATGAATCACAAGCAACTATAAAGTAATGGTCATTCATTAGTGATGATTACCCCAAGTGATAAAGATTTTAAAAACCAAAAACTTTTACTCCTTGATAGAAAGGAGACTCTGTTTCCCAAATAATCAAAAGACCTAATGAAGACAGCATGAAGCAAACAAAATCCATCTCTCCCCTCTTTTTTGTGCAGTTTACTTACAAGGAAAACAAAAATCATTTGCTATCTCTTATTAATACTACATGAAAATAGTGTTTAAAAGAGAAAACCAAATTCTACCTTTGCAACAGTGTATTAATGCTAAAGCTAATTTTAATAAAATCTTATAAACAGATCCCTTCAATCTCAGTTTTGATCACATAAAATAAGATTTTCATAAACCTTTTATAACTTCTTGCATTTTTTCTATTTTTTTCCCCAGCTGTCCATTCAGTTGTATGACTTTAAAACACCTAACAGAGAGAATAAAAATCTACCTAATTAGACCCAGGCAAAAAATGTCTAAATTAAATTCTGAAGATGTTTCTGTTTTATTTACTTTTCTTTTTATTTATTTATTTATTTTTAGAGACAGGGCCTCATTTTGTTACCCAGGCTTGAGTACAGTGGTGCAATCATAGCTCACTGCAGCCTCCAACTCCTGGGTTGTAGCTGAGATGACAGGCATGCACCACCACAACCAGTTAATTTTTTTTTTTTTTTGAGGCGGAGTTTCACTCTGTCACCCAGGCTGGAGTGCAATGGCATGATCTCAGCTCACCGCAACCTCCACCTCCCAGGTTAAAATGATTCTCCTGCCTCAGCCTCCCTAGTAGCTGGGATTACATGCATGTGCCACCATGCCCGGCTAATTTTGTATTTTTAGTAGAGATGGGGTTTCTCCATGTTGGTCAGGCTGGTCTCGAACTCCTGACCTCAGGTGATCTGCCCACCTCGGCCTCCCAAAGTGCTGGGATTACAGGCATGAGCCACCGTGCCAGGCCTACAACCAGCTAATTTTTAAAATTTGTTTTTAGAGATTGAGGTCTTGCTATTTTGCCCAGGCTGGTCTCAAACTCCTGGGCTCATGTGATCCTCCTGCCTCAGCCACCTAAAGTGCTGGGATTACAGATGTAAGCCACCATGTCTTGCCCTTCTATTTTACTGTAGCAATAACTTAAAAACTATCTTTATGACTCCGCATGTAGTGCATGCCTTTAATCTCAGCACTTTGGGAGGCTGAGGCAGGTGGATCGCTTGAGGCCGGAGTTCAACACAGGCCTGGCCAACATGGAGAAACCCTGTATCTACTAAAAATAAAATAAAATAAAATAAAATGCCAGGAGTGGTGGCACATACCTGTAATCCCAGCTACTTGGGAGGATGAGGTATGAGAACTGCTTGATCCTCGAAGGTGAAGATTGCAGTGAGCTGAGATTGCACCACTGCATTCCAGCATAAGTGACAGAGTGAGACAGTCTCAAAAAAGAAAAAAAGAAGGGAAATTTCTTTTTTTTTTGGAGACAGAGTCTCACTCTGTTGCCCAGGCTGGAGTGCAGTGGCACGATCACAGCTCACTGCAGCCTCGACTACCCAGGCTCAAGAAATCCTCCTAGCTCAGCCTCCTGAGTGGCTGGGACTACAGGCCCATGCCACAACACCTGGCTAATTTTTGTAGTTTTGTAGAGACAGGATCTCACTTTGTTTTGCAGTGCTGGTCTCGAACTCCTGGGGTCAAGTGATCTTCCTGCCTCAGCCGCCCAAAATGCTGGGATTACAGGAGATTGTACCATTGGATCTTTTTTTTTTTTTAAAAAAGGTACCCCCTCAAGTGGCTCACCAAAACCAGTAAGGCTTAATCAAGATTATGACTTAACCAAGGACACATGAGGCATCTCCAGAGAGGTGCACAGCAGTCCTCACCAGATCCAGAACCACCTCAAAGAGAGCTCAAAGAAGGGAAAGTTTTGCTAGCCACAAATGGGGTATGACCCACATCTGCCAGCCATATCTTCCAGGGTCTCAGCCTCTCAGCTGACCATCTACACACAAAAGCCTAAGAGCCCCGTGTAATCCCTCAAACAGAAGATGCCAGAAAACCAACAGCTGTCTATGGAAGAGGAAAGGATCAATGACAAGTGGGTAAGCCACAAAGTCAAAAGTCACACAAATATCAAACCAAAAGCGACTGGCTTCCCAACTGGGACCTGCACCCAGGCCATGGCAGTGAATGTGTGGAATTTTAACAACAAGACTGCAAGGTGGGGCCAGGTGCAGTGGCTCACGTCTGTAATCACAGCACTTTGGGAGGCTAAAGCAGGCAGATCGTGAGGTCAAGTGATTGAGACCATCCTGGCCAATATGGTGAAACCCCGTCTCTAGTAAAAATACAAAAATTAGCTGGGCGTGGTGGCACGTGCCTATAATCCCAGCTACTCTGGAGGCAGAGGCAGGAGAATCATTTGAACTTGGGAGTTGGAGGTTGCAGTGAGCCGAGATTGTGCCATTGCACTGCAGCCTGGGTGACAAGAGCGAAACTGTGTCTCAAAAAAAAAAAAATTGACTGCAAGGTGGAGTGGCTGGCACTGCAGATTCCACAAGGGACCCAGGGCAGGCATTTGGAGCATATGAAGGATTTTAGCTTTGTTTCAGGTCAGACTTTTGCTCTTTAATCTCATCAAGAGGATTTCTAAGGCAAGCCATGACACTATGATGTGTCTTTTAATTTAATCTTCCAATGAATATAAATAAGGCAGTTGTTTAGAATAAGAAATCTTTAAACTATTTTTTGTAATTTAGAGGTCTTTTCAACTTAAAGAATCCATCTTTTGGCCGCTAATGACTAGAATTTCCAATAATGTTCTTATTCTAACATCAATTCCATCCCACAGCCTCTTCATGGAAAGCCCCGGATGTGGTTTTCTAGGCTTAGAGTAGGTTATTACCATTTAAGAAAGACTTGTTTCCTGAAGAGGGCATAGAATAGGCAGTTCCAAAGATTCCTCCAGTAAAATTCACTCCTGGAAACAGGCTCAGATAGCAAGAGACTTCTTTTTTATTTTAACTCACAGTTTTTATTGATTGAAGTAATAAAATAAAAATTAGCACCTTAGTTCCTATTTCTTGTCTATTGTTTTTCTTTCTTTTTAAAATTTAATTTTATTTAATTTAGTTGTAAGTTCCAGGATACATGTGCAGGACATGCAGGTTTGTTACATAGGTAAACATGTGCCATGGCGGTTTGCTGCACCTATCAACCCACCACCTAGGTATCAAGCCCCACATGCATTAGCTATTTATCCTAATACTCTCCCTCCCCACCACCAACAGGCCCCAGTGTGTGTTGTTCCCCTCCCTGTGTCCATGTGCTCTCATTGTTCAGCTCTCACTTATAAATGAGAACATGTGGTGTTTTGCTTTCTGTTCCTCTGTTAGTTTGCTGAGGATAATGGCTTCCAGCTCCATCCATGTCCCTGCAAAGCAACAGACTCTTGTTGCCACACATGGTTAGGATGGTGTTTGTGTGCACAGTGCCTCTGGTGACCCACACATTTCTGGGGACACCCATCACAGACCCCTTAATTCATGACACTGGACAGCTCTCCTAGGATGGAACTTTCCCAGGACTAACCAGGCAACAAGGGCCAGACCACAAAAATTCCTTATGGATGGGACTTCTTATTAAGACAAACATTCCCAACAGCTGGACACATTCAGAACAAAAAGTTTGCTGCCTAAAACCTTGTATCTCAGGTTCCCAGGCATCTTCAGGCTAAACACCTGATGGGACCCAAAAATCACACCCCAGATGGCGGAAACAAGAGACAGTGCTCCCACTTGTCACAAGTCAAACACTCCAGGGCATAAAACAAGATGAGAGGGGTCCTCATCTGGCTTCTATTTTGTTTTTGTTGTTTTGAGACTCAGTCTCTCACTCTGTCACCCACGCTGGAGTGCAGTGGTGTGATCTTGGCTCACTGCAACCTCTGCCTCCTGGGTTCAGGTGGTTCTCCTGCCTCAGCCTCCTGAGTAGCAGAGATTACAGGTGCCTGCCACCATGCCTGCCTAATTTTTGTATTTTTAGTAGGGGGGGGGGGGTTTCACCATGTCAGCCAGGCTGGTCTTGAACCCTTGACCTCAAGTGATCTGCCCACCTCAGCCTCCCAAAGGACTGGGAGCCACCGCACCCGGCTTGGCTTCTATTTTGAGGACCCACAGCAAAGTTTGAATGCCCATCTGATCACAGCCACAGACTGGCTGCTCTTCAGGTCTGGCCTGAACAATGGGCTGGCAGGATCTTCAGCCCCCATTCTACCCTACAAGGCCCCTTTTCAGGACAGAACAACACAGGAAGACCAAGACAGACGAGAATAATCCTCCCGGAAGGAAGGGCTCTAAACAATATGAGTATTCACACCAAAAAGTACACCAGAGTCGCTGCACCCAACACTGTTCACACAGATCCTTTCTCACACTAATCAACATCTTGCAGAGGAAAAACGACTGATTTTTACCATCTGCTCACCCAGATTCCACAGAGAGACCGGCCAGGAGCCCGGCTGGTAAGAATTTCTTACCCTTCTGCCAGCTCGTCAGGTCCTGGGTCCCCTGACTGAAGCTTCCAGAAAAGCAAAACAGCTTTGGTATTCTGTTCAGGACACCAAAACTGTAGGGGCCAACAGAAAACCTCCCCTTTGCCCTTGAAAGTTTCACTGAAAAATCAACTCACAACTCAGATTAATTAGAGAAATGGCATGCACATTTATTAATGTGCACATGGAGAAGGACCAGAGCAATGATCCCAACCCCGCAGTGGTGTGCAGAAGCTTATTTACCGCCTTGAGACTACAGAAGGAACAGGGGCTGGGATGATGGCAAGACAGGTTAGAGGAGAGGGAGGAGGAGGCCTGGCTCGCAAAGGTGGTCTCAGAATGCAGACAGAACCACACAGACAGCAGTCCTCAGAGAGAATAGATGGTAAACATTTCTTTCTGATGGCTAAACATGTCAGACTCTGAGGGACTCCTTCCTAGATCCAGACAAGGGAAGGCTTCAGAGGAAACTTGCCTGTGTCAGTGTGGATTCTCTACAGATGCAAACGTTCCCCTCAAAAGGCAGCTTTGCAGGGTGGCCTCTGTTTGAAGGCCCCTCTAAAGAGCCATCTCAAAATATGTCCAAGTATATAGTGGGGTGAAATATTTTGGTTTCCTTCAACTACATCCTTACTACTTAATTCAATGCAATTTCCCTTAGCCATGAACTCTTCAAGTCTTTTTTTGCCTGAAAAGGTTTTGATTGAATTCATAATCTTGAGTGATCACCATGTAAGCAGATAAATATTGGTTGACAGTTATATTTCCTCAGTATATTAAAGAAACCTGGCTCGGTGCAGTGACTCATGCCTGAAATCCCAGCGCTTTGGGAGGCCAAAGTGGTGGGTGGATAGCTTGAGCTCAGGAGTTTGAGACCAGCCTGGGCAACATGGCGAAGCCCCATCTCTCCAAAATTACAAAAATTAGCCGGGTGTGGTGGTGCATGCCTGTAGTCCCAGCTACTCGGGAGGCTGAGATGGGAGGATCCCTTGAACCCAGGAGGCAGAGGTTGCAGTAAGCTGAGATTATGCCTCTGAACTCCAGCCTGAGTGACAGAGTGAAACTCTGCCTCAAAATAAATAAATAAATCTTTCCATGGTTGTGTGCATGTTGAGATATCTGTCTTGCCTAAATTTATTTCTCTATTTTTTCCTATCTTTTATTTTGATGTAATTTCAGACATTTTAAAAGTCACAGCCTGGTGTGGTGGCTCATGCCTGTAATCCCAGCACTTAGGGAGGCTGAGGCAGGTGGATTGCCTGAGGTCAGTAGTTTGAGACCAGCCTGGCCAACGTGGTGAAACTCCACCTCTACTAAAAATGCAAAAATTAGCTAGGCATGGTGGGCGGCGCCTACAATCCCAGCTACTCAGGAGGCTGAGGTAGGAGAATTGCTTGAACTCAGGAGACGGAGGTTGCAGTGAGCTATGATTGCACCACTGCACTCCAGCCTGGGTGACAGAGAATAAAAAATGAAGAGTTCATGTCCTTTGTAGGGACATGGATGAAACTGGAAACCATCATTCTCAGCAAACTATTGCAAGGACAAAAAACCAAACACCGCATGTTCTCACTCACAGATATGAATTGAACAATGAGAACACATGGACACAGGAAGGGGAACATCACACTCCAGGGACTGTTGTGGGGTGGGGGAAGGGGGCAGGGATAGCATTAGGAGATATACCTAATGCTAAATGATGAGTTAATGGGTGCAGCACACCAACATGGCACATGTATACATATGTAACAAACCTGCACATTGTGCACATGTATCCTAAAACTTAAAGTATAAAAATAATAAAATGAAACTAAAAAAAAGAGTTGCAATAGTAGTGCGAAAAATTCCATTTATGATTCCTTCAGATTCCTCTCATATTAACATTCAATTACATTTGCTAAATGCTCTTCTCTTGGTGCAGATGTAGAATATTATAGCTATTTTCCTAGACCCTGTGAGAGTCAGTTGCAGACATGATGCTCCTTTACCTACAAGTATTGAGCGTGTGTTTCTGAAACCAAGGGCAGCTCTTACATTATCAGAGTTCAGTGATCAAAAACAGGAAATCTTCATTGACACAATACAATTCTCAGACCTTCAGATCTCCTTCAGATTTTGCCAACGGTTCCAATATTGTTTTTATAGGGGAAGAAGATCCTGAACCATGCCTTCATTCAGTTGTCTCATCTGGAACTGTTCTGCAACCTCTTTGATTTCTTGATATTGATGTATTTCCAGATACAGGCTAGTCACTTAATAGAACATCCCTCCATTTGGTTGCCTGATACGTCCTCACGTTGAGAATCAGGTTTTGCACTTTCAGCAGGAACACTACAGAGGGGATGCTGGGCTTTTTCAGTGCAACCACTAACAAGAAACATGAAGCCAGTTTCTCCCCTGCTGTGAGGGTGAGGTGGGCTTTCTCCCTGGACTGCAACCACCTGGGTGAGTGTGTTTTATAAAATTATGCTTTCTCCACTGTAACCTTCTCCCATTTCCATTTCTGAGTGCAAACTATCTTGTGGGTGGTTACTTTTGAGATTCTGGGTCTCTTAAACACTAGTTTTGGTTGATTTACTTCAGTATCACAATACTTCAGCATATTATCTACTTTCATTTATTCTTGGCACTCATTGTGGTTCTGGAATCTAAAGATCAATAGTTTTCATCAGTTCCAGAAATTCCTTAGCCATTATCCCTTTGAATAGGACCGTTCTCTCATTATCTGCATTTTCTCCTCTTGTAATTATTGTCAAGTGTGTTTTGCATATTCTCATTTCAATTCTCCAGTCTCCTGATGATCTTTCACAGTTTGCAAATCTTTATTGCTATATATTCTAGACAATTCCACATATGGATATTCTTATAATTTCTATCATCATCTGAGGCTAATCTGTTGTGTTTTAATTTTTAACTTCACTGATTTCACTATTCACTTCCAGAAGTTTCCCTTGGTGTTTCAAACAAGCCTGTCTTCTGTGGTGGCAATGTGGTATTTTCTAGTGACTGCAGCCATTCTTACCTATCTTTAATCCTTTTAAACCTAGTTAAAAGATTGCCTTCTTCCTTGTTCCCTCTGAATGTTATCAGCTTCACATTGCTAAGGTTTTTGAGGTATAATTGACAAAGTGAGGTGTAATTGCTTTATTGAAGTATAGTTGCGTAAGATTGTATACATTTAAGGTGATGTGATGATCACAGTGTGATGTTTTGATCTATGTATATATTGTGAACTCATTACCACAACCAAGCTAATTAACACATCTGTCACCTCACACAGTAACCTTGTGTGTGCCTGATGAGAACCTTAAGATATGCTCTCAGCAAATGTCAAGTATTATTAACTATAGTCCCCATGCTGTATATTAGATTCTAGAACTTATTCGTCTTGTAACTGGGAGTTTGTGCTTATTTATTTATTTATTTATTTATTTATTTTTGAGATGGAGTCTGGCTCTGTCACCAGGCTGGAGTACAGTAGCATGATCTTGGCTCACTGCAACCTCCACCTCCCAGGTTCAAATGATTCTCCCACCTCAGCCTCCCGAGCAGCTGGGATTACAGGTGCACACCATCATGCCCGGCTACTTTTTATATTTTTAGTAGAGACGAGGTTTCACCATGTTGGCCAGGATGGTCTTGAACTCCTCACCTTAGATTATCTGCCCTTTTTGGCCTCCCAAAGTGCTGGGATTATGGGTGTGAGCCACCGCACCCAGCCAGAAGTTTGTACTTTTTGGTCAACATTTCCCCATCCCCTCCACTCCCAGCCCCTGGCAACCCCTGTTCCCCTCTCTGTTTCTGTGAGTTCAATTTTTTTAGATTTCACATCTAAAAACAGGAGTTAGGGGAGATTGTGCAATACAGTCAACCCTTGAACAATGTGAGAGTTGGGGGTGCTGACACCCCCATACAGTTGGAAACGTGTGTATAACTTTTGACTCCCCAAAAACTTAACTATTAGTAGCTTACTGTTGCCTGGAAGTCTTATGTGTTAATGTAAACCACAGATTAATACATTTTTTATGTTATACATATTATACACTGTGTTCTCATGGTAAAGTAAGCTAGAGGAAAGAAAATGTTATTAAGAAAACCATAAGGAAGAGAAAATCTGTTTACTATTCATTAAGTGGATCATCATAAAGGTCTTCATCCTCATCATCTTTAGGTTGAGGAGGCTGGGGAGGAGGGAGAAGAGGGGTTCATCTTGCTGTCTCAGGGGAGACACAGGCGGAAGAGGTAGAGGAGGTGGAAGAGAAGAGGCAGGAGAAGCAGGCCCCCTTGCTGTAACTTTTTTTGAGGAAAATTCACGTATAAATGGACCCACACAGTTCAAACCTCTGTTGTTCAAAGGTCAACTATATCTGCCTTTCGGTGTCTGGCTTATTTCACTCAACATAACTTCCTCTGGGTTCATCCACAGTGTCACAAAAGGCAGGATTTCCTTCTTTTTTAGGGTGAATGATATTCTATTATCTCATTATATGTACATCACATTTTCTTTTTCCACTCATCCATGTGCGTACACTGAGGAAGTTCAGGAAATTCCTTCCCCGCAACCAGAATATGCCAGTTTGATGTGTTGATTGCTTCAAACTGAGGGCAGTGGTGGAGGAGCAAATGCAGGGAGGGTTTTCTGTGGACCTCCCTCATCTGTTGAAAGACAGATCTTCCAAAGGGAACTCAGCTGGCATGAATCCCCTTCCTGGGAACCTCATCAACAAGGGAAGATTTGTTCATGTCACAGCAGCACAGACAGACTTTGTCACTGCTGTCCCTTTTTCATTCTTCATTCTTCCGGGGATACATTTATCTTTCCCCCAAATAATTTACTCTCCCTTTGGTTGCCTTTGTCCCCTCTCTTTCTCCCCTTTGCAGAAAAGTACATAAGCTTCCAGCCTCACTGGGTGTTGGGTTTCACTTTTCTTTCACGTGATGCCTCCCGTGCCCACATGTAAATTTGTAAGCCTTATTCTCCTGTTAATCTGCCTGCTGTCCATTCATCTCACAGACTCAATTATCGAACCCTCTGAGGGTAGAGGGAAAGCGTTTCCTCCCCACAACACCTGGGTTGATTCAGTATTTCAGCTATTGTGAATATGCTGCAATGAGCACGGGGATGCAGACAACTCTTCAACACCCTGAATGCATTTCCTTTGGATATATACCCAGTAATGGAGTTGCTGGATCACATGGTGGCTCTATTTTTAGTTTCTTGAGGAACATCCATGCTGATTTTCCACAGTGGCTGTACTAACTTACATTCCCACCAACAGTGTACAAGTGACACTGTACTGTGGTCTGTTATACCCTCCTTTTCTGGCTTTCACATTTTGTCTGTGGTGCACTCCTCAAATGAGTTCCGTGGCATGCCTTGTTCCTGTTTTCACTGGAACATACTGCACGCTATGAGGATTATTTCTTCGTGGAGGCCTGGTCATACTTGGTTGATGAGCAGAAGGACCATTTGCCTTTTAGAAGCAGATGTTTGACTTCAAGTTTAAAATCTTCTGTAATTACTGATCAAATTAACATCTCCACAATACTAGTTAACACTTTTCTTAAAACGTCTTTTGTTTCCTAATACTTTTTCTACATTTTTGCACAAAGTTATTTCATTTTAATTACTCTTAATTTACTTTAATTTTGGAAGTGAGCTTTCTTTTCAACAATCCATAAATGGTTTTTTATTTTCTCTTTTTTCTTGTTCATATTTTCCCAACATTGTCCCTTATATATTTCCGTATAGTTAACCAGATTTATTTCTTATCAATCTAATTTGTTTTATATTTTAATCAATTTATCGTTTACCATTATGAATTTCTTTTTTTTCTTACTTTTTCTTTTGAAACAGAGTCTTGTTCTGTCACCCGTGCTGGAGTACATTGGTGCCATCTTAGCTCACTTCAATCTCTGCTTCCCAGGTTCAAATGATTCTCCTCCCTCAGCCTCCTGAGTAGCTTGCATTATAGGTGCGCACCACCACAACCAGCTAATGTTTGTATTTTTAGTAGAGATGGGGTTTCTTCATGTTGGCCAGGCTGGTCTTGACTCCTGGCCTCACATGATCTGCCCACATTGGCCTCCCAAACTGCTAGGATTACAGGCATGAGTCACCACACCTGGCCATTTTATCATTATGAATTTTTGTTCTACTTTTTCCTTTTACTTTTTTTTTTTTTTTACAGATTTTAGTCTTGTTCCAGTTTTTGTTTACCTAACTTCTTCAGTTAAAGTTGGCTTATTAAAATGTTAAATTTCTTAGGAAATGGTAATCTTTGGAGGTTAAAAAGATTTAAATTTCTTATTATTCTCACAATGCACCTAAAACTATACAGCTACACATTTTTTCTCTTAGAACAGCTTCTGTTGTATTCTGAATATCTTCTTATGTTGTACTTTCAATCCTAGATACCTTCTTCTCTAAACTTGGTGGATCTTCTGAAAGTTGGAGCAGAATGGGCTTTATAGTTTAAAAGGTCCACTGCTGTCCAGGGATGTGAATTCTTTGAGGAGGGAGTTACTGCACAAGGAGGTCGGGAGCTGACGGAGTCTGATGACAAGGCCCTGGGATGTAGGAGAGGGCACAAGGCACAGCAAAGCCAGCCTCACTGCATGTCCCTGGAGCCTGTGCCAGGTCTACTTCCTGGCTGCCAGCTTTTCCACAAATGCTGTGTGCACCTCACACTTTCAGATCAGGCCGAAAGATTTCTGTAGGTCATGCCAGGAAAGGGAGGTTAAGCAGGCAGCTGTCTAAGGGGTTTGGGGGAAGCTTGGGGGAGTCACAGGATTTTGTTGAAGAGAGAGAGGTGGAGGAGATGGGGCTGTGTGTTGGGGAGGAAGGTTCAGACTGGAGATCTAGAAATCCATTAGATCCTCTGGTGGGTCAGGGACAAGAGTTGGGGGTGTTGGGGGTATAAGTGGGTGGAGAAGGAGGATTTATGGTGGGAGTGGATTTCAACGTCTGCTCTAGGTCAGCTTTTGGCTCCTTAATTTTGTTAAGGGATGTTTTAAGACTAACCATAGTACATTCTGTGTTCCTCTATCAGTGTGATCTTCCCATAGATGCCAGCAGACCAGTTGTTTAGAACGAGTACTCTCTAACATGTTTTAAACATGGATCCGTCTCTGGCCATAGCTGATTTGGATCTGCACTGGTGCATATGTTCCAGTAGTGCCTTAATCTGCCTTTCCAGGGAAAGGCCAGGAGGTGGCTTTCCATCATTACCAGCATGCAAGGGGTGTTCCTGCAGTAGGTGCAGAAGAGGCAGCCCGTGATCCAAAAATTCACTCTCAGAGATGGATGAAGAAAGCAAAGACTTACATTGCCATGTGCAGGTAGGGAGAGTGTTTGTGCAGACCACGCCTCCAGTCTCCCATGGAAGCTGAGACACCTTCAGCCTCAGGTCCACTCACTGTGACACTGGGCAGGTGATGCTGGAATAGGAGTCTCCCAGCACTAATCAGGGCAACAAGGATAAGATGAAGAAAGCCCTTATGAATTGGCATCTTACAACAAAACTCCGTGAGCGCTTGACACATACAGACAGAGAGAGTGCCACCTGGGTCTCATGTGTCTTGAGTCCCCAGTCTGGTCAGACTGCTGCCTGGCACAGAGCCACACTCTGTGCCCCTCCGATGGCAGAGACCAGAGAGGCATCCTCCTTGGTCACACAGCCAAGCTCTCAGGACATAAAACGAGGTGAGAGGGGTACCCCATCCCTTTTGTTTTTTTGTTTCAGGGACCCACAGCACAGTTTGCTTAGGCAGACATGGGTCTGACAAGCACAACAAACCCAAGTGCTGGGGACCCAGCAGACTTTGAAGGACCTGTGCCTGTGTTCTCTACCCGACACTTCCTCTCCTTATGACAAACGGCAGAAAAAGACAGAGACAAAGGAAAACAAAGACCATCTTTGAGATCAAAAGGATCAAATAGAAATCTAAACACTAAAAGTCCCTTTTTACCCAAAGAACTATTTCACAATGTTTTATCCTGTCAATCCCAATTTAGAGAGAGAAAAAGACACAAATCTCACCATTCTCACCTAGATCAGCCCCACAGCAGAGACCTGGAAGGCTAGCAGTAAGAACCCTGCCTTTGCTGGCTTAGGTCAGAGGTCCCGGGTCTTAGCTGCAGTATCTCCAGAATAAGCAATTTCCCAGTCAGTGAGGGAGGGCCCCGGACTCTGTGCCACGTTCTGCAGGGACCCAGAGATCACCTCCAACCCCACTTAGCTCTTACATGGGCTCCTCAGCTGGATCTAGAAACCAAATTGAAATCAAGCATATTAACAAGAGAAAAGCATACAAATTGTATTAGTATTAAAGGTACATGGGGATCTTCCCAAGTTAGTGAAGTCTGAAGTAGCCAAAGCAAGATGCTTTTGTACTTTTTAGACAGAATGATAAATTTGAGAAGAAATGACAAGGCCAAGCAGAATCTGGCTAGGGGCAGTAAATTTCCAGGGGAGCCTCTAGGTGATATGCGGGAATATAAAATCAATGGCAACAAGGCTTACTTCATGAAGTACATTTACTTGGGTCAGTTGCTGCCCCCAATCCCCAGTCTCCAGTGCTAAGGGCTCTCTTCTTGCCCTTGTGTGGGGGTGCCACCCCCAGAGGAGTCTTTATGGCTTGCTACATGCAGGAAGAGGCAGGTCAGCTCACCCTTTCTAAAACTACGATTTCTCCAATATTTTTGACATAAAATTATCAATATACCAATTTGGCATATTTTGGGATGGCATTCACTCCTTCAAGGGAAAGGTGGGATGGGGAGGTGTGGGGTCAGGTGAGGATGTGGTGAAAGACAAGGTGGGGTATGGATGGAAATGGGCTCTAGGGGAAGAGGGAACAGGCATGGAAGGGGTGAGGAGAGAGAGGGCCATGAGCCATGGGTCTGGAGGCAGAGAGGGAGGCACTGGTGCAGGTGATAAAACCTCACATGAGGGGTGGCACAGGTCAGGGGGAAGGTGGAGGCCACTGGTGAGGAGACTGGGGGTTGGCATTGACAAATCCACAGATCCCAAAGGTGATGGGGAACAGCAGCGTCTTCCCCGGCTCCCCACACAGCAGCATGTTGGCCTCCAGATATACTCCATCACCCCCCTGGGCAGGGCTCACACTTCTGACACCCAGACTCTACAATACTCCTCTGTCCCCACCCAGGGCAGATCCCTACCCTAGAAGTTCTCCCTCTCATGTCTGGTAAATGCTGCACAGAGCCCTGGAATTCCACAGGGCAAGTTAGGAAGAGGGACAGCTGAAATCAGGAAGTAATCACCTTCTCCAAAGAGAAGTTCAGTCCAGTACCATCTTGTGCCCCTGGGCAAGCTCTCCAGGCTGAGGGAACAGGAGCAGTGGTTATGCTGGGCAAAGTTGGAAGCAAGGGACCTCTCAGGAAGTGCTGTAGAATGTTCCACTGGGGACACCTCGTACCCTACCAGGATTAGACCTTGAAACCTGGAGATCCCAGGCAATTAGTATTCAAGGTCAAAGGGCCAGTGACAGGAATAGGAAGGCCCACTGTGTCATTCACAAAGCACTTCCAAACCCATCACCCCAGGTGACCCTCACAACAACCCCGTGAGATCTGCAGGGCAGGGGCTCCCACAAAGAAGGAGTCAGGAATGTCGGGATTTTAACACCTTCTCCAAGTCAGGACCAGGAAATGCTGTCCCAGCACCAACTTATATTCCCTAGGCTTCCTCCCACACCACAGCTTAGGGTGACTGCCACCTCATGGGCAGAGACCCTAGCTTTCCAATCCTTACAAGGGGCTGTGCAGGGGAGAGGATGAAGCCCCCTCCTCTGACTGTCTCCTCTAAGAGCCTGTTTTCTGATGAAAGTCACTCTGGGAACTGTCAGCCTCTGCAAATGGGGGCCTGGACCTCGTGGAAAGAAGATGTGAAGGTCACACCTGGCAGGGACCAGCTCTGGAGGGCAAACCTCACCTTTTAAAATTCCCAACTTGCATGTCCTCCTGCCACTGCATTGATGCTGACTTCTAAAGGAGCAGCGGACGTGAAAAAGTTGACTTTCTTCTAGGTTAACTTCATGAAGATTATTAAAGTGATGAAAATATTTATCCTATTCTCTATAAAGCTCCAGCGAATATGGTTTTCTGCACATGCTTATCAAAGAATCTTTTAGCCAGGAGCCCTCTGCTGAAGAACAGTGTACAATCTCAGCTGGGACGCACATGTTGCTTCTGGAAACAGATGAACACAGTCTGATCAGAGTCTTTCATGGGTCAGCGTTGCTCCAGGCCAGCCCAGCACAGTCAGGAGCCTCGGCCCAGGCACGCCCAAGAAGGGAGGGTGGCTAGTGCCCAGATGCTGGGGGACTGCTCTTTTCGGGTGCTCTTAATTCTGTTAAGAAGCCAATCCATGGCCCCGATGTCGTGGTGTTTGGGGCTTTACCCTGGCATCCTGAACACACCCAGATAGCTGGGTGTGAGCACTGGAGAGAAGCCCCGGTCTCCACTCCACCTCCTGCCCTGCCCAAGCTGCTCCCCTGGACTGATAGTGTTCTAGTCTCTCCTGAGCATTCTCATTCCTGGGGCCCCTGGGGTCCAATAGTCAATTTAGGAGCCCATCTAAAGAGACTATCTCTTTTAGGGGGCTGGCTTTAGGGTTCCCTTACCGATGAATTGGTAAATATGGATGGCAGTGGATGTAGTTGCATGACAGAAAGCACATCCCAACCCCACACAAAATAATGAGAAATGGAACCAAAGTCCCAGGGCTCTCCAAGCACAGAAGAAGCCACCAAATATTCTCCATCTCCATCATCTGAAGTGAGCTGATGCCTCGGCAGCTGGGTGCAGATAACATGCAGCTCAGTGCAGAGCTCCAGGCCCGCATCACAGGCTGTGGAAGGGTTACAGATTACTCTTGTGCTCAGAAGGAGACAAAACAATCAGCTCTCCCACTGATCCCACCCCAGCAGGCCCAGCACCCCTCCCAGCTTCCAGGCCCCACCACCCTGCTGCCACTACCTATTTTCTGTCTCCAAATTTACTTTACTGTAAGTTCCTTTTCACTCTGTCCATGACCCAGACATAAGCAGGGATTCCCTCAGAGAAACAGACTTGGATCCCAGCTTTGGAGGTCTGAAGATCTCCAGGAATTTTTTCTAATTCTCAGGCATTAAAACAAATTTTTTTGGAAGTATAACATACAGATGGAAAGCACAAATATCTTAAGCCTACAATGCAATGGATTCTCACAAACAGTACACTATGAGAGTTGAACTCACACCAGAAAATGGGATCACCCCAGGACCTGGAAGCCTCTCTAGGGCCCCTTTCAAGACATCACCTATGCCCCGCCCCCCCCACCAAACTTTCCTGACTTATGATTTTCCAGGAACAATTTTATAGTTTTCCTGTGTTTTCACTCAACTAACATTTACAGTAATCCTCTGAGATAAACACTGCACTATCCCCCGTTGCAGATGGGAAGCTGGAAGCACAGACACTGGTTATTGATCAGGTGCCCACTGCTAAGGGTGGAGCCAGGGTCCCACGTGGAAGCTCCCTGCAGAGCCACATTCTTGAAACATTGAACTGCGCTGCGAAAAGCCCTTTGGCTGCCTGGGCACAGTGGCTCACACCTGTAATCCCAGCGCTTTGAGAGGCCAAGGTGGGATGGTTGCTTGAGTCCAAGAGCCCAAGACCATCCTGAGCAACATAACAAGACCCTGTCTGTTAAAATAATAATAATAATAATAAAATTAAATTAGTGGGTGTGGTGGTGCATGCCTGCAGTCCCAGCTACTCAAAAGCTGAGATGAAAGGAAAAAAAAAAAAGAAAAAATCCCTTGGCAAGCAGGAACAATAGCTCAGTTCAATGCAATTGGGTGTGTAGAAGAATCACCACCAAGCTCTGGGAAGGCTAGGCAGAGGGTTTTGCACACACTCAGGGAGTCCTGTCCTCTCTACTGTGGTTGGAACCTGAGAGGGGCTGTGAGGCTCTGAGCAGGAGAGAGACTTGCCCAAAGGCCAAAGACAGGGAGGAGTAGAGTCTAACATGAGTACAAGATTGACTAGGACCATCGTTTATCTCTTTACACAGGAACAGGAGGAACTTGAGGCAAGGAAGGGCTATATAAGATGCAGTCCCCTCCCTGCAGGGGCCAGCTTGGTGCTGGATGCATGGTTGGTTTTATAGTGACTTGAACTCTGGGACTGCGGCAGGTGGGGCCAGATCCTTGACTGTGCAGGAATAGACCTCTTCCCTGAACCGACAGATGCTGTATGAGGAGGGGAGGAGGGCTGGGAAGCCAGCCAGGCTGGGGTGGGTGGGCAGAGAGTGTTGGGGTTTCTCACCTGTCCTAACAACCACAACCACCTTTCTGGCCTTAGAAAGAGGCAACAGGGAGTGTGCGTTTTGTAGAGTTCTTCAGGGCTGGGCAGAGCCCCTGAGGAGATTTGTTGGGGGTGGAAGGACAGAATTCAGATGAAGGAGACTTGGAAAAATGAGTTTTAAGAAGTTTTATTGTGGGTTATGATTTCGATAATGATTAGAATTGCGTTTCAGGGTGGGCATGGTGGCTGATGCCTGTAATCCCAAAATTTGAAGAGGCAAATGCAGGAGGATCACTTGAGGCCAGGAGTTCAAGACCAGCCTGGACAACATAGCAAGACCCCTTCTCTGCAAAAAAAAAAAAAAAAAAAAAAAAAATTGAAAATTAGCCGGGCATGGTGTGACACACACCTATAGTCCCAACTAGTTGAGAGGCTGAGGCAGGAGGATCACTTAAGCTCAAGAGTTCAAGGCTGCAGTGAGCTATGATCAACCACTGCACTCCAACCTGTTTCCAAAAAAAGACAAGAATTACATTTCAGTATAATGAAATCATAATTTTTAAAGGTAAATACTATAACCTTTAATTGAGAGAGAAAAAGAGTTTGACAGCTTCAAACTTGATACTGGCATAAAAATAAACAAAATAGCCCAAAAGTCCTTGTAAATATTCATGTATATATAGGAACTGATAACAGAACAAAGGTTGTTTTCCAAAGAAATGAGGGATGGCTCACAGGTTCATTGAGTATTGTTGAGGAAATAGGCTATCCATCTTTGCAAATGCTCAGATTATTCCTACCACACAATATACAGAATCTAGTTGCTGTATAAGGAAGAAGAGGGTGGCTCTGGGCAGACACCTGTGTTTCAATCCCAGTTTTGCTCTATGCACCTCTATGGCCTAGAGAAAGTTACCCTACCTCTCTAGGTATATGCTATCCAGATCTTAAGCGGGTTTAAGAAAATAGCTAGGCTGGTCATGGTGGCTCACACCTGTAATCCCAGCACTTTGAGAGGCAGAGGTGGGAGAATTGCTTGAGGCTAGGAATTCAAGACCAGTCTGGGCAACACAGTGAGTCCCTGTCTCTACAAAAATAAAAAATAAAAATTAGATGGCATGGTGGTGCATAACTGTAGTCCAAGCAACTCGGGAGTCTGAGACAGGAGGATTGCTTGAGCCCGGGAGTTCAAGGCCACAGTGAGCTATGATTGCACCACTGCACTCCAGCCTGGGCAACAGAGCAAGACCCTGTCTCAAAGGAAAAAGAGAGAAAGAAAGAAAGGTAGCTAAATCATAGAATGGTTCTGATAAACTGGGCTCTAGATGTGAAGACCTTAGAACAATGCCTGGCATGTTCAGTAAATACTATTTCCCCATATCCGTCTATTAATAGCACGCTAAACATAGGAGGAGAAGGCCACACAAGCAAGTGGGTTACAAACTTCTGGTTCTGGGTAGGACTCAGGAGCAGAGAGAGATAGATGAGGGATGATGGAGGATAGCAGTGGACTCACTAAGATTGACTTCCTGGCTCAAATCTTGGAGAGGAAAAGGGAAAATCCCAAAGGACTTTGGCCATGGGAGTTTTGCTGCTAGTATTCCAGGGCATGTCCTGTGATTCATGCTCGTTAAGACAAAGAATTTTATAGCAGTTGCCATCCCAGAAAATTCCTATTCCAGCTTCCCTGGGCCACAGGTGAGACAGAGGCTCTCTAAAGTCAACCCGCAGGTTTGGCTTCTTCCATTTACCTGTGCCCTTTCTTTCAACAAGAGGCCTCCAAGGCTGCCACGATGGAGAAAAGAAATGGGGATTACACAGGAGACAGTTCTGTGAGCCAAGCCCCAAAGCGGCAGCCTGAGCTTCTGCCCACATCATACCGACAAGGACTCAGTCCTGTGGCTCCTGCTACTGGCAGGGAGGTGAAGTTTCCCTGATCTGCAAGAGGAACATGAGTGGGTTAGGTGAGCAATAGCACTGACTGCACCAGCATGCCTTCAGGTCAGCAGATTATCATATTTCTGTTGCCACTACACACCAATAAAACAGAAACTCACTCTGTCTCCAAGGTGGCCATGCAAAGGACTCTCTAGTAATTCCATCCTGCTCAAAGCTCAGGACCATTGGCTCACACAGAGTCCTCTCCAAAGCAGCAAGATGTGGCCCTGTGCAGCCAGGAGACAGAATAATAACCTAATTCCCATTCAGAACATGCAGAACATGGACCAAGGAGAAACACAGAATAATTTGTGTAGCCTACGGGGCTGGCAATGGGAAGATAGTAAGAATGTTTTCCTTGATTGGACATCAAGTCTGCTCTCTGGAATTAAGTCCATTTTCATTTTGTTTTCTCCTCTTGTGCCTGGCTCTCCTCTCCAAGGAATTCATCATTGTCTGTTACCATCTTGGTCACTTCTGAAGTGGGTTTGGGGGAAAAAGTCTCTGTGGGAGCTGCAAGTTTAGCAGCCTACTTCCTTGCAAAGATGGTACCAAGACTTGCCTATGGGTCCAATGGTTTTAGATCCTGCTCTGCATTTAGACAATGCTCATAGCTGCTTTGCAAGCCACCCCAAACCTTGGTTAACTCACATCCCTGTGTTTCCAGTCAGTTCCATGAGCCAATTACCACACCCCAAAGGCCTTTCTTTCTTGGACATAATTCTCAAGACTGAGCCTTGGTAGATTGGACTTCTAAAATACTCTCTTACTACTTGGGGTCCAGAAGCAGCAAGGTTTTTCCACCTTACAAAGTCTGATGTTTCTGGATTCTCTTGATTTCTTTTTAGTTATACTTACATACTGGGAAAATTATTGAACTCATCTTCCTCCAATTACTTGCCAAATGCATTTATCAATATAGAACACACACTACTAACATTGTTTATCAAACTCTTCCCTTATAGTCACAAGTTCAGCAGCAGGTGCATAATCTGCCATCTAAGTAACTGCAAGTGATGACTTTACCAAAGGCTTTGTTATCACTTAAGATGGATTCAGCTTTCATTAGAATTATTCATCAAAATAATATAATACAAAAACCAAATAAAATGTGGCTACACCATAAATTTTGGTAAATGATTAGCAAATATAAAAATTAAAAAATTTTGGAACGCTTCTCTTAATGAGACAGATGGACTTCTGTCCCAGCTTTGCCATGAATCTGTGAATGAACAGTTACCTGCTAGAATGTGACAGAGTTCAACATCAGTCATACACCTATTTTTTCACTTGTTCAGTTTGAAGTCCTGAGAAACCTTGCTTACATAAATAAGCAGATAGGAATGGAAAGGGTCTTTATGCAATTATTTGAACTCTTTCAAAGTTATAGACCAAAAAGCACAGTTATATATAATAAAAGTTATTGTAAATGACCCATCTGCTGACAACTGGATTTGTTCCACCTTCAGTTTGTTCAAATGAAGAATTGAAACTTATGTGACTCGTAGTGGGATTTGATATCCAGGAATTAAAGACAGTCTCACCTGAAATACCTACTTCAGTATTTTAAATTATCCCCTTGTTAATCCCTGGAGATATGGATCTATGGTCTATAGTAAGATGCAAGATTGTTGAAAGGGAACCTCTTGTGAAGTGGGAGAAGGGCTATTCTAAATAGGGACTCTTTGATCTCATGCTAGATCTTAGGAAGATCATATTTTGGAAACAGCCCAGGTAGAAGTTAAAGATCTGAAAATTAATTTCTTTAAAACCATCCATGGGAAAGTTCTGAGTTAGGAATTCCAAAGGCCTGCCTTCTACCAAAACAGTGAAACCACTGGCAAAAAACTGTCAAAATCACTCTTTATAGAACTCTGGAAAAGCTTGCAGCAAGCAGTAGAGCACATATTCAAGAAAAACTGCTGACACCAATAAGAAAAGCTTGCTCCAGGGTGCTTTAGCTTATCCTGGTTCCATCTCCTGCTTCCCTTGAAAACTCACAGCTGTTGTTCCCAGTGTGGTACTGAACAGATCAGAAATGAAGATATTCTCAGAGAGTTGGAACTGCTCATTTTGATCTGTCAGATTGCTCCCCAGAAGACTAGCTCCAAAGGATTGCCATTCTCTTGTCCACCTTGGAACTCACCCCAAACTGAAGCACCACCTCAGAGCAATTGTTGACAACATATATGGCAAATGTTCCAGGCCCAACTTCCAAAGGGAATGGACAGTTGCTGGGGAAAACAACAGGTTAACCAAAACTTACTGGGAGAAAAGTCTGGAAATAAGATGTTTTAGGCAACAAGGGCTTTGGAAAATTGTTACAAATTCCTGGGAATCTTGAAGGCCGCACACATGCCCAGGGCTCTGTGCACCCTCAGAGAAGAGCTCAGACAGCTCTAAGCTCACCCTTGGCTGATCATGAGGTTCAACACAGGCAGGAAGTGAAGGTTAAGACCAGGTTGGAAACCACCTGGCTGAGCATTGAAGGAATGACCTCAAAATGCAAACACTTCCTCTGCAAAGATTAGATTTTTATTTTATTTTATTTTATTTCTTTAGACAGAGTCTTGCTCTGTCACCCAGGCTGGAGTACAGTAACATGATTATAGCTCACTGCAGCCTCAAACTCTTGGGCTCAAGTGATTCTCCCACCTCAGCAGCTGGGAATACAGGTGTGTGCCACCACACTCAGCTAATTTTGAATTTTTTGTAGAGACGGGGTTTCACGATATTGCCCAGGCTGGTCGTGAACTCCTGGCCTCAAGTGATTCACCCATCTCAGCCTCCCAAAGTGCTGGCATTACAGACAACAGCCACCGCACCTGGCCAAGATTAGATTTTTTTTTTTTTTGAGACGGAGTCTCGCTCTGTCGCCCAGGCTGGAGTGCTGTGGCACGCTCTCGGCTCACTGCAACCTCTGCCTCCCAAGTTCAAGCAACTCTCGGGCCTCAGCCTCCCAAGTAGCTGGAACTACAGGCACCCACCACCATACCCAGCTAATTTTTTGTATTTTAGTAAAGACGGGGTTTCACCATGTTGCCCAGGGTGGTCGTGAATTCCTAAGCTCAGCCATTCCACCCACCTTGGCCTCCCAAAGTGCTAGGATTACAAGCATGAGCCACCATTCCTGGCCTAAAATCAGCTCTTTTAAGTATGTCCAAAGAGCTACAAGAAACCATGTTCTAAAGAACTATGGTGAGGACGAAAACAGTATCTCACCAAATAGAGAATATTAACAAAGAGATGGGAATTATAAAAAGAAATTCAGAAGTTAAAAAGCACAATAACTGCAATCAAAATTCAATGGAAGGCTCACCAGTGCATTTGATCAGGCAGAAGAAAAGAACTGACACCATGGTTTAGGTCACAGCATCCCAGATGCTGCAACTAGATTTTTCCTTTCTTAGGAACCTTGGGGTCCAAGGGTTGTAGTCCCACTGGTGTTCAACAACACACGGATCAATGTGTGTCCATGCAGTACATTTAATTCCGAACCCCCATTTGGGGGTACTGTCAGGCTTATAGATGCCTTCATATACATACATTATGAGATGCTAGGATATTCCTGCTGCTCATTACTAGGACAGAGCTCCAGCTGCCATTTCAACAAAAAATCCCAAAAAGTCAACTAAATTCAACGCCTTCATCTGCACTCAATGAGCCTGTCTGCCCAGTGGGGATTGTGGACAGAGCAGAAGCATTATGACACGTTACGTGTTGGGGTTTTTAGTGCTAAGTTTGTGTGATGAGAATTGCTGAACCCTCTGATGTGGGGTGAGTCATTAAATTGTCTCCCCTGCCACTGAATAGATTCCAACATAGCCTGGCCACACGTCCAAGGGTGTGGGGGACAGAGGGGGAGCCGAAGCACTGATGCTCCCTGATCCTTTGATCAGTCAAGATGACTAAGGTGGGTGCACACAGAAGGCGGGGGCAGGAAAGTGCTGGGGTGGATGTTGGAGAACCGACACTAGTGGAGCTAACCCAAAATCACTAAATCAGGGATTTCAGATGGCGTCTACTGTTAGGGAGATGAGAATCCTCATGTGAGATGAGTCAGGTTCTCCTGGGAATTGCCATGGGGCAGGGGGTTGGGGGGGAGTTAAATGGCACTCCTGAACACTAGGGCTAATTAATAATAAAGCCCTATATTTCCATTTTACTGCCAATCACATGGAGACATAAACATCTTCCTGATGGGAGCCATAGCCAAAGCCTTTCCACTTGCAAGAGCTCCGACTTCCCTTCAGTGCATGCGGGTTGACCAGGGAGACTACAAGAGGGGGCAGGGGTGAGATTCGTGGCAGGTGAGCCTGGGAGCAGAGCAGAGAGAAGCACTGTTGTACCATGGCTTCTTTTTCCAATTTTGCTTTTTTTTTAAATTATACTTTAAGTTCTAGGGTATATGTGCACAACGTGCAGGTTTCTTACATATGTATACATATGCCATGGTGGTGTGCTGCACCCATTAACTCGTCATTTACATTAGGTATATCTCCTAATGCTATCCCTCTCCCTTCCCCCCACCCCACGACAGGCCCCAGTGTGTGATGTTCCTCTTCCTGTGTCCAAGTGTTCTCATTGTTCAATTCCAACCTATGAGTGAGAACATGTGGTGTTTGGTTTTTTGTCCTTCTGACAGTTTGCTGAGAATGATGGTTTCCAGCTTCATCCATGTCCCTACAAAGGACATGAACTCATCCTTTTTTATGGCTGCATAGTATTCCGTGGTGTATATGTGCCACATTTTCTTAATCCAGTCTATCGTTGTTGGACATTTGGGTTGGTTCCAAGTCTTTGCTGTTGTGAATAGTGCCGCAATGGACATAAGTGTGCATGTGTCTTTATAGCAGCGTGATTTATAATCCTTTGGGTATATATCCAGTAATGGGATGGCTGGGTTAAATGGTATTTCTAGTTCTAGATCCTTGAGGAATTGCCACACAGTCTTCCACAATGGTTGAACTAGTTTACAGTCCCACCAACAGTGTAAAAGTGTTCCTATTTCTCCACATCCTCTCCAGCACCTGTTGTTTCCTGAGTTTTTAATGATCGCCATTCTAACTGGTGTGAGGTGGTATCTCATTGTGGTTTTGATTTGCATTTCTCTGATGGCCAGTGATGATGAGCATTTATTCATGTGTCTGTTGGCTGCATAAATGTCTTCTTTTGAGAAGTGTCTGTTCATATCCTTCACCCACTTTTTGATGGGGTTGTTTTTTTCTTGTAAACTTGTTGGAGTTCATTGTAGATTCTAGATATTAGCCCTTTGTCAGATGAGTAGATTGCAGAAATGTTCTCCCATTCTGTAGGTTGCCTATTCACTCTGATGATAGTTTCTTTTGCTGTGCAGAAGCTCTTCAGTTTAATTAGCTCCCATTTGTCAATTTTGGCTTTTGTTGCCTTTGCTTTTGGTGTTTTAGACATGAAGTCCTTTCCCATGCCTATGTCCTCAATGGGGGGCATTGCCTAGGTTTTCCTCTAGGATTTTTATCGTTTTAGGTCTAACATTTAAGTCTTTAATCCATCCTGAATTAATTTTTGTCTAAGGTGTAAGGAAGGGCTCCAGTTTCAGCTTTCTACATATGACTAGCCAGTTTTCCCAGCACCATTTATTAAATAGGGAATCCTTTCCCCATTTCTTGTTTTTGTCAGGTTTGTCAAAGATCAGATGGTTGTAGATGTGTGGTATTATTTCTGAGGGCTCTGTTCTGTTCCATTGGTCTATATCTCTGTTTTGGTACCAGTACCATGCTGTTTTGGCTACTGTAGCCTTGTAGTATGGTTTGAAGTCAGGTAGCGTGCTGCCTCCAGCTTTTTTCTTTTGGCTTAGGATTGTCTTGGCAATGCAGGCTCTTTTTTGGTTCCATATGAACTTTAAAGTAGTTTTTTCCAATTCTGTGAAGAAAGTCATTGGTAGCTTGATGGGGATGGCATCGAATCTATAAATTACCTTGGGCTGTATGGCCATTTTCACGACATTGATTCTTCCTATCCTTGAGCATGGAATGTTCCTCCATTTGTTTGTGTCCTCTTTTATTTCATTGAGCAGTGGTTTGTAGTTTTCCTTGAAGAGGTCCTTCACATCCCTTGTAAGTTGGATTCCTAGGTATTTTATTCTCTTTGAAGCAATTGTGAATGGGAGTTCACTCATGATTTGGCTCTCTGTTTGTCTGTTATTGGTGTATAAGAATGCTTGTGATTTTTGCGCATTGATTTTGTATCCTGAGACTTTGCTGAAGTTGCTTATCAGCTTAAGGAGATTTTGTGCTGAGACAATGGGGTTTTCTAAATATACAATCATCTCATCTGCAAACGGGACAATTTGACTTCCTCTTTTCCTAACTGAATACCCTTTATTTCTTTCTCCTGCCTGATTACCCTGGCCAGAAATTCCAACACTATGTTGAATAGGAGTGGTGAGAGAGGGCATCCCTGTCTTGTGCCAGTTTTCAAAGGGAATGCTTCCAGTTTTTGCCCATTCAGTATGATATTGGCTGTGGGTTTGTCATAAACAGCTCTTATGATTTTGAGATATGTCCCATCAATACCTAATTTATTGAGAGTTTTTAGCATGAATGGTTGTTGAATTTTGTCCAAGGTCTTTTCTGCATCTGTTGAGATAATCATGTGGTTTTTGTCTTTGGTTCTGTTTATATGCTAGATTACATTTATTGATTTGCCTGTGTTGAACCAGCCTTGCATCCCAGGGATGAAGCCCACTTGATCATGATGGATAAGCTTTTTGATGTGCTGCTGGATTCGGTTTGCAGTATTTTATTGAGGATTTTTGCATCAATGTTCATCAGGGATATTGGTCTAAAATTCTCTTTTGTGGTTGTCTCTCTGCCAGGCTTTGTTATCAGGATGATGCCGGCCTCATAAAATGAGTTAGGGAAGATTCCCTCTTTTTCTATTGATTGGAATAGTTTCAGAAGAAATGGTACCAGCTCCTCCTTGTACCTATGGTAGAATTCGGCTGTGAATCTGTCTGTTCCCAGATGTTTTTTTGGTTAGTAGGCTATTAATTATTGCCTCAATTTCAGAGCCTCTTATTGGTGTATTCAGGGATTCAACTTCTTCCTGGTTAATCTTGGGAGAGTATATGTGTCCAGGATTTCATCCATTTCTTCCAGATTTTCTAGTTTATTTGCATAGAGGTGTTTATAGTATTCTCTGATGGTAGTTTGTATTTCTGTGGGATTGGTGGTGATATCACCTTTATCATTTTTTATTGCATCTATTTGATACTTCTGTCTTTTCTTCTTTATCAGTCTTGCTAGTGGTCTATTAATTTTGTTGATCTTTTCAAAAAGCCAGCTCCTGGATTCATTGATTTTTTGAAGGGTTTTTTGTGTCTCTAGCTCCTTCAGTTCTGCTCTGCTCTTAGTTATTTCTTGCCTTCTGCTAGCTTTTGAATGTGTTTGCTCTTGCTTCTCTAGTTACTTCAACTTTGATGTTAGGGTGTCAATTTTAGATCTTTTCTCCTTTCTCTTGTGGGCATTTAGTGCTACAAATTTCCCTCTACACACTGCTTTGAATGTGTCCCAGAGATTCTGGTATGTTGTGTCTTTGTTCTCATTGGTTTCAAAGAACATCTTTATTCCTGCCTTCACTTTGTTATGTACCCAGTAGTCAATCAGCAGCAGGTTGTTCAATTTCCATGTAGTTGAGCGGTTTTGAGTGAGTTTCTTAATCCTGAGTTCTAGTTTGATTGCACTGTGGTCTGAGAGACAGTTTTTATAATTTCTGTTCTTTTACATTTGCTGAGGAGTGCTTTACTTCCAACTATGTGGTCAATTTTGGAGTAAGTGCGATGTGGTGCTGAGAAGAATGTACATTCTGTTGATTTGGGGTGGAGAGTTCTGTAGATGTCTGTTAGGTCTGCTTGGTGCAGAGCTGAGTTCAATTCCTGGACATGCTTGTTAACCTTCTGTCTCATTGATCTGTCTAGTGTTGAGAGTGGGGTGTTAAAGTCTCCCATTGTTACTGTGTGGGAGTCTAAGTCTCTTTGTAGGTCTCTAAGGACTTGCTTTATGAATCTGGGTGCTCCTGTATTGGGTGCATATATATTTAGGGTGGTTAGCTCTTTTTGTTGAATTAATTCCTTTACCGTTATGTAATGGCCTTGTCTCTTTTGATATTTGTTGGTTTAAAGTATGTTTTATCAGAGACTAGGATTGCAACCCCCGCCTTTTTCTGTTTTCCATTTGCTTGGTAGATCTTCCTCCATCCCTTTATTTTGAGCCTATGTGTGTCTCTGCACGTGAGATGGGTCTCCTGAATACAGCACACTGATGGGTCTTGACTCTTTATCCAATTTGTCAGTTTGCATCTTTTAATTGGAGCATTTAGCCCATTTACATTTAAGGTTAATATTGTTATGTGTGAATTTCATCCTGTCATTATGATGTTAGCTGGTTATTTTGCTCATTAGTTGATGCAGTTTCTTTCTAGCATCGAAGGCCTTTACAATTCAGCATGTTTTTGCAGTGGCTGGTACTGGTTGTTCCTTTCCATGTTTAGTGCTTCCTTTAGGAGCTCTTGTAAGGCAGGCCTGGTGTCACAAAATCTCTCAGCATTTGCTTGTCTTTAAAGGATTTTATTTCTCCTTCACTTGTGAAGCTTAGTTTGGCTGGATATGAAATTCTGGGTTGAAAATTCTTTTCTTTAAGAATGTTGAATATTGGCCCCCACTCTCTTCAGGCTTGTAGAGTTTCTGCTGAGAGATCCACTGTTAGTCTGATGGGCTTCCCTTTGTGGATAACCCAACCTTTCTCTCTGGCTGCCCTTAACATTTTTTCCTTTAATTCAACTTTGGTGAATGTGACAACTATGTGTCTTGGAGTTACTCTTCTTGAGGAGTTTCTTTGTGGCATTCTCTGTATTTCCTGAATTGGAATGTTGGCCTGCCTTGCTAGATTAGGGCAGTTCTCCTGGATAATATCCTGCAGAGTGTTTTTCAACTTGGTTCCATTCTCCCCATCACTTTCAGGTACACCAATCCAATGTAGATTTGGTCTTTTCATGTAGTCCCATATTTCTTGGAGGTTTTGTTCATTTCTTTTTATTCTTTTTTCTCTAAACTTCTCTTCTCACTTCATTTTATTCATTTGATCTTCAATCACTGATAGATTTCTTCCAGTTGATCTGAAGCTTGTGCATTCATCACGTAGTTCTTGTGCCATGGTTTTCAGTTCCATCAGGTCATTTAAGACCTTCTTTACACTGGTTATTTTAGTTAGCCATTCATCTAATCTTTTTTCAAGGTTTTTAGCTTCTTTGCGATGGGTTCGAACTTCCTCCTTTAGCTCGGAGAAGTTTGATCGTCTGAAGCCTTCTTCTCTCAACTCATCAAAGTCATTCTCCATCCAGCTTTGTTCCACTGCTGGCGAGGAGCTGCATTCCTTTGTAGGGGGAGAGGCACTCTGATTTTTAGAATTTTCAGCTTTTCTGCTCTGTTTTTTTCCCCATCTTTGTGGTTTTATCTACCTTTGGTCTTTGATGACGGTGATGTACAGATGGAGTTTTGGTGTGGATGTCCTTTCTCTTTGTTAGTTTTCCTTCTAACAGTCAGGATCCTCAGCTGCAGGTCTGTTGGAGTTTGCTGGAGGTCCACTCCAGATGGTATTTGCCTGGGTATCAGCAGCAGAGGCTGCAAAAGAGCGAATATTGCTGAACAGCAAATGTTGCTGCCTGATTTTTCCTCCGGAAGCTTCTTCTCAGAGGGGTACATGGCTGGGAGAGGCGTCAGTCTGCCGCTACTGTGGGATACCTCCCAGTTAGGCTACTCTGGGGTCAGGGACCCACTTGAGGAGGCTGTCTGTCCATTCTCAGATCTCAAACTCTGTGCTGGGAGAACCACTAGTCTCTTCAAAGCTGTCAGGCAGGGACATTTAAGTCTGCAGAGGTTTCTGCTGCCTTTTGTTTGGCTATGCCCTGCCCCCAGAGGTGGAGTCTACAGAGGCAGGCAGGCCTACTTGAGCTGCGGTGGGCTCCACTCAGTTTGAGCTTCCTGGTCACTTTACCAACTCAAGCCTCAGCAACGGTGGGTGCCCCTCCCCCAGCCTTGCTGCCACCTCGCAGTTCAATCTCAGACTGTTGTGCTAGCAATGAGTGAGGCTCTGTGGGCATGGGACCCTCCGAGCCAGGGGCAGGATATAATCTTCTGGTGTACCGTTTGCTAAGACCATTGGAAAAGCGCAGTATTAGAGTGAGAGTGACCTGATTTTCCAGTGTCATCTGTCATGGCTTCCCTTGGCTAGGAAAGGGAATTCCTGACCCTTTGCACTTCCTGGGTGAGGCGATGCCTCACCCTGCTTCAGCTCATGCTCGGTGGGCTACACCAACTATCCTGCATCCACTGTCCAACAAGCCCTAGTACCAGTACCTCAGTTGGAAATGCAGAAATCACCCATCTTCTGCATCACTCATGCTGGGAGCTGTAGACTGGAGCTGTTCCCATTCAGCCATCTTGGAATCGCCATTCCCTTTGGCGTCTTTGTCTCTGCTCTGCTTTGCCTGTATCATTATGGACTATCCCTAGGGGAGAATCTGGATGAACACAGGTGGTGGCTGAGTTCTCCACAGCCCACCTGCAGTGAGTGAGGACCTGCCTCTTCTCCTGAATGGTACCTCTTTAACCATCAGTTGGGCACATTTGTCTCTCAGCCTGGATCTTCTAAATGTGTCCAAGAAGTCTTAGTGCCAGTTGTTTCTCCAGGACTGTGGGAGGCTGTGGCAGCTCAGGGGCTGATTGGGAGATCATCTCTTTTCCAACCTTTCCCTCTATGAGTTCCAACTTCCATGAAGCCTGTGTCTTCTCAGAAGAGATGGGAGAGGTTTCTTTTTCTCATCCAGCCCACAGCCTCAGCAAGGGATCGCCCATATCAGTGGCTATCATGGGCCCAGGCATGAGGTGACCACAGGAGTTGGGGCTGCATGAGACACTCACCTTGCAGTTGGTGGCAGGTGTGTCCTCAGGGGAGTCCTGTCAGCCAGCACTCCAGGTGCGGGATGCAGGGCAGGGCAGCCTTCAAGGATAGCAGAAGAGTGGGTTGGGTTGGAGAGGGCAAGGAGGAATCACTTATGTATGCTCCCTAGTTTTAAACCTACTAAAATGTTTATAGGATAGACCTGAACAGTCTGATCATTTCAAAAGGTAAATAAAACTCTCCTTACAATCCTTGTCCTCAAAGTCCTTAGCCCCGCACACACAGGATTGTGCGCAATGAGGGAAGCTGCACCTGCCAGCCCAGGCCTGTGGAGTTCTGGGCGTTGCTTCATCACTTTGTGTCACTCCATAAGGGACTGTTCACGTGTATTTGTTCAGCTTCGCTCTCCAGAAGGCCCTTCAACTATTAGTCCATTGTATCTCTCAACTCTCCCAACAGATTGTTGAAGCATTTCACAGAGGAGGAACCCGAGGCTCCTATGAAGGAATAGTTCACCCAGAGTCATGGTTGATAGGCCACAGGTCATGGGGATGGCTTGCCTTGGGATGAGTGTGTAGATTGACTTTAAATTTCTAAGGAGGGGAGTTTAGATATGTATTCCCAAAACTTACCATCGCCATCTGGAAGTTTGAATTACCATCTTACTGGGAACTGTCCAGGTGACCTCACACTAGAGCTCATGTGATATCCGTTTATGATGAGGTGGTTGTGTGCTCAGGGTGCACACATATCTCTGAGTGGGTGTGAGGCACATGCCAGGTGGGCACAGAGACATCCACCTGGAATCCCAGAATGGTTTGAACCCCTCTACATATAGACCTTTCCTTGGTGCTGGGAAGTCAATTGTCCTCTCCGACCCTTGAGAGGGAAGGTCCTGGGTGGCCCATAATGTTTCAGATGTTTTAGGTATCAGTAACCTTTAAGGACATTACTGTGGATGCCACCCAGGAACAGTGGGCCCTGTGAGGCCCAGCCCAGAGGTGCCATGCTGGAGAACAATGGTCCCCTGGGCCTAGTGGGTGAGTCTGTCAGCACTGATTGATTTATTCATTTATCTTTAATAATTTCAACTTTTCTTTTCGATTCAGGGGGTCCTTGTGCAGGTTTGTTACATGGGCATATCATGTGATGCTGAGGTTTGGGGTACGATTGATATTGTCACTAAAGCAACGAGTGCACATGGTACACAACGGTTAGTTTTTCAACCCTTCCCCCCTTCTTCTCTTCCTTCCCCCTCTTGAATTCCCCAGTGTCTATTGTTCCTATCTTTATGCCCATGTGTACTCAACATTTACCTCCCACTTGTAAGTGAGAACATGCAGTATTTGGTTTTCTGTTCCTGAGTTAATTCACTTAGGATAATGGCCTCCAGCTGCATCCATGTTGCTGCAAAGCACGTGATCTCGTTCTTTTTATGACTGTATGGTATTCCATGGTGTATATGTACACATTTTCCGTAGCCAGTTCACCATTGAAGGGCAGCTAGGTTGGTTCCCTGTCTTTGTTATCGTGAATAACGATGATTTATTTTTTGAACATGTGTCCACGACAGCTTGGCCACACCCCTCCTCTCAGCCCTCAGTCACACTGGTTCTTTCACAGCACAAAGGACTACCTGAAGGAAGCTTGTTAATGTCTCTACATCTGGCTTGTCACCCACCAGAGCATCATCTTCCCATTGCAATGTCATGCCTTTCTGGCTGCTAGATCTCCAATACCCAGAACACTGTGGCTATCTTTAAAAAATAAATCACTAGATTAAATTTTTACCAAGCAACAACTCTGTTCTGAGCACGAAGCTAGCGTTTGAGAGCATAGCAGGAAAAATAACTGGCCCTTGCCTTTTTCTTGCAAAACTGAGATTGTGCTGGTGGAGCTTTCATTGATTGGATTATTATGAAAATAAAGGTCAGCCAGCTGTGGAATCTTCCTTCACTCTGCTCTGAGCCTGGCCATGCAAACCAGCAACATGAGCTCCCACTGCCTGGAGATCCGAGGCAGGACTCCCTCCTGTCCTGTGAGGGACACTGGTGTCCTCAGGGTCAGGGTGCTCTTCCCTGGCTGCCCTTGGAAGCCCACCTCATTCTTCCTCAGGAGCCTGCCCTGAACCTGAGGCCCATGCTTGGTTCTGGCATAGGATTCAAATCCCTGCAGCTTCACTGCAGAGCAGGAGCTCTGCCAGAGAGAATTTCCCAGGTGGAGCAAGGACAGGGCTGTGGAGGGCAGGGAAGGTCCTCCCTGGGGCCTGAGTCCAGGTGAGCCGCAGACAGGTGTGCTCCTGGGAGGACCTAGCCAGGGAGGGAGCAGGGTCTTAGTGAGCGCGGTGCGGAGTTCCAGGAATGGTGTTTTCAGGTAGTATGGGGGCTGCTGGTTGACCGGTTCCTTTGAGGTCATATTCCTCATGCGTATCAGTCTCCCTTCCTATATGTTCCTGTCCTCCTGGGCGTCGGAGTTTCCCGTTGCAGCCTCTGCCCTGACCCTTGCCCTTGGACCGTTTCCCTCCCCTTTCATCCCTGAAATCCCAGATCTATTCTATTTTTCCTCTTATATCAACCCTGAAAATGTTGTCTGTCCGTTTCCTAAGTCGTGTTTCCACTCGCTGGTGTACGGATTGTCAGGTTCTACCCCATGCAGCTGGGTGGGCCTCTCCGGCTCCTTCCTGCTCCTGTAGGTTTCATCCCCCACCTCCCCCAACAGCGGCTTTTAGCTGCCTGGGGCCGCCCGCCTGACCCTAGGACGAGTGCGGAATGACCCCCTCTCCACGCGGAGCCCTGAGCGGGAGGCGGCAGGGGCCCAGGCAGCAGGAACTGGGAACAAGCCGCCCGGCAGGAAGT
The DNA here is from genome assembly GCF_000001405.40 of Homo sapiens. Classification (NCBI taxonomy): domain Eukaryota; kingdom Metazoa; phylum Chordata; class Mammalia; order Primates; family Hominidae; genus Homo; species Homo sapiens. Next base: position 22,506,374 of record NC_000017.11, read on the forward strand.
TTCGGGTGGCTGGAATTTAGGAAGAAGCTAGCCTGAGCTCAAAACCTCCTGCTAAACAAACCTTAAGGCGCGCATCCGGCTCTGTTTCCCACCTGCAGGTTCCGCATTCCTTAGCCCAGCAGGCGGGGAGGCGGGAGCGGGGTCAGAATTGGTGGAAGGCTGGGGTTGCGGGGTGCAGAGAGTGCTGAGCCATGAAGACTTGGGGCAGCGAGGCCGAGTGATGGCAGAGCCTGGGGAGGTGTCCAGGCTGCGGGGGAGCAGGGACTTTGGAGCAATGACCCTGGGGGGACACTGAGCACAGGGCCAGGGTGGCGTCCAGGGGTCTCGGGTAGGCCTGGACTAAAGAGGCCTGGGAAGAGAGACGTGGGGAGGTCAAAGGGCCCTGGTGAGTCTGGATGAGGAGCAGAGGATTGAGTCCCCCCAGAACTGAGTCCAATGTTTTTGGGGGGAGGGACAAGGAAACAGTGAGGGGGTGGGGGCCATGTGCCACTGTTCGAGGGACAAACCCAGCTCAGAGGAAATAAGGCACGGGGGTGAGGTGACAAGGGACATGGGGGTGACAGGGCCATGAGATGAGGGGTGTCGAGGTCGGGCCAGGAAAAGATCAACTAAACAGCCGGGGGAAGTGGGGACCCAGGGAAGCAAGACATGGAGGCATGAGGGAGAAAAAGGGAGGAGGGGGAGCTCAGCAAATCAGTCACTGCCAGGCGCCTCTAGGAGTCTGATTTTGTGGCACCTTAGTCATGTTTTCAGAGAAGAGGTTCATAGTCTAGAGGATCCCATGGCCACATGGCCAACACAGGGAGGAAGTGGGGTGAAGAGCTGGGGTGCCCATCTGTGGCCCCGCTTCCTTGTGAGGTTCCCACAGGCCCTGTGGGCACACAGCCCAGCTCTGCCCTGAACTCAGGGCCTGCCTGGGTCCTGTCTCTTCCCTCCTGTACTTTCTGTCTCAGCTGAGCTGTTCTTGCCTGCACCTTAGCACCTCAGGCTGAGTGGGAGGGAGAATCCTAAACTGGCCCTCAAGATTCTGCCCCCTGGGGAACAGCCCTGTGTATAGAATCCCTTTCACCAGGGTGGCCTGGATCTCTGAATACTTTGGGATCTCACTCCCCAAGTTACATGACTTTACATTGCAGTTAGGGGGTTTTGAAGATGTAATTACAACCCCTAATCAGTCTACTGTAAGTTCATCAAAAAGGAGATTTTCCTGGAGAGGCCTGGTCTAATCAGGTGATCCCTTTCAAAGAAGGGCTGGAGGCTGGGCATGGTGGCTCACGCCTGTAATCCTAGCACTTTGAGAGGCCAAAGCAGGAGGTTCACTTGAGCCCAGGATCACTTGACCCCATCTCTACAAAAAATACAAAAATTAGACGGGAGTGGTGGTTGTATGCCTATAGTCCCAGCTACATGGGAGGCTGACGTGGGAGAATCACCTGAGCTCAGGGAGGTTGAGGCTGCAGTGAGCTGTGATTGCACCACTGCACTCCAGCGTGGGCAACAGAGCAAGACCCTGTCTCAAAAAAAATAACAGGAAGAAGAATAAAAAAGTGGGCTGGAGGTCAGAAGCAGAAGGGATCAGCGTGATGCAAGGCAGACAGTCTCCTGCAGGCCCTGAAGAGGCCACCTCCTGTGCTGTGCTGCTGTGCCACCGCTATGCTGCTCTGCCACCTTGTGGAGGGCCTCCAGGAAGGTTTCTGAAGCTGCTGCGTGTGTGGCAATTGGTTACGTAGCAGCAGAAAACAAATGCAGCTTTCTACTCCTCCCTCTCCTACCCCACCCCTGGATCTAACCAGTTCCTGATATTCTCTAACCAAGGATCACCCTGCACACTCCTGGACAGCCCTGGTGTGAACCCTCACTCACCCTGGGTGGCTGAAGATGGTTTGGGATAATAATGATAATAGTGGCTCCTGATATCTGTTGGGCACTAACTACTGTGCAAGTATTTTATGCCCATGAAGCCATCCCATTTTCACAACAACTGCATAAGGAGGCATATCTAGAAGAGGATCTAGCAGCCTTCCAGTTCAACTTCATTTAGACATCAGGATCCCAGGCCCAGAGGCACAGGTCATGGTTTCCAAGCCCCATAGGGCGCTGTTTTCAACTGTTAGGATAATCCAGAACACCTGGAGGGCGCTCCTATGTGCTATGAGCAAAGCAAAAACATCCTTCATTCAACAGACTCTCCCCAGGCTGAGCCTGCAGACCCCCTCTTGTGATAGGGTCAGAATTCAGTTTTTAAAGAGCTTAGTGTGTAGATACTATTGATGATCTTTGGGAGCTGAAGTGTTCTTGAACTCCAGGCATAGTAACATGTTTTAGGTTCATTTATTTGAAGCATTATGAAAGGAAAATATATGTTACACCTCAAAAGGAGTTTAGATTCTCTGTAGTTATAACTACTGTATAGTCACATGACTATTTTCTAAATTTTAAGCTAAATATTCAGTGTGATAAGATACTCATTTTTGTACATGTTATATCCACTTAACTATTAAAGCTGGTCATTTATTACCTCACATGCAGTGTTAAGATAATGAGTAAATTGTTCATAAATTTTCACTACTATTATTGGGAAGCATCATGGCATGTAATAAATCATCTTTTTTATACATAGAATGAAATCAAGGCTAGGGAAGGTACATACTACTCCATTCGTGCTGTGTGGCTAAGAATGGATCTCATCGATTGTGTATAATGGCAAGATGAGTACTAAAAATATTTGTAGGATCAATACTTGAATGTTCATAAGCAAGATGTCACAAATATCCCACCATTCCTACAAATTAAAATAATTTTAGTATAATTTTTAGACAGCACATTTATAAACATGTGCCAAATAGAACATAGCCACCTAGCACAGTGACTGGATTGGATGTAGTACGTCTCTGGATTCCTCCTATGTGTTTACTGGAGATGTTTGGGAAGTCACCTAGTCCTTTGATTGTTCATATTCTTTATCCATGTATTAGAATTTCATAGTAACTGCTTAGCTGATGTGTTTCATGTAAGTTACAGAATTGTCTATTAAACATGCTGTGCTCATTACCTATTATAGGATATTGATTTTTGTCTGTATATTTGCCCTTCTTTAAAACATTCTAGTACTTTTACTTTTTAGAACATGCAGGAGAATACGTAGCAGGAGGAGAGCAAAGATGACACCAACTTTTTTCATTTCTTAGCCCTTTTGATCTATGTTATGGATGAAGATATAGATGAAAATTAAGGCTGAGATATCTGATATCCTGATATCTGTTGGGCACTTTTAATCTGTTGAGAATTTTAATTGTTAGATATTTTACTTCTGATTATGTGAACATATACAATTTAATGATTAAAATATTATAAATTTCATGCTTAATAATAAATGTCTTTCATATATGACTCCATCAAATCTTTAAACTTTGCATATTTATACTGTGAAAAAAAATGAATTAACTAAGCCTCCGGCTTTCTAAAATGGAAGCAGGAGAAGCACTCAAATCTGCTAAAGGTCAAGCCACAGAATGTTCCAGTAGACTTGGATAAACAACTGAAGCCAATGTCCACCAGCCTTCAGCATCTTTCAGCTGGGAGTGGCCTCGTTAACTGACCAATCAAAACGAGTTTACAACTTCGGATTTCTGCCCAACAAATCAACTGCCTTTAAAAATAACTTTTGTGGAAATCCTTGATTCAAAAATGTTTCCTGCACTTGCCTTACAAGACACTCTTCAGGGCCGCCCTGACTCACTGTACCTGAGTTGCAATTCTTTGTTTCTCAAATAAATGCTATTTCCTTTGACCTCCATGCCCATCTTTTTTAGTGAACAGCACAGTATCGTAACTGTTATTGGTATCCATTATTAAGACTGTTGGACCTTTCATTGCTTCATAGAATTATCTTTATCTTGGGCAAGAAAGTGAAAATTATCCATAGTTTCTTTAAAATAGTAATATTTTAAGCCACTCAAAATAAGAAAAAGTTAAAGTTCACAATAAAAAGATCCTGATTTACCTGAATAAGACTTGAAAAGTGAAGAACAATTCCTTCTACCTGAAAAGGGTGTTGACCCAGAATCCACCTTGGACGACCCTCTAGAGCTGGCAAGTCAGCGTCATCCCCAGTGCACCTGTGACTGACAACACATCTCACCCAGCTGCCATAGGGATGTCAAAGACACAGGATACAGTGCTGGAAAGGGAAAAAGCATCAGTGCAAAAGTAGATTTCAGGATTTGGAGCACGGAGGCAAGTGCCCTCTCCTGGCATCCCTGCATGGGGCCATAGTGAGGAGGCTCTGCAGTCTTCCAGGAGGACTGGACCATGGATAGGAAATACCCAAGACATGGATTCTCTAGGGACATGGGCGATTCCAAAAGCACCGAGGAGCGTGCCCCTAGAGAAGCAGTCCACTGGGTCCGTAGTAAAATCTCATGGCATAACCAATGTGGAGACCAGAGACTAAAAATCTGTAACGTCCTTGGTGTCCATGGACCTCAAAGCCAAACACAACAGCCCCACGAGTATCTGTCATCCAGGCACGGAGAGCTAGGGGCGAGCTTCTAAGGGTAAAGGAGGCTTCTTCCCTGTCCAGATGTGTGGACGCTTGGGTTTACAGATAATGGAGGTGTCTATGTATGTTGTCATGAAAATATAAGGCAAGTGGCACCAAATATGATTTAGTGGTCCCAGAAATTCGGTGCTGTGTGCTTTCTGCACGACATTAATTTTAATTATATGGACACAGAAGGAGAAAATTTAAAACTTAAATGTCTTATCATTGCTAGAAAAATAAAAGTTTTTTCCCTACGAGTTAGAAATCTTGATCTCTGCGTTTTTCTATGGATCGATTCTCAAAGTTTGTGCAAATACAGTTGGTGTTTCTTTCTAAGTGTCTTTGGTTATGAACTAAGGATGTAACCAACTCCTGCTTATTAGGTAAAGGGATGAGGCAAGAGAGATCCAGCAACAGGGTGTGTTTTTTTTTCAATCTTTGGCAACATTTTTCTGTGATGTCCAAAGTAGTGAACTCCCTGACTAGGGTTTCAGACATGGAGTGTTCTAATCCACCAAACACCAAAGGGCTGGGAAGAAGTGATTTGGACATGGATAACCAGTGTCACCTACAACATGGAACAGAGGGTCATCAAAGTGGTCTGAGTCACTTTAATATGTGGCTGGAGAGATGCAAGAACAACAGAAAGAGCCCTCAGGAGGCATCCCCACCCAAGGGCAGTGAAGCTCAGTGCAGCTGCGGGGTGTGGGGTCATAGGGTGACCAGGTGACAGGGCTGATGGGGAGGAGAAATGCTCTGTTAAGGGTGTTGTCTCTGTCACTTCTTCAAAAAGCAGCACAGTCTCAGGCACATGCTCCCTCCTGCCCCACCCCACCCACAATTGATCCACTGCAGCTCTTCCAAGATGCTTCCCTCCATTCTAGTACCTCCCCTTACTCCTGAGCCCCTGTGGCCTCTATCTTACTCCCTCTCTCCAGTTCTTTGTACCTTCCTCCTCTCCCTCACTCACCTCCCCTCCCATGCAAAGCCCCTACTGGTTCCCCCCTTCCCCCCACTTCACCTCCACTCACACTCCATCTTCACCCTCCATTCCAGTCCTTCCCTTCCTCTCCTCACTCTGACTCCACCGGTGAACTCACTTCCCATCCCTTCTGTCCATGTCCCTGCCTCAGTTTACCTCCCTTCCCCTCTCCTCACCTTCCTTGGATGCACCTGACCTCTCCTGCCTCCCTCCCCTTCATTCATGCCCTTCCTTTCTTCTCTCTCCAGTTCCATCTCCTCCAACATGCTCCCCTCCCCCTTTCCTTCAGCCTCTGTTGACCTCTCCACCCTCCCACAGTCCCCTGCACTCTCCTGCCAAGGACATCCCTCCCAGCCATCCCCGCCCTCCTCACCTCACCTCGTTTGGCTCCATGTCCCTCAGCTCCCCTTCCCTCCCTCTTCCCTGTCCCAAGAGCCATCTGGGTTTCCTTTCCAGTCTCCCTCTGCTTGTGTGCTTTCTTCCCCTTCCCTGACTTCCCCTGCTCTATCTTCTCCTCAGTTCCCCGCCCTCCCTCTCTGCACCTGCCCAGTTTCCCCCATCTCCCCTCCATGCTCCCTTTCTCAGTTTCCCTCCCCAGCTCCTGAGTTGGACCACCTCAGCTCAGCGCCCTACTTCCTGTGCCTGCCCCTGCCTGCTGCCCACCCTCCCTGCACACAGCTCACTTCTCCCTCTGGCCCTCCTGCTGAGCAAGTGGCTCCCCGACTGCCCTGGGCCTGCCCACTTTCCCCAGCCCCCGCAGTCAAGGCTCTCCACATCACCGGGGTGAGGGCCGAGATGCACCCTCTCCAGGGCTCTGCTTCCTCCAGCAGGTCCCAGATCCTCCCTCCAAGCTAAGCTCCATGGCCCATCCCTCCCCTGGGGGCAACACCACAGGGACCTTTTGCCCACCTTGCCAGGCTTTTCAGAGGCCTCGAAGCTGTGGTCAGGCAGGCAAGTGGGGAGCAAGCCAGGAGTTACAGATCCAGAGCTTGGGGCAGTCCAGGCAGCGGGGGCTGTGGTCCCCTGTGACCACTTCTGTGACCTTGCCACTTGAACCCTCCAGGGCCTATGTCCTCACCTCCAACGTGAAGATCAGGCTGGGCCATTATTGCAAAGCTGTGCTGAGTGTTGACAAAGGTGCATGTCACGCTTTATTACAGGTAGCTGGTGTTTCCTGAGCATTTGGAAACAACGCCCTGTAAAATACTGTGAACTAATCGCAGAGCTGGGCACAGCATGCTTCATGATCTTATTTTATACTGACGTGTTTTGTCATCGTGCTGTCAAGTATTCTCCAGCCACATCATTTGTTAGTAGTTTGACCTGCATAGGAGGGCAGTGTCACCCTCCTTCCTGCTGTGCTGATTTCAGCGAGGGCCTCCGGGCCAGACTGCCCCGTGCGCCCCCTGTTGACTAACCTGGGAATCGCCCGCCGCCTGCCTTGAGCCTTGTGATGTGGGCAGGACGGGGCCGGGGCAGGGCCAGGAGCCTGCGGGGAGGCGCGGGGCCAGGCGCCTGCAGGAGTGGAACCTGCCCAAGATCTAGGAGTAGCTCGGTGCAGGACCAGGACAGAGTTCACACCCCTGGCTTCACGTACACGTATTTTTTTTTTTTATACTTTAAGTTCTAGGGTACATGTGCACAACGCGCAGGTTTGTTACATAGGTATACATGTGCCATGTTGGCTTGTTGCACCCATCAACCCGTTATTTACATTAGGTATTTCTCCTAATGCTATCCCTCCCCCAGCCCCCCATCTCCCTGACAGGCCCTGGTGTGTGATGTTCCCTACCCTGTGTCCAAGTGTTCTCATTGTTCAATTCCCACTTATGAGTGAGAACATGCAGTGTTTGGTTTTCTGTCCTTGTGATAGTTTCCAGCTTCATCCATGTCCCTGCAAAGGACATGAATTCATCCTTTTTTATGGCTGCATAGTATTCCATGGAGTATATGTGCCACATTTTCTTAATCCAGTCTATCATTGATGGACATTTGGGTTGGTTCCAAGTCTTTTCTATTGTGAATAGTGCTGCAATAAACATACAGACCTACACATAAATTAACCGGTGTGTGTCAGGTGTAGATACCAGCCAAGAAGAAAAGACAAAGTCAGCGGGGGCAGCTCTAGGACAGCGATGACCTGGGTCGCTTCATTCTGTGCCTGGGGAAGAACCAAAGCCACTTGGAGATTAACGCCATGACAAAAACAAGGGATGACGTGTGTGCAGTTGTGGGTTTCATGTTTACTTTCCACGACTCTAGAGGACTTGCCCACCTGTTCATACATAAACCAGTGCCCAGGGCCCCACTGCCCGGTGAGGGCTCCATCTCCCCTATCACCCCACCCCCTGCTTAGCTCCTGGCCCGCCCCAACCATCCCTTAGTTGATGAGTTGGTGAAGCTGCCCCCTTTTTCCTCCCTATACCTTCTCTTCTCTCCCCCAGGTCCTGCTGGGCCACAGTCTTCGGTCTCTCTGCCCCACCTGCCGAAGGACCCCCCTGGTCTCTTGGGTCCTCACCTGCATGCTCCCGAGCTCACCTCTAAGTTGTGTCTGCCCTTCACAAGGCTGGCCCCCTGCAGCCCACCCCCTCACCTGGGGCACCAGGGCCATCCACTTCCTCCACTCTCCTCACACTCCCGAAGTGACTCAGGGCTCCCCTGAGCAGCTGGGCTGGAGTCCTCCCACCAACTCCCTCAGTTATACCTGCTCCCGTCCCCTCAGACCCAGCCCCCCAGGTCTCCAGACCCATTCATGGACGTGGCCTCCTAGGCCTCTCAACACTCACCTCCCAGCAACCCCTCAGCCCTGCCCTCCCCAGGCACCAACTTGGGACCCCCACAGAGGCAGAGACACCTATTCCCACTTGGGCTCATGTCACCCTGGCTCACTGGGGATGCTGAGCCTGTGAGCCCAATCTTGCTCCATCCCTCCAGTTCCTTTCTCCAATCCAAGTTCTCTCAGACCTGTGGTGTCACTCCCAGAAGCCATCTGGACACCCAAGGCACTGCCTGACGGAGATGGCCATGCTCTTCCCTGTAGGGATGGACAAGGGACACCTGCAGTGCACAGGTCACAGTCTCAACCTTTGGAATGGTGTGGCAGGCTGTGCCCTAGTAGGGCCCCCACCAGGGCCCCTGAATGGCTGCTCCCCATCAGTAACAAGGAAGACCCTTGATGATCATCCCCACTGCCTCTGAGATGGGCCCGGAAAGGCGTGAGCTTCTCAAGCACCTGGGTCACCATCTGGGAAATGGCAGTCATGATCAAGTCAATCCCTTGTGCCCCAGAGACACTGTAACTCCCCAGTAGAATCCCACAGGGATTGAGGCCACCCTAGGCAACATAGCAAGGTTCCATCTCTACAAAAAATAAAAACATAGCCAGGAGTGGTGGCACACACCTGTAGTCCCAGCTATTCGGGAGGCTGAGGCGGGTGGATCACTTGAGGCCAGGAGTTCGAGGCTGCAGTGAGTAGTCATTTTGCTACTGCACTCCAGCCTGAGTGACAGAAGGGGAGGAGAGGGAGAGGGGAAGGGAGGGAGGAGTGAGGGGAGGGAGGGAGAGGAGGGGAGAGGAGGGGAGGGAGAGAGAGAAGGAGAGGAGGGAAGGGGAGGGCAGGGGAGGGAGAGAGAGAAGGAGAGGAGGGGAGGAAGAAGAGGAGAAAGAAGGAAGAAGGAAGAAGAAGAATTCCAGAGAGTGAAGAGCCACCAAGGGTATCCCCACACTCTGTGCAAGCGTCTATCTGCCTGAAACATACATGTGTGAAACTCACTGTTGGCAGCACAATCAAGACGGAAAATTAGACCTGAGAGCAGCCTCTGTGGTCTTTGAGAGGGACCCAGGGGATGACCAGAGGCAGGGAGGCTCCATGGGAGGGAGAAACACAAGTAGATGGCCTTCTCTGTGGCTTCCAGCCTGGGGCAAAGGGTGGTCAGTCTCGAGATGCCCAGTAGGGGAAAGGCTCGTGTGGGAAAAGGGAAATCAAAAATCCTGCCACCTGCACAGCACAGGGGAATCACCCAAGGCTCCAAAGGGTCATTACTGTGATGTCTGTAGCATAACATCCACATCGCTGTAACATCCACAGGGGCCTCCTTAACACCATCAGGCTCTGGAATCGGAGAGCAGAAGCTTCACAGCTGTAGCTGAAGTGGGTCTGAGTACAGACTAATCTCTATCGTGCAGCTTACTATTATCCCTCCTTTAGGGACATGGTCATTTTAAAATATTTTATTTTGAAATAATTATAGAACTTATAGAAAACTGCAATAGCAGCATAATGGGTGCCTGCTCCCTTCACCCAGCTCCCCCAGGGCTTCTAGTTTTGCCATGTGTCCCCACCTCGCTGACCAGCCCCAGTAGACGGCACCAAAGGCAGGCAGGATCACACACTCCTCTTTGCTCAAAACACTCAGGGATCCTTCCTGCCCCACACACCCTCTCCATGCACCCACATTCTCTGCCCAAGGGTGGCCTGGCCCCCAGGCCCAGCTCATCCCCAGCATGTGACTCCTTTCACTCAGGCTGTGGATCTCATGTATTGCAAATGTGGTTTAAACTTTGAGAACAGCAATTCTGGTTTGTAGAAAAAAAGTGAGGATCTAGGCGTTTGCAGTCATGCACATGTTCGTATTTTAAATACAGGCCAATGAGCTGCTGCCTAGTGTGCCTACCAGAGACACACCTGTTGTTAAACTACAACTGGATTTACTGTTCCATTCTGCAAAAATACGCCATGGTGCTGTGGAGGGTGCAGTGAGAGGCTTGGAAGAGCCTTGCCACAGGCTGTGTGTGTGTGCCAGCTGGCCATGGGTGGACTAACTGGAGAGGGGCTGGCTCTGAGTTGAGCACTGTTAGGAAGCAGGAGGAGGTAGGTATACACTGGAATCTTCATAAACCTCATCCCCGGGGAGGCCTGACACGGGCAGGACAGGCTATCACCAAGGCCAAAGCGGCAGTCATCATGTGGGCTGGGAGAGGACACGGCTGGCACTCCTGGCCTGAGAGATGCTCCCATCTGTCTGTATTCAGACAGGATTCTGGAGTGGCTTGTCTTTGTCTTGATCAGACCATCTGGGGTCTTGCCTGCTGCTGGTGTCCTGAGGGACAGTTTGTGTTCTCCAGGAGAGCCCCACAACCTCACTGAGGGTGCCAGCCCAGCTCCTGGGACACAGCCACCCTCCTCCTTCTCAAGCTTTAATGAGAAACGGGCAGGAGGTTGCCGGAGAACCACTGCCCATCTTCCGGGGTGCTAGGGGTGTCTGCTGGCAGTTGTGGTCTAGGGCAAAAAGAGAAGGGAAGGGAAAATCTTTCAGAAAATAACGGAATCACAATGGGGCTGCAGGCGAGATGAGCAAACTGGGCTGGTGGCATCCAGGGCGTTAGCAAAGAAAAAAGCACCAGTGTTCAGGCAGCCAGGGAGCCCAGCCGCTCTCTTAGGGTCACCCCCTCCCAGCCCTCCGGAGGCCACCCTTGTCCCGCCCTGCCCCAAGGGCACAGCCCGCGCCCCTCCCCCAGTCCTCTCCCTGCTGGGCTGCCCCCTCCCGCGGCCGCATCCCTAGTCAGTCCCTGAGACCGTCCAGAGTTCAGTCCCCGGGATCAGGCTTGCAGTGTTGGGCCGCCCTCCTTGCCAGATGCCGCCCTGGAGAGGGCAAGGGCGCAGAAAGGGCTGAGCGTCCCGGGTCCCTGCGTGGCCGAACGGCATGTGAGCACATTCCAGGAATAAGGAAACGAGAGGAGTAGGCATTTCTACCGTCTAAGGCACTTTGCATGAAATCCCGTGGCACTGGAAAAGTAGTTCAAACAAAGTAACGCTGGCTTTTACGATGCAGATAAACGGATAAGCGGCGTAGGACTCAAGTAGGAGGGCTCCGTGCACACCAGGCGCAGCCCAGCGGGGATTTGCCTGCGCGTCCCAGCGCACAGGGAGGTCGCTGAGTCCCAGGGAAGCCCCCTGGGCTCGCGCTGCAAACTCAGGCAGCCTCTGCTCCTGCCCTACGGCTTTGAGGGCACGTGCTCCTCCGGGGAGGCACAGCTTCCTCTAATTTCCCACTTCCTCATCCGGCCCTTAATTCACTAAAGACTAACAGGGAATGATGTTCATTACCAAAGTAGGTGCTCCCCCTAGTGTAGCACAGAACGCGGCGCTGTTCTCACTATTGAATTGGAATAATATTTTTAGTATCAAAATTAATTCTAGAAATCTATTACAGTTCATTTTCCAGAAAACAAGGGTAGCAAAAATAGTATAGGTTTGTTTCTTAATTTCTTTATGACACACATCACTGGTTCATGTGATAACGTGTGGATTCTCACCTGGAAGACACAAGAGGAATAAAATCACCATATTTTAAACTCTATCTCAAGTCTCTCAACATTTCAGGCTGTGCTCATTTACACACTACAGAATGATGAGTATTCAGTGGAAACTTTTGCAGAACAATTAAAATTGCAAAATCGGAGCCGGGCGCGGTGGCTCACGCCTGTATTCCCAGCAGCACTTTGGGAGGCCGAGGTGGGAGTATCGCTTGAGCCCGGGAATTCAAGACCAGCCTGGGCAATATAGTGAGCCATCATCTCTAAAAAAAAAAAAAAGAAAAAGAAAAAATTGCAAAATTACCTAAAATGAAATGCATACATTGAAACGCCCACAATTATTATGAAAATTAAAGTTAATATTAACAACATATGACATGAGCCACAAGATTTACATTAAAATAGTCTAGTTGACAATAACTTGAATATTTAAATAAAGTCCTCTTTATCTCTAAATAATATATTTACAGTCTGCCATTATATGAATCACTTAAAATTCAGATGAGGATATTAATCAATATTGACAATTTCTTCAGGAATATCAAGTGAATAATAATGATTTCACTTTTTTGTTTCATTTTGTTTTTGACATAAGATCTTGTTCTGCTGCCCAGGCTGGAGTACAGCAGCAGGATCGTGACTCACTACAGCCTCTGCCTTCTGGGCTAAAGCAGTCCTCCTACTTCAGCCTCCTGTGTAACTGGGACCACAGATGCACACCACCAGGCCCAGGTAATTTTTTATTTTTTGGTAGAGACAGAGTCTTATTATGTTTCCCAAGCTAGTCTTGAACTTCTGGGCTCAAGCAAGCCTCTCACTTCAGCCACCCAAAATGCTGGGATGACAGGCATGAGTCACCATGCCCAGCATAAAGATTTTATTATGTGGAAATAAAAGGACATTAAAATATAACTTGAAATAACCCATTTCTCGCAAGTATTTATTTTTCCACCAGTTAATCAAATAGTGCCAACACTAGACACCAACCCCACTTCCATTGCTAATCCCACTAATACACTCACCAAGACTTCAATTCCTGACCCCCATGTCTCAGGATACTCCTCAATAGCCATTGCCATAGTATATCCAAAAACAACCATCGTACCCCCTAGATAAATTAAAAAAAACCATTAAACCCATATAACCTCCCCCATAATTCAGAATAATAACACACCCAACTACACCACTAATAATCAATACTATACCCCCATAAATAGGAGAAGGTTTAGAAGAAAACCCTACAAACCCTATTACTAAAGCCACACTTAATGATAATAAAGCATATGTGATTAATCCCACATGGATTACAACCACGACCAATGATATGAGAAACCATCATTTTATTTCGACTATAAGAACACCAATGACCCCAACACGTAAAACTAATCCACTAGTAAAAATAATCAACCACTCACTTATCGATCTCCCCGCCCCATCCAACATCTCCATATGATGGAACTTCAGCTTGCTTCTTGGTGCCTGCTTAACCCTTCAAATTATTACAGGACTATTCCTAGCTATACGCTACTCACCAGACGCCTCAACCGCCTTCTCCTCAGTCGTCCACATCACTCGAGATGTAAACTATGGCTGAATCATCCGCTACCTCCATGCCAATGGCGCCTCAATATTTTTCATCTGCCTCTTCCTACATATTGGCCGAGGCCTGTACTATGGCTTATTTCTCTACCTAGAAACCTGAAACATTGGCATCATTCTCCTACTCACAACCATAGCAACAGCCTTCATAGGCTAGGTACTCCCATGAGGCCAGATATCCTTGAGGGGCCACGGTAATCACAAATCTACTGTCCGCCATTCCTTATGTCGGAACAGACCTGGTGCAGTGGGTTTGAGGTGGTTATTCAGTAGACACACCCACTCTCACACGATTCTTCACCTTCCACTTTATCCTACCTTTCATTATTACAGCCCTAGTAGTCTTACACCTACTATTTCTCCATGAGACAGCATCAAATAACCCCTCAGGAATCTCCTCCCACTCCAACAAAATTACCTTCCACCCCTACTACATGACCAAAGATATCCTAGGCCTATTTCTCCTCCTTCTCACCCTAATAACACTAGTACTGTTTTCACCCGACCTCCTAACTGATCCAGATAACTACACCCTAGCCAACCGCCTGAATACTCCACCCCATATTAAACCCGAATGGTATTTTCTATCTGCCTACGCAATCTTATGATCCATCCCCAACAAACTAGGAGGCGTACTGGCCCTCCTACTATCAATCCTCATCCTAGCAGCAATTCCCACACTTCACATGTCCAAACAACAAAGCATAATATTCTGTCCACTAAACCAATTCCTATATTGACTCCTAATTACAGATCTCCTTATCCTCACATGGGTTGGAGGACAACCAGCAAGCTACCCCTTCATCACCTTCGGACAAACAGCATTCGTAGTTTACTTTGCTACAATTCTAGCCCTGATACCGCTTGCCTCCCTACTCGAAAACAAAATACTCAAATGGACCTGCCCTTGTAGTATAAACCAATATATTGGTCTTGTAAACCAGAAATGGAGACTCTCTCCCAAGGACAACTCAGAGAAAAAGTACTTGACTTCACCATCAGCACCCAAAGCTAAGATTCTAATTTAAACTACTCTCTGTATTCTCATGAGGGAGCCATTTTGGGTACAACCCAAGTATCGACCCACCCCACCATAATTTTATATATATCGTGAATTTCTGCTAGCCACCATGAATATTATATAGTACTATAATTGCTTAACTGTACATAGTACATATCAAACGAAACTCAACAACAACTCCTCCCCACGACGCTTACAAGCAAGGACTAGAATACCTTAACTAACGGTAACACATTAAACCCACCCTCCAAAAGAAACTTCTCAACCACAAGCGTACCAAAAAACACTATATATCCTTGAGTACATAGTACATCTAATCGCTCATGGTAGATAGCACATTCCAGTTAAACAAGTCCTCGTCAATACGGATATCCCCCTCAGATAGTGGTCCGTTGTTCACCATCCTCTGTGAAATCAATATCCTGCAGAAGAGTGCTACTCTTCTTGATCCAGGTCCATAATACTTGGGGGTAGCTATAATGAACTGTATCCGGCATCTTGTTCTTACCTCACAGCCATAAAGTCAAGACCAACCACACGTTCCCCTTAAATAAGACATCACGATGGATCACGGGTCTATTACCCTATTAATCAGTCACGGGAGCTCTCCATGCATTTGGTATTTTAATCTGGGGGGTGTGCACGCGATAGCATTGTGAAACGCTGGCCCCAGAGCACCCTATGTCGCAGTGTCTGTCTTTGATTCCTGCCCCATCCCATTATTGATCACACCTACATTCAATATCCCAGGCGAGCATACCTATCACAAGGTGTTAATTAATTAATGCTTGTAGGACATAACAATCAGTAAACACACCCACGGCCGCTTTTCACATCAACTCTACAATAAAATTCTGCAAATCCCCTTCCCCCATCTTTGGCCTCACCAACCCAGGAAAAGACATCTTTGCCAAACCCCAAAAACAAAAAGCCTTAATCCAACTCAACCAGAGCCCAAATTTTTATCTTTAGGCTGTACGCATTTTTAACAGTCACCCCTCAACTAACACGTCTTTTTCCCTCTTAGCCTCACTTCACAGACTCTACAAATTTAGTTATCCCTTTTTCAGCCATCCCATTCAACGCATGCCCGACCACTACTAAACCAACACCCTAAACTAACCCAACCCCAAAGGCAAGGCTTTCCCCCCTACCCATTGCTTGTATGCCCATCCCCTAGCCTTGCTTACACTGTGCAATCACAGTCTATGTAGCTTAATGACCCAAAGCAAGACACTGAAAATATCTAGATGGGCCTACACTGCCCCATAGACAAATAGGTTTGGTCCTAGCCTTTCTATTAACTCTTAGTAAGATTACACAAGCAAGCATCGCCACCCTGGTGAAATAACCCTCTAAATCACTACAATCAAAAGGAGTAAGTATCAAGCACGCATTAGTGCAGCTCAAAACACTTTGCCTAGCCACACCCCCACGGGAGACAGCAGTGATAAACCTTTAGCAATAAACGAAAGTTTAACTGAGCTATACTAACTTTAGGGTTGGTTAATTTCATGCCAGCCACCACGGTCATACGATGAACCCAAGCTAATAGAGACTGGCGTAAAGAATGTTTTACATTATCCCTCAATAAAGCTAAATTTCACCTAAGTTGTAGAAAACCCTAGTTGATATAAAACAAACTACGAAAGTGGCTTTAATATTTCTGAATACACAATAGCGAAGATTCAAACTGGGATTAGATACCCCACTATGCTCAGCCCTAAACTTCAACAGTTAAATCAACAAAACTGCTCGCCAGAACACTAGGAGCAACAGCTTAAAACTCAAAGGACCTGGCGGTGCTTCACATCCCTCTAGAGGAGCCTGTTCTATAATCGATAAACCCCAATTCACCTCACCACCTCTTGCTCAACCCATATACCGCCATCTTCAGCAAACCCTGACAAAGGCCACAAAGTAAGCACAAGTATCTACATAAAAATGTTAGGTCAAGGTGTAGCCTATGAGGTGGCAAGAAATGGGCTACATTTTCTACCCCAGAAAATTCTACAATAACCCTTATGAAACCTGAGGGTCCAAGGAGGATTTAGTAGTAAATTAAGAACAGAGTGCTTAATTGAATAGGGCCATAAAGCACGCACACACCACCCATCACCCTCCTCAAGTATATTTCAAGGACTATCTAACTAAAACCCCTATGCATTTATATAGAGGAGATAAGTTGGATAAACCAAGGTGTAGCTTAACATAAAGCACCCTGCTTACACCTGGGAGATTTCAATTTAATTTGACCACCCTGAGCTAATTCTAGCCCCAAACCCAACTAATTCTACTACCAAATAACCTCAACTAAAACATTTACCCAAATAAAGTATAGGCGATAGAAATGATATCTCGGCACAATAGACATAATACCGCGATGGAAAGATGAAAAAACATAACCAAGCATAAAGTAGCAAGGACAAACCCCTATACCTTCTGCATAATGAATTAACTAGAAATAACTTTACAAAGAGAACCAAAGCCAAGACCCCCGAAACCAGACGAGCTACCTAAGAACAGCTGAAAGAGCACACCCATCTATGTAGCAAAATAGTGGGAAGATTCATAGGTAGAGGTGACAAGCCTACCGAGCCTGGTGATAGCTGGTTGTCCAAGATAGAATCTTAGTTCAACTTTAAATTTATCTACAGAACCAGCTAATGCCTTTGTAAATTTAACTGTTAGTCTAAAGAGGGACAGCTCTTTAGACACTAGGAAAAAACCTTGTAGAGAGAGTAAAAAATATAACTTCCAAAGTTGGCCTAGAAGAAGCGATCAATTAAGAAGGCGTTCAAGCTCAACACCCAACCACCCAAAAAATTCCAAACACATAACTGAACTCCTCACATCACATTGGACCAATCTATCATTTCATAGAAGAAATAATGTTAGTATAAGTGACATGCAAACATTCTCCTCCGCATAAGCCTACATCAGACCAAAATACTTCACTGACAATTAACAGCCCAATATCTATAAATAATCAATGAAACCATTATTACCCACACTGTTAACCCAACACAGGCATGCTTACAAGGAAAGGTTAAAAAAAGTAAAAGGAACTCAGCGAATCTTACCCCTCCTGTTTATCAAAAACATCACCTCTAGCATTACCAGTACTAGAGGCACCACCTGCCCAGTGACATATGTTTAATGGCTGCGGTACCCTAACCGTGTAAAGGTAGCATAATCACTTGTTCCTTAAATAGGGACTTGTCTGAATGGCTCCACGAGGGTTCAGCTGTCTCTTACTTTCAACCAGTGAAATTGACCTGCCCGTGAAGAGGCGGACATAATACAACAAGACGAGAAGACCCTAAGGAGCTTTAATTTATGAATGCAAACAAGACCAAATAGGCCCGCAGGCCCTAAACTACCAGACCTGCGTTAAACATTTCGGTTGGGGCGACCTCGGAGTATAACCTAACCTCCGAGCAACATATGCTGAGACTATACCAGTCAAGGCGAATATCCACATACAATTGACCCAATAATTTGACCAACGGAACAAGTTACCCTAGTGATAACAGTACAATCCTATTCTAGGGTCCACATCGACAGTAGCATTAACGACCTCGATGTTGGATCAGGACATCCCAATGGTGCAGCCGCTATTAAAGGTTCGTTTGTTCAACGATTAGAGTCCTATGTGATCTGAGTTCAGACCGGAGTAATCCAGGTTGGTTTCTATCTATTCTACATTTCTTCCAGTACGAAAGGATAAGAGAAATGGGGCCCACTTCATAAAGTGCCCCTGCCCCATAGATGATATTATCTCAGCATTTTACTGTACCCACACCCACCCAAGAACAGGGTTTGTTAAGATGGCAGACCCCAGCAATTGCATAAAATTTAAAACTTTACAACCAGAGGTTCAACCCCTCTTCTTAACAACATGTCCATAACTAACCTTCTACTTCTTATTGTACCTATCCTAATCGCCATGGCATTCTTCATGCTAACTGAATGAAAAATCCTAGGCTACATGCAACTACGCAAAGGGCCCAATATTGTAGGCCCCTATGGACTATTACAACCTTTTGCCGATGCCATAAAACTCTTTACCAAAGAATCCTTAAAACCCTCAACGTCAACTGTTACCCTCTACATCACTGCCCCAACCTTAGCCCTCTCTATTGCCCTTCTACTATGAACTCCCCTCCCTATACCTAACCCCCTAGTTAATCTTAACTTAGGCCTTCTATTCATTCTGGCTACATCCAGCCTAGCTGTCTACTCTATCCTATGATCAGGATGAGCATCAAACTCAAACTATGCCCTGATCGGCGCATTATGAGCAGTTGCCCAAACAATTTCATACGAAGTTACCCTAGCTATCATCCTATTATCGATCCTACTAATAAGTGGCCAATTCAATCTCTGCACCCTCATTAGAACACAAGAACACCTCTGACTACTCCTAACATCATGACCCCTAGCTATAATATGATTTATTTCCACACTAGCAGAAACCAATCGAGCTGCTTTTGACCTTACTGAAGGAGAATCAGAACTAGTCTCAGGCTTCAACATTGAATATGCTGCAGGCCCATTCGCCCTATTCTTTATAGCCGAATACATAAATATCATTAAAATAAATGCCCTAACTGCCATAATCTTCCTAGGTACAATATATAATATTCACCTACCAGAACTCTACACAATATGCTTCACCATTAAAACCCTATTCCTAACCTCTCTATTTTTATGAATCCGAACAGCATACCCCCGATTCCACTACGATCAACTCATGTATCTCTTATGAAAAAATTTCTTACCATTTACACTAGCACTACTTATATGATACATCTCAATATCCGCTACAATTTCCAACATTCCCCCCTAAACTTAAGAAATATGTCTGACAAAAGAGTGACTTTGATAGAGTAAATAATAGAGGTTTGAATCCTCTTATTTCTAGGACCATAGGAATTGAACCTATCCCTGAGAATCCAAAATTCTCCGTGCCACGTGTCACACCCTATCCTGGAGTAAGGTCAGCTAAATAAGCTATCAGGCCCATACCCAGAAAATGTTGGTTATATCCTTCCCGTACTAATCAATCCACTGGCCCAACCTGTCATCTACTCCACCGTTTTCACAGGTACACTCATTGCAACATTAAGCTTGCACTGATTTTTTACCTGGACAGGATTGAAAATAAACATACTAGCTTTTATCCCAATTTTAATTAAAAAAATAAACCCCCGCTCTACAGAAACTGCTATCAAATACTTTCTCACATAAGCAACCACATCTATAATCCTCATAATAGCTATCCTCTCCAACAATGTACTCTCCGGACAATGAACCACAACCAACACCACCAACAAATACTCATCATTAATAATCACAACAGCCCTAGTAATAAAACTAGGAATAGCCCCTTTCCGTTTCTGAGTCCCAGAAGTCACTCAAGGAACCCCTCTAATATCCAGCCTACTTCCCCTCACATGACAAAAATTAGCCCCTATTTCAATTATATATCAAATCTCCCCATTAATAAACATTCTCCTTACCCTTTCAATCTTATCCATTATAGTGGGTAGCTGGGGTGGACTGAACCAAACCCAACTATGTAAAATCCTAGCATACTCCTCAATCACCCATATAGGCTGAATAATAGCAGTACTAGCATACAACCCAAGTATCACCATTTTCAACCTAATCATCTATATCATTCTAACAACCACCACATTCCTGGTACTCAACTTGAACTCTAGCACTACAACCCTACTACTGTGCCGCACTTGAAATAAACTAACCTGACTAATACCCCTAATCCCATCTACCCTACTATCACTAGGAGGCCTTCCCCCACTAACTGGCTTTCTACCCAAATGATTTATCATTGAAGAATTCACAAAAAATAACAACCTCATTATCCCCACTACCATAGCCATTATTACTCTCTTTAACCTATATTTTTACATACGCTTAATCTACTCTGCTTCAATTACACTATTCCCCATATCCAACAACGTAAAAATAAAATGACAATTTGAAAATACAAAATCCACACCACTCTTCCCCACACTCACTGTCCTTACCACCCTCCTCCTACCAATCTCTCCACTTACACTACCCACCTCATATAAATTTATGTTAAACGCAGACTAAGAGCCTTCAAAGCCCTTAGTAAGTTAATAATACTTAATTTCTGCAGCACCCAAGGACTGCAAAACCCTACTTTGCATCTACTGAACGCAAATCAGCCACTTTAATTAAGCTAAGCCCTTGCTAGATCAATGGGACTTAAACCCACAAAAATTTGGTTAACAGCTAAATACCTTAATCAACTGGCTTCAATCTACTTCTCCCGCCGCAAGGGAAAAAAGGCGGGAGAAGCCCAGGCAGGATTGAAGCTGCTTCTTTGAATTTGCAATTCAACATGAAAGGCACCTCAGGGCTGGTAAAAAGAGAGTTTTTAGATTTACAGTCTAATGCTTTGCTCAGCCATCTTACCCACTAATGTTCGCCAACCGCTGACTATTCTCAACAAATCATAAAGATATCGGAACACTATATTTATTGTTTGGTGCATGAGCTGGAGTCTTGGGCACAGCCTTAAGCCTCCTTATTCAGACTGAACTAGGTCAACCTGGCAACCTTCTAGGTAACGACCACATCTACAACGTCATCGTCACAGCCCACACATTCTTCATAATCTTTTTCATAGTAATGTCTATCATAATTGGAGGTTTTGGCAATTGACTGGTCCCCCTGATAATTGGCGCCCCTGACATGGCATTTCCCTGCGTAAATAACATAAGCTTCTGGCTCCTTCCCCACCCCTTTCTACTACTGCTGGCATCTGCTATGATAGAAGCTGGTGCCGGAACAGGTTGAACGGTTTACCCTCCTTTGGCAGGAAACTATTCCCATCCAGAGGCCTCTGTAGACCTAACCATTTTCTCCCTTCATCTAGCAGGTGTCTCCTCTATTCTAGGAGCTATTAATTTCATCACCACAATTATTAACATAAAACCCCCTGCCATATATCAATACCAAACGCCCCTCTTTGTCTGATCTGTCCTAATCACGGCAGTCCTACTCCTCCTCTCCCTTCCAGTCTTGGCCGCTGGCATTACTATACTGCTAACAGACCGTAACCTTAATATTACCTTTTTGACCTGGCCGGAGGAGGGGACCCTATCCTATAACAACACCTATTTTGATTCTTTGGTCACCCTGAAGTCTATATTCTCATCCTACCAGGCTTTGGAATAATTTCTCACATCGTACCATATTATTCCGGAAAGAAAGAACCATTCGGGTACATAGGTATGGTCTGGGCTATAATATCAATTGGCTTCCTAGGGTTTATTGTATGAGCCCATCATATATTCACAGTAGGGATAGATGTAGACACACGAGTTTACTTTACCTCTGTCACTATAATTATTGCCATCCCCACTGGCGTCAAAGTATTTAGCTGACTTGCTACGCTCCATGGGGGTAACACCAAATGGTCCACTGCAGTACTCTGAGCCCTAGGATTCATCTTCCTTTTTACAGTGGGTGGCCTAACGGACATTGTACTAGCAAACTCATCATTAGACATCGTACTACATGATACATATTATGTTGTGGCCCACTTTCACTACGTTCTATCAATAGGAGCTGTGTTCACCATCATGGGGGGCTTCATCCACTGATTTCCCTTATTCTCAGGCTACACACTCGGCCAAGCTTATGCCAAAATTCACTTTGCCATCATATTTGTAGGCGTAAATCTAACCTTCTTCCCGCAGCACTTTCTCGGCCTATCTGAGATGTCCCGATGTTATTCCGACTACCCCGATGCATATACCACAGGAAATATTTTATCATCTGTAGGCTCATTCATCTCCCTAAAAGCAGTAGTGCTAATAATTTTCATAACCTGAGAGACCTTCGCTTCAAAGCGAAAAGTCCTAATAAATGAGCAACCTTCCACTAACCTAGAGTGGCTGTAGGGATGCCCTCCACCCTACCATACATTTAAAGAACCAGTCTACATAAAACCTAGACAAAAAAGGAAGGAATTGAACCTCCTAAGGCTGGTTTCAAGCCAGCCTCATAACCCCTATGACTTTTTCAACAAGATATTAGGAAAACTATTTCATAACTTCGTCAAAGTTAAGTTACAGGTTAAACCCCGTATATCTTAATGGCACACGCAGCCCAGCTAGGTCTTCAAGACGCCACATCCCCTATCATAGAAGAGCTAATCGCCTTCCATGATCACGCCCTCATAATCATCTTTCTTATCAGCTTTCTAGTTTTATACGCCCTCTTCCTAACAATTACAACAAAACTAACACTAACATCACAGACGCCCAAGAAATAGAAACTGTTTGAATGATTCTACCTGCCATTATCCTAGTCCTAATTGCCCTTCCATCCCTACGTATCCTGTACGTAACAGATGAAATCAATGACCCTTCTTTTACCATTAAATCAATCGGACACCAATGATACTGAACCTATGAATACACCAATTATGGAGGATTAATTTTCAACTCTTATATACTTCCACCACTATTCTTAGACCCAAGTGACCTTCGACTTCTTAAAGTTGATAATCGAGTAGTCCTTCCAATTGAAGCCCCTGTTCATATAATAATTACATCACAAGACGTCCTACACTCATGAACTGTCCCCACATTAGGCTTAAAAACAGATGTAATCCCCGGACGCCTAAACCAAACCACATTCACCGCCATACGACCAGGAGTATACTACGGTCAATGCTCAGAAATCTGCGGAGCTGACCATAGCTTCATAACCATCATTCTAGAACTAATCCCGCTAAAAATCTTTGCAATAGGACCTGTATCCACTTTATAGGCTACCGCCCACTCTCTTAATAAGGTTCACTGTAGAGCTGACCCAGCATTAACCTTTTAAGTTAAAGACTAAGAGAATCGCTATCTCTTTACAGTGACATGCCTCAACTAGACACCACCATATGACCCACTATCGTCGCATCAATACTCCTCACATTATTACTCATCATTCAACTAAAAGTACTAAACACAAACTACCATCTGCCTACCTCACTAAAAATTATTAACATGCAAAACCACAATAATCCTTTAGAGTCAAAATGAACGAAAATCTGTTTACTTCATTCATTGCCCCCACAATTCTAGGCCTTCCAGCTGCAGTGCCAATCGTTCTATTTCTCCCCATGCTGATTCCAGCTTCCAAACACCTTATCAACAACCGATTAATTACCACTCAACAGTGACTAATTCAACTCACCCTAAAACAAATAATAACAATAAATAACATTAAAGGACGAACCTGATCCCTCATGCTAATATCCCTAATTATCTTCATTGCTACAACCAATCTCCTCGGGCTCTTGCCCCACTCATTCACACCAACTACCCAACTGTCATAAACCTGGCCATGGCAATCCCCCTATGAGCAGGTGCAGTAATTACAGGCTTCCGCTTTAAAACCAAAAATACCTTAGCCCATCTCTTGCCACAAGGCACACCCTCACCCCTCATTCCCATACTAATTATTATCCAAACCATCAGCCTATTTATCCAACCAATAGCCCTAGCCATGCCCCTAACTGCTAATATTATGGCAGGCCATCTGCTCATACACTTAATCAGAAGTGCCACACTAGCGCTATCAACTATCAACCTCCCCACAACCTCAATCATCTTCACAATTTTGATTTTACTGACGATTCTCGAAATCGCTGTCGCCCTGATTCTAGCCTATGTTTTCACACTCCTAGTGAGCCTCTACCTACATGACAATACATAATGGCTCACCAATCACATGCCTATCACATAGTAAAACCCAGCCCATGACCTCTAACAGGGGCCCTTTCAGCCCTCCTAATGACATCCGGCCTAGCTATATGATTCCACTTTTACTCTACCACCCTACTAACACTAGGCCTACTGACCAATGCACTAACCATATACCAGTGATGATGTGATGTTGTACGAGAAGGTACATACCAAGACCACCACACAGTACCCGTCCAAAAAGTCCTTCGGTATGGAATAATTTTATTCATCATCTCAGAAGTCTTTTTCTTCGCTGGATTCTTCTGAGCATTCTACCACTCCAGCCTAGCCCCCACCCCTCAACTAGGAGGACACTGACCCCCAACAGGCATCACTCCACTCAACCCCCTAGAAGTCCCACTCCTAAACACATCTGTACTACTCGCATCGGGAGTTTCAATTACTTGAGCTCACCATAGCCTAATAGAGAACAATTGTAATCAAGCAATTCAAGCACTACTTATCACAATCTTACTAGGCATCTACTTCACCCTCCTACAAGTTTCAGAATACTTTGAAGCCCCCTTTACTATCGCCGATGGTATGTATGGTTCAACATGTTTTGTAGCTACGGGCTTCCACGGGCTCCCCGTCATCATTGGTTCAACATTCCTTACTGTTTGCCTTATCCGCCAACTATTATATCATTTTACATCCAAGTACCACTTCGGCTTCGAAGCCGCTGCTTGATACTGACACTTTGTAGATGTAGTTTGACTATTCCTATATGTCTCTATCTACTGGTGAGGATCTTACTCTTTTAGTATAGACAGTACCACTGACTTCCAATTAACTAGTTTCGATAACACTCGAAAAAGAGTAATAAACCTGGCACTAGCCCTAACAGTCAACACCCTCCTGGCCCCATTACTAATAACCATCACATTTTGATTACCACAACTTAATATCTACATAGGAAAGTCTAACCCTTATGAATGGGGTTTGACCCACTATCCTCTGCTCGCATTCCCTTCTCCATAAAATTCTTCTTGATTGCTATCACCTTTTTATTATCTGACCTAGAAATTGCCCTATTACTACCCCTACCGTGAGCCCTCCAAACAACCAATCTACCACTAACAGTTGTATCATCACTCACATTAGTTACTATCTTAATCCTAAGTTTGACTTATGAACTATCCCAGAAAAGGTTAGACTGAGTCAAATTGGTAAGTAGTTTAACAGACAAAAACAATGATTTTGACTTGTTAGATTATGATAGTCATACTTACAAAATGCCCCTCATCTACATAAACATTACATTAGCATTTACTACCTCACTGTTAGGAATACTAATCTATCGCTCACACCTAACGTCCTCCCTACTATGCCTAGAGGGGATAATATTATCTCCATTCATCGTAAACACCCTCATAACCCTAAACACACACTCTCCCTTAATTAACATCATACCTATCACCATATTAGTCTTTGCTGCCTGTGAAGCAGCAGTGGGCCTCACCCTACTAGTCTCAATTTCTAACAGATACGGTCTAGATTATGTACATAACTTAAACTTACTCCAATGTTAAAATTAATTATCCCTACAATCATACTACTTCCAACAACATGACTCTCTAAAAACCATATAATTTGAATTAACATAACCA
The DNA here is from genome assembly GCF_000001405.40 of Homo sapiens. Classification (NCBI taxonomy): domain Eukaryota; kingdom Metazoa; phylum Chordata; class Mammalia; order Primates; family Hominidae; genus Homo; species Homo sapiens. The sequence continues at coordinate 22,532,251 of NC_000017.11, forward strand.
CTCACAGCCTAATTAACAGCTCTATCCCACTGTTATTTTTCAACCAAGCCAACGACAATCTATTTAGCTACTCTCTTTCTCCTCTGACCCCCTGATGACACCCCTTCTAATACTAACAGCCTGACTTCTACCTCTTATGATCATAGCGAGTCAATGCCACTTATCTAACAAGTGCCCCTTACGGAAAAAAACTTTACCTGTCTGTACTAATCACCCTTCAAATCTCCCTGATCATAACATTCATGGCCACAGAACTAATCATATTGATTATTAGTGGTGTAGTTGGGTGTGTTATTATTCTGAATTATGGGGGAGGTTATATGGGTTTAATAGTTTTTTAAATTTATCTAGGAGTATGATGGTTGTTTTTGGATATACTACAGCAATGGCTATTGAGGAGTATCCTGAGACACGGGGGTCAGGAATTGAAGTCTTGGTGAGTGTATTAGCGGGATTATCAATGGAAGTGGGGTTGGTCTTATGAGTGAAGGAGTATGATGGGGTGGTGGTAGTGGTCACATTCTTTGCTGAACAAACGGTACCTCAAATAACTTCATACAAATACTACTGGGAAACTTAGCATTTTATTAAAATGTTTAAATTTCCTATTTTATCAAATCTAACATATTAGTAATAATATATTCCTTTTATTCAACTTTAAAGTTCTATTCAACAATAGCAATTTATAATTTTATATTATTAAATGTTATTCATACAGTTTAATAATTTTATAATTTAGCATTAATGAAACCAGCACAGACAATATAATGTTCATGATATTTTATGTATATGTTTAACATACACATACATAATTCAACATTAATGGCTTCCTTAATTACCATTAATATTATAATTTTATATTATCATTTAAGTTTGCCCTTCTATTTTAATATTAGATGTCTTAGCATCCATCAGTTCTATCAAGCTCTTCTCACTGGTTCTTCTTTGAATTCCAGACATGGCCACAATCTTCTCTTCTAAAATTCTAAAATCTGAGGGCTCTCGCTGGCTGGGTGCTGCTGGAAGAACTGTAACTTGGTTGTTATCTCAACGGTATTTTATTTTAAATGTTTCAATTAAAAGAAGTTTTTAAAAATGTGGAAATCCCTGAGAATATTCACTTTTTTAAATACAATGGGAATGTATTTAATGTATGGCTGAAGTCTGTTTCTCCTCGTTTGATCCAGGGGTGCTTCTGAGAACTCTTCCAAGTGCCAGATCCTGGGCCGCTGGCAGCTTGGCCCCAGTGGCAGTTCAGTTACCCCATCACGGCTGGGGCACCAGGGGAGCCCCACAGGTGGGCGAAAATTACCGTAGATTAAAACCTAGGCAGTTTAACACAAGCAGCCAGCACCAACATCACGGTACTTGATCTTCCAACTTCCTGCACTACCAATTCTATGTCTCATCACATTCTCCTCTGGCCTCTCGGCCCCCAGCACACAGGCTTCAGCCTCTGTTTCTGCTGAAGCCCTTTCTTCATACACTCTAGAACATAGAACATAGGACAGAGAGAGAGACTTTAGTAGGAATACTGACATTTAAAAACTTATCAGAGATATGAAAAATCAACTACATGAAGTACGGCGGTATATTAAGGCTTTGTGAATAAAAACACAGTAAAGGGTGGGTGTGTAAAGCTATTTTCCAACCATCCTTCCAAACCAAGGCTTTTGAGGGCACAAGTCCTCCCAGCAGGTGGCAGGATGGGCCCAGCAGTGTCTTCAGCCCATTGCTGTCATGAGTTAGGAAAGGCTGAATTCTATTTTACATACAAAAGAAAACATTTATTTAATTAAAGATTCAAGCTACAATACAGTTCTTCATAAAACACTACAATATTTTGATTATCAATGTTTTTCTGTTGCTTTTTCTCATGAAACATGATTTGCCTTTGTGAAATCTGAAGTTTCCTATTCTATCAATGAGAAGGTGTATCAAATGGATAGTCCATCCAGTGTATCCGACATCAATTACAAAATGCCTCCCTTTTTCTTAATTTTGCCTTTTTTCCCTTTGTCATTCTTGAGTCTCTGTTAGTGCACTGAGGAAGTGAAGACATGTACTTAAAGAAATGCCAACATCTGCTGAAGATCAGATTCCGTATTTTGTATTTTAGTTGATGTAATGATGACTTTAGTTATAATGACTTTAGTTGATGTAATGATTCTAATGAACAAGAAAGATTTTGTTTCCCATTTTAAAAGATATCATTAAGTCATGCAGAATATTTTTCAATTTATTATGGGTGTGTATGCAAGGGGTTGCCATTTCACCTGCTTCAGTCTTCCCTCTAAACCAATCCTAAGACACACCTAGGCTGAATTCATATCACATGAAAATTCATCACATGATGTCCTACTAGGTCAAAAAGTATAAAAACTGACATTACGGAGAAAGACTTCATTGAAACCAGGACAGAAAGACACTAAGGCACACAGTGCTCAGAGCGGCATGCTGACAAGATCTCTGGTGGGAGGCCATTGCCTGGACACCTGCTGGGTTTTGTCCTGGACACCATTCATTCACTTGAGCATGTTTGGTACCCAGGGTATTTTTCAATAATAGGCAAAATAGAATGAGTTCTTCAAACCTTGTGGATTTTATACTGAAAACTTCCAGAGATATATCTTAGGTAATTATAAGACCAAGCACAACAACAACAACAAAATCCTAACTTGAATCCATCAGTTGCAGATTTCATGGTTGACTACATCAAGAGGAAGTTGCAAGCTCTAAAAGCTGGAAGACCAGTCAATATCAGGAACTCCTCAGAAGTGAAGGAAAAGTGGTTTAAATTTGTTTAACAAAACCATGTTTTCAAACTTACTTTAATTTATGCATGAGGGCCATTAAATTTGTTCTTTTTAAAAAGGAAACTTCTTAATTGGAACTAAATCATTCATTATTCACTGTGATACGGGTTATATACCCTTAGGTTCCATGTGATTATTCACATGTTCAGCTGACAGAAAGGAGAAAAAGCTACTCTAATGACTTAGCTTCGCTTTGACTCACTGGTTTTTATCTCATTTTAACTTCCAATCTCGGTTACAGAGAGTGTTAAAGCTGGAAGAAATAACATTTTGGTAGATGGTAAAGGATAAGTACGAGTCATTTCAAGTTGTTGAAGCTTTCATTAAACAAAGCAAGCTATTTGAAATCTTAAAGCTATTTAAATAAAGGGCTAAGACTTTTCCGTTTTATTTACTTAAAAGCTTAAAAGATACTGTTGAAAATTTAACAGTTAATCTATTGTAGGGTGTGGTTAGACACTTATTTTGACAGTGCTCACTGAAAATTCAATTATACCCCCGGAGTCAAACTTGCCAGTCATCAAAATGTCTAACGATCTGAGTGTTCACGGGGTAATAACAAACCCCATACTAAACAGTTTGCTAGAAATCTGTCCTATAACATCTAAACGGAACAATTGGGTGGTTGTCTAAGACACCTAAGCTCAATATGACATTTCAGCTAAAAAGAGTGAACTTATAACTAAGCACTTCATGCAAGTTACCAAAAGAGAAGATATTCTTTAATAAAAAAGTACATTTGTAGAATCAAAGAATCTCAGTGTTGTAAGAAATATTTGAGATCATTTCAGTTAGGCTTTTCATTTCTTAAATTTGAAACTGAAGCTGAGATTAAACAGCTAATAAAAAGACAAAGCCGATCCATGATATTGGTTTGGGCAATGATTTCTTAGATATGACCAAAACGCACATACAACAAATGAGATTACATCAAACTAAAGAGCTTCTATACAGCAAAGAAAACAATTAACAGAGTGAAGAGTGACAACTCACAGACTGAGAAAAAATATTTGCAAATCATATGTTTGATAAAGAGCTAATACACAAAACATACAACGAATTCAACTCAATAACAATAAAACAACCTTGTTAAAAAATGGGCAAAAGACCTGGACAGATATTTCTCCAAAGAAGACATACAAATGGCCAGAAGAGATATTAAAAGGTGTTCAATATCACCATTGATTAGGGAAATGCAAATTAAAATGAGATTTCACCTTACTCATTTTAGAATGGCTATTACAAAAAAAATGAAAGACAAGTGTTGGTGAGGATTTGAAGAAAAGAGAACACTTGTAAAATGTTGGTGGGAATGTAAATTAGTGCTGCCACTATGGAAAACAGAAGGGACGTTTCTCAAAAATAAAAATACATAATTACTATATGACCCAGAAATTCTACTTCTGGGTGTATATTCAAACGAGTTAAAATCAGTATGTTGACTAGATATCAACACTTCCATGTTCATTGCAGCATTATTCACAATAGCCAAGATATGGAAGCAATCTAAGCGCATATCAAGGGATGAATGGATAAAGAAAATTATATACACATATTTATAGTGTATACACACAATGGAATACTATTCAGCCTTTAAAAAGGATACAATTCTGTCATTTGTGAAAACAAAGAAAAATCTAGAGGATCTTACATAAAGTGAAATCAGTCAGGTACAGAAAGACAAATACATCATGATCTCACTTACATGTGAAAAGTAAAAAATGTCAGACTCATAGAAGTAAAGAGTAGAATGATGGTTACCAGAGGCTGGAGGAGGCAGGATAGACAGAAAAAAGAAGATTAATTTGTTAAATGGTACAAGGTTCAGCTAGATAGAAGAAATAAGTCCTAGTGATCTATTGAGCAATAGGGTAATTATAGTTAATAATAATGTATTATATATTTCAAAATTGTGGAGTATATTTTAAGCACTCTCACCATAAAGTAGTGATAAATACGTGAGTTGAAAGATATGTTAATTCACCTGATGTAAATGTTCCACAATGTATACATGTATCTAATCATCATATTGTATGCCATAAATACATACAATACTTAATTATCAAATAAAAAGTTAAGATGGAGCTGAGCCAAGAATCCAAGTCTCTGAATTTAGATTTTTCATTTTCTATTATGCCAAAGTGTTTTCTGAAAATTAAAATTGAATATGGCATGTCCAAAAGAATATGTCATAAGAAGACAGGAATGGGGGGACTGCTGCATATAATCTCATATTTTTAGTCAGTTTTGTAACATATTATTAGGAGAAGAAAATCAAATATTTTAAGAAAATTTTTATAACTCCTGTAATACTGTAATTTTATGGCAAACCTAAAACCTTCAAAACACAGAGTTTTTTTAAAAAAGTGAATCATATATATGCAAAGTTTTTATTGAGATTATTAAAGCAAAATCCCTCAAAGTAGCAAAACATAAGTATATGTTTTAGACTGTACTATGCAGAATAGCAGAATGGTACCAATGGCAAAAAATCTTTCAAAAGACATAAAAATTATTGAGGTCTCATCCCAGCTCTACTAATCTATGTCTTAGCAACCTAGTGTAATTCCTACAAGTTCTGAACACTGCCTTTAATGTATCTGCATGGTTCCCATATCATTTTATAAACTTCAAATATTCACACTTTATAATTGAAACAATATACAAACTTTATTATTAAATAAGCTATGGGATGATATTCTCCATCTACCCTATAAGGATACTATCTTCCTGTCAGAAAATCTGAGACTCTCCAATACATATTTACTCCCCAGATCTTTTCTTTTTCTTTTTTTTTTTTTTTTTTGAGACGGAGTCTCTCTCTGTCGCCCAGGCTGGAGTGCAGTGGCACAATCTTGGCTCACTGCAAGCACTCCCCATATCTTAACTGTGGAATCTCCAGACCATGTCCAGTCAGTAATCCATTATTAGTTTTGTCTCATGTGCCCTAACCACCTTCTCTTTACCTTCTATTTCAGCCCCAAATAAAAGTTACTATTCTTGGCTCAATTCTCCAAATCCTTTGAAGGTAACTGGTGACACTATAGCTTTTCTTTATGTGCCACCTTGTGATCCAGGCTTCCTAGTTATCTGTGAATATTCACATCAGGTTACCTGGACTCCATAGAGGCAGCACCAACAAAAAACATAATTGGGATATACACCACTTTTAGACTTTCGATTACATGCCCCACCTTATAATGTGTGAACTGATTTCACTTCTAGACATTCAACTTTCAAACAGGTATGCTCTGTATTAAACACCAACATCCTCCTTCCCTTTCACTCAAGGGACATCGGGAAAACAAAAAGATGCAATGCAAAGTTCACATATAAGGATAATTATTTGTGATAATGGTGACAATGATCCCTATTTCTTTTCCTGCTCTTATGAATTTGCAAATGTCCTACAAACTGTATTAAATGAGTCTGTGAAAGTTCATCTAAGTCCCTAGTATTATTATTTTTTAACTCTCTAGAAAGTCCTAGCCACGTAGCTCAAAGCAAAATAGAAAAGATCCAAATCATTCATAGGACAAGTGTTGAGGCAACTTTCAATTACTAAATATATTTTTAGCCATTTAAAACTAAAAGAAAAGTAACGTCTGTAATCCCAGCACTTTGGGATGCTGAGGCAGGCGGAACACAAGGTCAGGCGATCGAGACCATCCTGGCTAACACGGTGAAACCCCGTCTCTACTAAAAATACAAAAAATTAGCCAGGCCTGGTGGCCGGCGCCTGTAGTCCCAGCTACCCAGGAGGCTGAGGCAGGAGAATGGCTTGAACCCGAGAGGCGGAGCTTGCAGTGAGCCGAGATCACGTCACTGCACTCTAGCCTGGGCAGCAGAGCGAAACTCCGTCTCAAAAAAAAAAAAAAAAAAAAGTAAGAAAACTCTTTTACTCCTTTTTATGATTTAAATTTTATTTTAGGTTTGAAAAGTGAGCTATATATCACTTAACAGTCAGGAAGCGTGCAGTAAACTCAATCTCTGAACCGACGTTACCTAAATCAAAGATGTTCGTTTTCTCATACTCATCTCTAAAACAGAGGTAGACAGAGAAAGTGCTTCTTTTTCCGAGATTGTAATGAATTCAAACCTATTCATTAACTTTATAGCAGTTATTTTGGTTTCACAGTGAAACATAAAAAGTTCTATTTTATTGGAAAGAAAACCAAGTAGCTATCTAAGTAGTTCATGAGAAGGAATTTGTTCTACTGTTTTAAGTGCATGAGGGATAAAGCAAGACTTAGAAATATTTTTGTTAGACCATTTCATTTTAATAGTATTTTCTATTATAACAGAAATGACCTACAGTAAAATAATTCAAAATACCCTTACTTCTGAAGGTTATTTCCACATAAAATTGTAACATTACTATGATCTAAATTTAAATAAATTTTCTATTGATGTTAAAAGTTTGATAATATACAGTTTGTTAAAGTGGTTTGGTCACTATTTGGGCACGATCGACTTCAAACCATAGGTGTTTAAATGAACCAAAGTCTTTTGTTTATTTCTATAGCTTTTTGCCTAGTTTGATTAATAACTAGTATACCAGTCATTCACATATAGTCATAACTGGCCAACCAAGGTTTACTTGGTAGGAGGGTGACAGTTTACCCTTTAATACCACCTGATTAAAATACACAAGATGTTCTACACAAATAACAACAAATTGTTTATTTCTAAGAACATAATTTTCCTTTTATAGGAAGCTCTCAACTTTAATTTGGAGTCACATTTTAATTTTATAATGTAATAATTCAATAAATGGTCATTAGATATTGGGTTATTTGGAAAACTGCAAAAAATCAAACTTCTGACAATGTCCTTTAAAATAATTAACTCAGCTGGAAATAGTTAAACAAGACTTAAAAATACAAATCATAATGGCCAGGCATGGTGGCTCACGCCTGTAATCCCAGCACTTTGGGAGGCTGAGGCGGGCGGATCACGAGGTCAGGAGATCGAGACCACGGTGAAACCCCGTCTCTATTAAAAATACAAAAAAACTTAGCTGGGAGCAGTAGCGGGTGCCTGTAGTCCCAGCTACTTGGGAGGCTGAGGACAGAGAATGGCTTGAATCCGGGAGGCGGAACTTACAGTGAGCCGAGATCGCGCCACTGCACTCCAGCCTGGGGCAACAGAGCAAGACTCCATCTCAAAAAAAAAAAAAAAAAAAAGAAAATACAAATCATAACGTGAATATTCAAATGATTGTACAGTGTAACAATTGTATGCAAATAATTAAGAATAGTGACTATAATAAAAAAGTTTAATAGATTTGACATCAACATTTAAAGAATATAACTTACATATACGAAAATAAGCCATCAAAACTTGAAGCTGTCAAATTGTGAAAAACAGTAGTAAACAATAAAAATCACTGACTCATTGGAAACACTGCAAAATGTCATGAAAACATTTCAGAAATGAAGGTACGTTAATGAAAAATAATCATAGTTTTAAATTCAGTCTCACCTCACCTTTAAGAAACAGTGTAAAACAGCAATAAATGGGATAATTTATATTACTGCAATAAAATGCAAATATATATATATTGTGTACTAGCACCCTCTCTTCAATGTATACTTTAACCCAATAGCTTTCTACCACTGGAAATTTATCATAAGAAAATAATGGTGGCTTACACCTATAATACCAGCACTCTGGTAGGCTGAGGCAGTAACGTCAGTTGAGCCTAGGAGTTCCAGATCAGCCTGGGCAAAATAGTGGGATTCTGTCTCTACCAAAAAAAAAAAAAAATGCCAGTCATAGTGGCTGGCACCTGAATCCTTGCTGCTTGGGAGACTCATATGGACCTAGGCTGATTTGAGCAGGGGTATCATTTGAGCACAGGAGGTCAAGTCTGCAGTGAGCTATGATCATTCCATCGCTGCAGCCTGGGTGACAGAGCAAGACCCTGTCACACACGCAAAAGAAAATAATTCAGAATGCGCCCAAAAATATATAAATATATTTCTGAAAGCTGCATTTGTAATACTGCAAAATCAATGCCACATTGAGACAGGGGTACCAAGATTAAGGTAGAGTCACCAATGACAATTAAAATCTGGAGTCAGAATGCTGTATCTAAGTAGGACAACAATTTCTCTGCTGCAGCCTACCATTACCATGCAGCAAAGTTGCTCTATTACTTCTGAATTTTCCACATTCTTAAAGAAAAGCAGAAAATCCAGTTTCTAAGACAAAAATCAAGTTATAAGTATTGACAGAAAAATCACTTTTAAATAATTGTAAAAGTAACAACACACTATAACAGTAAATCTAATTCAGCCTGATACCAGGCTGTACCAATAGATATAATGAAACTGCATAATATTGGTAAAACAATTGTATGGTAGAAAAATACTGGCATAAAAATGTTCATAGCAAATTCATAAATGGAAAAAGTAGTCTGTTTTATTTAAATAAAAAGGAGCTAAATGAATGGCAGACAACTACAAATTAATAGTTTATACCTTTCAAGTTTAGAATTAAGGATATATTTTTCTTTATTTTTTGTTTTCATTATTGTGATGTATTATGCTGAAATTAGCAAAAAAAAAAAAAAAAAAAAAAAAAAGAGAGTATCTGACCAATACAGAAATTTGTATTGAGAAGTAAGGTGTGTCCCTAACAAACCCACCTATGAGTCAGTTTGAAGGTAGCAAGAAAATTTTTATCACTGTCATATACTTCAGAAGTATTTGTGTACCTAATGATTTCCAGTGTCATCAAACATAGGTAAGAACACTGAGTATTAGCACTGGTTGATATTTGGTCTCTACAATAGTGAGTATGGTGGTTAATTTTAGATGTCAACTTGAATGGACTAAGGGTTGCCTAGAGAGCTAGTAAAACCTATTAAAGTATTATTTAATATAGTATTGTAGAATATACGTTAAATACATTATGTTACATGTATTCTAATGCAACACATTATAATATATTAAAGACATTATTCCATTAATACAGTACTTAGTATAGTATTACTTAATACATTAAAATGGTAACTAAGCTTGACGAATCCCTGAGCAAAGCCAGTTAGACCTCATAAGCAGCCTCTCAACCTTGCTTGTTTTGCAAACATTAACAAAACTTCAGGTATTTTTTGTAAATGCCTATATGAAAGAAAAACAGAACTTTCTTTTTCTTTCCAAATAGGAGTGTTTACTATAGTTTTCCTGTTCCTGTATCACATTACACACTGAATGTGTGGGAGAGCAGAGAGATTTAATTTACAAGTTTTAGATCAAGAGAGCATAACCAGATCCCAGGTTAAGACTTAACACTACAGAATACTCATGTTAGTAATACTCGTCCTATAAAAAGATACACTTTTCACTGTAATTGCTGCAAACAATAAAATACTGTAAAATAATATGCAGTGTGTTTGTGAAAGGTCAATAACATGTTTATATTTTTGCTGTTGAAAAACTACACAAAAACAAATGACTACAACAGCAGATCAATTAGTATCAGTAGAATTATACCATCAAAAATTCCACTGAGCTTGAATGTAAGATCTGACATAACCAGATAATTCCATGGCAGGGGAATAAACTGCATTTACATTCTCTTTCTAACAATTAGTGCAAGCATATCCAGATAAACTATATTGATTCTACATTATCTTAGAGTGAAATCACCTAATAACTTCTTCAGTAGTCTTTCTTTTAATTTTTATCCTAATTATCCGTCTGAAAATGATCTTTTAAATTGGGAAAACTCTGATTACATTACATCCTTCAGTTCAGAGTAGCATTGGGTAAAGACATTTTGGCTGCAGACAAATCACTCTTTCATAGTCATCAGCTTTCAGAACATTCTAAGACTTTATTTTCCATCTAAACTTTTCAGTTAATTTGACTCTAACTTTTAATTGATGTTACTGAGCAGCAAAGGAGCCTGAAGGACACTGCTTTGTTTGGAAAAATGAAGAAAGAAAGGAATGTAAATCCTGTAAATGTAATTCTAACGAAATCAAGATAAAATATAGTGTTTATAAAAGGAAATACAATTATTTCTAATAACTGTACTTTCATTTCAAATAATTTTCAACAAATTAGTGATGTAGAATAAATACAATTCCAGAAGAATCCAGGATTTTTTTTCTATTGCATGGCTTTTTATTAAATTATAGCTACTTGAAGGCTTTGAGAAATTGAACACCAGTAAAACTGCCCTTCTTTTGTTAATATGTTTTGTTTTCTTTTTTCATTTTTAATTCAACTAGTCATTCACAAGAAAAAATTCACTCAGGTAAACTTTTTTGATTATTCTTTCATAGCATTTAACGCGTGTTATTTATTGTAGTCTTTTGTCTATGAATCTATTAATGCTAAGAAACTGAACATTCCTAGGAGTGTCCTAATAAGAAAGAAACATTAACAATTTCAGCTGTATTTTTACTTAAATAAATATTCATATAGTTTACCTTTCAGGATCATAACAAACACTTTAATTATATAAGAAGGTTTTTGTATATACATCAGACTACCAAGAAGTCATATCTGATTTTGTGCTTTTCTACTACTCTTCCCCCAAACACTTGTTCAAAAAGTTTACTTTTAAAGGGTCTGAACTGTGTGTCAAGCACTGACATCAGCATGTTACCTGAATTAACTCATTAAACTCTTGTGATACTCATGTGGTATTAGCAGTGAAGAAACTGAAGCACAGAAGCTTCAAGTAAAATGTCCGGTTTTAGAGCAACTGAACAGTAGAGTATGGAAGCCCAGTTACTGACCTTGTACCATTGCCCAGTATTGTGAACTGACCTAAAAAGGCCTATGAGATATCAACCCATTAAGATCCATGACATAAAGAAAATTGTTTGTCCTACAATATCCCAATCTGGATGAAGGCACATAAAGAGAATATGCTTAAGCATGATGACAAAAAAATAAGAAAGAACTGTGAATGAACTTTACAAAACAGAAAAGAACACAAGGGACTTTGGAACCAAGTTGAAAATTAAATATGTTCATGTGCACATAACAAAAGAGTGATCATAAATAAACTGTGTCAACACTGTACTATGAAGGTGAAACTTTCTTTTTAGGATTAGTTAAACCTTGTATAAGTTGTAAAAAAATGCAACCACATATATTGATGTACTAAACCCAATGTTTCTTTTGGCTTATATACTAAAAACAGGAATTCCTTCCTGTAATGAAGAAAAAACACAGGCATCAAGGAGTAACAAAATTAATGTCTTAGAATCTAAAATATAGAAACACCAATTAAGGCTTTTTTTACATAATACATGCAAAAACTGCATCAGAATTTACAAAAAATCTACAGCGTAATTGGTTCTGGCAATAAGCAGTCACATTCTGCTGGAGGTAACTTTAGTAACGTCAAGCAAAGGTCTTAAAATTATGACAGGTGGTATTCATTTAAAATACTCTTAAGAGCTCTTAGAAATCAAGAACACAGTATCTGGACCCTTATCCACACTCAATCTCTTTCTAACTGGGAAATTTTGGGCAAAGTTTTAAACTTTCTTGAACATAAAATGCCTAGCTAGCAATAACTTTAGAAAATACTAGGAGTTTGTAAAGTTACAAGAATCAAATGAGTTAATAAATGTAATGTACTTAATGTAATAATGTGCAAAATAATAATTCATTATTTTAATATCTAAATTCTCTAGCTTGTAGTTATTTTGAACAGATAAATATATATAATTAAAATTTCTAACATGTGTTTTTGATTACTTATCATGTAGAAAAATACAGCTTTCCAGATGAAAATATAGTATATAATGTAGAAGTCACAAATAATATTTATTAAACTGGAATGCTATCATTTTAAATTATTTTGGAGCTCATTAAAGTAAGTCTGCACTGGCCAACTTTTTATTTATTAATTAAATTTTTGCCTAGCACAGTTAATCTCCTTTTCTAAGACTTAATTCCCAAATCTATAGCCTTTCTTTTCCCATTTGGAGATGAGTGGGAGTACTGTTCCTTTCTTGCCAATCCCTTCCTCTATTTTCATTATAATAACCAATATGCCCTTGCCTAAGCATATGCCCCCAGTTAATAATACAGATTCACTGTACTGTCTCACCAAATTTAACCTGTTATTTTTGGAAACAGGGTTTGTTTAAAAATGGGTTTGTTATTTCTTAATACATGCCAAATGTCATCAGTATATCGTGGTCCAGATGTATTCTAAATACCAATTGAAAAACATTCTTAAAGCTAAGAACACACAACATACTTCACAGAGTGAACAACTGTGAGAAGCCTGGGGATTGTAGGCATTCTTGGAAAACTATTATTTTTTTTTCCATGTGTGTCAAGCATTTGCATAGGTTATATGTTTTATAGCTCCAGTTATAAAAATAGGGAATAAATTATATTCCCTCACATCTGTACAAAATAGCAAGAATACACATCTACAGAAGTTTAAAGTATTTACTCTTTTTTTTTAGTTAATACGTTTCAGAACCTTAAAGAGAGCAAATCATAATACCCATTGATTATAATGTCACATTTTAGTTATTACATTATTACATTTACTTATTATAACTTTTAGAATTTTAGGAGGGAAAAAATAATTCTGAGTGTGAAATTTGAATATTTGCACCCTAAAAATTTCCAATTCCATTTTCAATAATTTAGTAGAATGTTTCTTAGAGAAATAAGAAGACAATTAAAAATATGAAGTACTACTAGGTTTTCAAGTATATTGCAAAGCCATAAATAATATATAATCTATCAGTGGTACAATAATTAATATATTTTTTCAATTATATTCAGTTGTAAGAACTCAATGCTCCTAAAATTTTTAAATAATACTATATAAAAGCAACTCAAATGATATCAGCTCAAATTCATGTATACATCTTTGCAGCTAACGTCTTTTAAAATTAAAAATAATTTAAAATTTTGTCATACATTTATGAACCCATTTTAAAGAACATAACATGTCATACAAATGTTAATTTAATACACAATGCATTAGTAAAAACTGTTCTGTATACATATGTTTATGTTAGAAAACTATTTTTAAACAGCAATTCGATTCTATTGATTCATCAAATTATTAAATCACAACATTGCTAAACTCAATTTTTACTCTCCTAAGCATATTGGAATCTATGAGAATATACAGTAGAGATAATAATTTGAATAGAATTTAACTTATATGTTTTAGCAAAGAAGAAATAAAAACTGGAATATTATGGGTTTCTAACATGCCTATTTGTTTGTTAGTTTTCCTTTTAAAAATTTCTTTATAGAAGCATTTTGAGTGAAGCCCACAGATTATTTAATAACTTATTAGTTATTTAAAAAAGTCTGCCTTGTTGACAATGTGGAAAACACCATAGAGTGGGGTCCCCCACCCCAGGAGCTGCAGACCAGTTAGCTGCTCATAACCTGTTAGGAACTGGGCCTCACAGCAGGAGGTGACCTGCGGGACAGGTAATGCTGGGTGGCATTACCACCTGAGCTCCGCCTCTTGTCAGAACTCAGAGCGGCATTAGATTCTCATAGGACCAGGAACCCTACTGTTAACTGCGCATGTGAAGAATATAGGTTGCACACTCCTTATGAGAATCTAATAACTAATGCCTGATGACGTAAAGTGGAAGAGTTTCACATACTCCCCCATCCCCACAACCCACTCACCCAGCCATCCCTGGTCTGTGAAAAATTTTCTTCCACAAAACTGGTCCCTGGTGCCAAAAAGTTTGGGGAATGCTGTGTTAAGGTGAAAAAGGGTACATGTGGTAATTGTAAAAAAAAAAAGTTCAATAAATATAGGAAAAAACTCTAACATCATATGTATATGTGGACATATATACTTACATATACATGATTTTCTGATTTGAAGAATGTATAAAAAATGAGAAAATGACATTGAAAACCTTTTTAAGGATCATTCATTAATATACTCTCGCTCTCTCTATATATGTATTATATACTATATAGTATATATAATATATAATACATATAATATATAGTATATTATATATTATATGTAATACATATAATATATAGTATATAGTATATATATTATATACATATAATATATAATATATAGTATATATATTATATACATATACTATATAATATATAGTATATATATTTATTATATACATATATAATATATAGCATATAGTATATAGTATATATTTATATACATATATTATATATTTTATATAATTTATATTTATATACATATATATTATATATAATTACATATTCATATATGTATATATAATATATAATACATGTTTTATATATATTATATATATACATTTTATATAGACAGGGTCTCACTATGTTGCTCAGGCTGGTCTTAAACTCTAGCTCAAGTGATCCAGTCTTGGCCTCCCAAAGTGCTGGGATTACGGGCATAAGCCACTGTGCCTGGCCCATAGTTAAGTACTTAAGTCAAAACTGATCATTGTACCTCCTTTCTCTTCCTCGCTTCATTCTTGAAAGGAATTCAACACTGAAAAAGAGGTGGAGACTTAACTGAGTCATTCACAAATAAGAACTTTAGAAAAGTGAAAAAACATAGTTATACAAATCATTTCCAATGATTTGTTCATCTTTAAAACATAGGCCAATATTTCTATTTTACCCAACTTTACTCAGCTGTAGGATGCAGTCCAGAAACATCTTAGTGTAAGAGTATTTTTTCATAAAATGTAAGATATTTTATTCAAATTGAATGGCTGATCAGCCATAAGAATTCCACTGTAAAGTAACCAAAGAAGTACAATTCTTACAAAACAATCATGAAATAGTTTTAAGAATTAAAGAAAAAGTAATCACTTTTCACCAGGAATCAAACTTTTAGTTGGCATAGCATAAAATAATTTCTCACACTGGCAAAAGGAAAACCTCCAGAAACCTCCAGGCAAATGTCCTTTCCCCACTCCCACTCCTAAAGAAAATATGGGCTAGACCGAGGCACCATGATCTCTCCTGCCTCTTGGATTTGCTCTCTGTATCCCAGGGCTGTCTTCTAGTCTAATCTCACTCATAAAGCTGAGCAAATGGCATACCAAGACAGAGGATCTAACATGTGTTTGACCTTTTGGAGGCATCTCAAGTCCCTGGATTCCACCTCCTGTTCTCCGTATTTTCAAACATGTTCTCGAATATGTGTTTGACCTTTCTGAAGTATCACTAGTCCCTGGATTCCACCTCCTGTTCTATATATTTTGTAATGTTAATGTCCAATTTCATTTTTAAAATGTGAGTTTCTACACAAGTTGTTTCTTATTTGTACCCGAAGACTTTGAATAGGCTCTGGCACTCCCAGACATGGGATATCAAACAGATGCAGGCCTTAAGTAGGTCATAGGACTGGACTTACATACAAGTGGCTGTGGCTTGTGAGACTAGGTTGTAGTGGTTTTTTTGTTGTTGTTTTGTTTTTTCATTTTGTCTAAGGACTTGAAAACCTTCAGGGGAGACGTGAGTTAAGATTTGTCTTCTTCTAGTGATCTTCTTTTAAAACACAAATCAATCCTGTTAAGGAATCCATTAAATTACTATTAGTGCGAATGGACTTTTTTAGGTAGCATGGATGAATTCAATGTAAATGCAAATGTAGTATGTGGAAGAAGAGCCATTCTCATTCTATGAACATAGGACAAGGATGAGAATATATATAACCTATAGTTAATGAAAAATATATATTTCTGATTTATGTGAAATCAATTTAAGAGATTACATAAATATATTCTATAGATATAATATGATTTTCATCAGAGCACAGAGGATGAAGAGAGAAGAGAGAAGATAGGAGTGGTGGCTACTAGATCCTTTTGGGGGATTATTTTTAAAAAGGCAGTTTTTGGCAATAAAAGGGGACTAACACCTTCTAATAGATATCCACTGGCTTGCAGAAAACAAAGTGTCAGAAAATTTATCATTGGAGAAAAGTCAATGTTTCCATTAGTATTAATGTGGCTAAAGATGGCTCAAGGGTAAAATTATTCAAAATACTATGCATCACAATAGTGCCACCCTGTGGACTACTCTCTCTCTCACCCTATGGGGAAAGGGGCTATGTGAAAAGAAAAAGAATTTCTAGCGCAGCAAAACAAAATTCTTTAATTTTTTTACATAGAAATTGATAGTGTTTGCTATCAGTGATGTAATTATTTTACAAAGAAGCCCTTGAACTATGGCAGAACTTCTGGATGCTCTGTCACTATGTGTCAATCTCAATATATCAATCATAACACGTGTGATTTGGGGTTAATATGAAGGAAAAACAAACTTCTCTTCGGTTAAGTATATTTTCCGAGATTTAAATTAGTTTCCCAATTTTTTTCCCCAGGTTTCCAAATTCTTAGTGTAACACCAACCAAATATCAAAATAGATTATTAGAGTTTCGATACAATAAATAAAATTAAAGAGTAAGCTTATAATTCACATTATTTAATTACATGCATTATTAGAGAGGACATTTCATTAAAGCATGCAAGTTGCATTTTTTTTTTTTAAATTTTGACATGTAGATAGTTTAAACTAAAAGCCAGCCAACACTTTGATATAGCAGAAGACAACTGGGAAATGTCAGTTGACTAAAGTGGTTATTTAAAGAAAATAAGGAAACACAATATTCTTTTTGTCTATTGATATGTGATGCTGTACTGTTATTGGGCAAACTTTTTAAATAATAGAAAACTCTAATGCTTACGATGACAAAAACATGTTCTGTAAAATAGCACTGTATATGAAAATAGTACAAAAGGGGGAAATTAGAACTCTGACACCACAGTATCAATGAACATCACACAGACTGAAGATCACAGTAGTGAATGACCAACATCTTTAGGCTGGAAAGAGTGGGAAAAATTAAGAATTTCATGGAGATGTTATTTTCAAAAATAGACTCAATAAAATCACCAAACTCACCACTGGGTTCAGAATGTGATCAACCATCTCTTTCACTTTTATGTTACCTTTGTGGAGTTTTATTAATGGAAATGAAGAAATTTACTAGAAAAACATGATTGCAGGCACTGTTAAATTTACTTTCTCTTTGTATAATTTCATGAAAGTGACCTGAACTGCTTTGCAGCATTAGTAGGGAAAAAGATAAATTTATGAAATTAAAAGGTGAGAATACATAAAAAGTTTTTATCTTTCCAGTGAGAAAGTGATAATCATAATGTTTAGTTAAAGCTATCATCTAACCAAACCCATCAGTACGCTAATTGTTTTTAACTTGAGATTTTAATAATGCTGAAGTATTTCCGTCACCTCAGTATTAGTGCTTCCTTGTTTAAATCTCAAAGGGCCACCATCCAAGGCTGCAAATATACAAATGATAAAATTTTGGTATTTAAGAATACCCATCTTCTAGTAGGACAGCCATGACAATAATAATGGCTTTGATAGAAGAAAACAAGAAAATTTCAAGAAGATAAATACTAGGGAAAGTTTTTAGATTAACATGCAAGTATGATACCCTCCCTCACAAAAATAAAGTTCATTAACACTAAGCCTGTAAATTTCATAGAATACTTCTTGAACTAGGAGAACTGGAATCACCCATCCTGTTAGAATGCAATTAATTGGACCCTCTTGAACCCGTATCTTGTGTGTCAGGAGTTGTAAATCTGTTAAGCATCTTCAGGCACTAAACAAGATCTGAATACTAATGGGTTCATTTATTTCACTGATTACTGTATGCAGATATGAAATTCCAGGCACTGATTTTTCATTAAACCACTCTCTTAAGGTTAACTTGCCCCTCTCTTTTCACCTGAATCCATATGCTTGCCACGTAAATTGTAATATTGATTTTTAACATTTCCCCACAGTTCAAAAATATTGTTTGCAAAAAATCAAGGGCCTTTTCTAACAATTCATGTAATTCCTGTTATTAGCTAATGTGTAAGAGTAGGGAACAATTAAACATACTGTATACAAAATCTTACCATCCTGAATTGCACCCAAGATATTAGTTCAGTCATCCTTCAAATTACCTCACAACTAAAAAGGATCAGATACTTAAATAAAAACTTCAGGCAAGGTAGGAAAGAAGTCTTTTATCATCCCTGTATATTGCAAAAGTGTTCCATTCTCTCTAAATTCACATTATATTTATTAATGAGCAGCACATGGAAAGAAAGAAAATGAGAGAGAGAGAGAAAAAGAGAAAGAAGGAAGGAAGGAAGGAAGGAAGGAGAGAAGGAAGAGAAGAAAAGATAAAGAAGGAAAGAAGTCAGGATGGTAGGAAAGTGAGAGACAGAAGGAGAGCTAGAGATAACGATGAGAGAATTAAAAGAGGGAAACTCTAATGTCTTTGATATCCCCCAATTTAAAAGAGAAGGATGTGACCCCCTCCCCCGTTTACATATAATGGAACAAGCCAAGTCTCCATTCACTGCATGTGGACAGTAAGAAAACTTGCATGGGGAAAACTTTTGGGGGGAAATGAAGGTGATTTCCGAGCTGCTACTGCAGTTATATATGACACTGACATTTATTTCCCATAATTCTTGCCCACAGGAAACACATCCTTTAAGAAACTGAATAAAATCAAGTTTGACATTCTCATAATCTGCAAGGTATCAACTTCCCTGAGAAGCTCACATTCCCCCAAAACACACACATGTATGTAAGGAGCGAGACATTCAGGAGATGAGCTGTGAAAGGTACTTCCACATTGTGAGGGTGCCAAGGATTTGGTTATTCCTGAACCTGAATCCGAAAAGCGGGGGTGGGGTTTGCGATGACAAATGAGGGTGAGAAGAATGTTTCCATGAAACCAGACACCCTTTTGGAATCTAGGCTGAGAATCAGGATCCCACCCCCTTGCCTACCGCCAGGCTCCAGTAAGCAACCTCTGGCGTCCTCCCCTCTGCTCCTTCCGCAGCAGCAGACATAGGGATCCCTAGCAGCCAGGGAGCTTAGGTCCCGCCGAGAGCTCCTGCCAAGCGCTTCTCTCTCGACTAGTTATCAATTGAGAAAAAAAGGATCAGACTCACAACAAGGATGGTGATCAAAATCCAGTGTCAGGCACCAGGGTCCCAGAAGGTTCCGGCTCCTCTTCTGCGCCCTTACCCAGCTCTTTTCGCCTCGCAAAGGGTCACCCAGGGAGCCACCAGCAGCAGATCCTTCCCTTTTGCTCCTCCTGATAGCGCCAATCTTCGCCACCACTGCCACACTGCGCGCCCGCTATCCACTCACGGCACACCGAGAAGGCCTGGCGGAGACAGCGCAGGGGGAGGAGGGTGGATTAAAAGGATAGATTTTTGGAAGGGTAAGGGAGAAAAACTTTGATGTTGTACCCACACACAGGACTGAGAAGAAACCAAAAGAAGTTGCAGCTTCAGGAGCTGGGAGGACGCTTTCGCCAGCTCGGAAAAAAAATAATAATAAATCACCCCCTACCAAAATCAGGGGGAGGAATCTTCCTGCTCCTTGAGCGATCACTGAGCACACCTCGCAATCTCTGATCTTCGAACCCACTGAAAAAGCACAAGGCATGGGGAGTCCTGTTGGTTCACGCCCGGGGTGCGAATACCAAAAGCACCTCCCGCTGGAAAGGCTGCAGGAATCTCGAGGCAAAGACAGAGGCAAACGCAACGCTGGGAAGAGCGAGGGGTGCTGCCATCTGCAAAAGCAGAGACGCGTCTCCCTTCGGGCAAAGTGACTGTTACAAAGTCTGTTCCCTCCTGCGCAAGGACAGAGACATTTAAAGGCCTGAACGGACGTCAGCACCAGTCGAGCTCGCTGGGTGAGCGCCAGGTCTCCCCACCCCAAGGATAGCGCGCACAGGGCGATCTGCTGCTCGCGAGGTAGAGAGTGGCTTACTTGGGGAGAAAACATTGAATCTGTAAATTACCTTGGGCAGTATGGCCATTTTCACGATATTGATTCTTCCTACCCATGAGCATGGAATGTTCTTCCATTTGTTTGTATCCTCTTTTATTTCCTTGAGCAGCGGTTTGTAGTTCTCCTTGAAGAGGTCCTTCACATCCCTTGTAAGTTGGATTCCTAGGTATTTTATTCTCTTTGAAGCATTTGTGAATGGGAGTTCACTCATGATTTGGCTCTCTGTTTGTCTGTTGTTGGTGTATAGGAATGCTTGTGATTCTTGCACATTGATTTTGTATCCTGAGACTTTGCTGAAGTTGCTTATCAGCTTAAGGAGATTTTGGGCTGAGACAATGGGGTTTTCTAGATATACAATCATGTCATCTGCAAACAGGGACAATTTGACTTCCTCTTTTCCTAATTCAATACCCTTTATTTCCTTCTCCTGCCTAATTGCCCTGGCCAGAACTTCCAACACTATGTTGAATAGGAGTGGTGAGAGAGGGCATCCCTGTCTTGTGCCAGTTTTCAAAGGGAATGCTTCCAGTTTTTGCCCGTTCAGTATGATATTGGCTGTGGGTCTGCCATAGATAGCTCTTATTATTTTGAAATACGCCCCATCAATACCTAATTTATTGAGAGTTTTTAGCATGAAGAGTTGTTGAATTTTGTCAAAGGCCTTTTCTGCATCTATTGAGATGATCATGTGGTTTTTATCTTTGGCTCTGTTTATATGCTGGATTACATTTATTGATTTGCGTATATTGAACCAGCCTTGCATCCCAGGGATGAAGCCCACTTGATCATGGTGGATAAGCTTTTTGATGTGCTGCTGGATTCGGTTTGCCAGTATGTTATTGAGGATTTTTGCATCAATGTTCATCAAGGATATTGGTCTAAAATTCTCTTTTTTTGTTGTGTCTCTGCCTGGCTTTGGTATCAGAATGATGCTGGCCTCATAAAATGAGTTAGGGAGGATTCCCTCTTTTTCTATTGATTGGAATAGTTTCAGAAGGAATGGTACCAGTTCCTCCTTGTACCTCTGTTAGAATTCGGCTGTGAGTCCATCTGGTCCTGGACTCTTTTTGGTTGGTAAGCTATTGATTATTGCCACAATTTCAGATCCTGTTATTGGTCTATTCAGAGATTCAACTTCTTCCTGGTTTAGTCTTGGGAGAGTGTATGTGTCAAGGAATTTATCCATTTCTTCTAGATTTTCTAGTTTATTTGCATAGAGGTGTTTGTAGTATTCTCTGATGGTAGTTTGTATTTCTGTGGGATCGGTGGTGATATCCCCTTTATCATTTTTTATTGCGTCTATTTGTTTCTTCTCTCTTTTTTTCTTTATTAGTCTTGCTAGCGGTCTATCAATTTTGTTGATCCTTTCCAAAAAACCAGCTCCTGGATTCATTAAGTTTTTGAAGATTCAATGCCAACCCCATCAAGCTACCAATGCCTTTCTTCACAGAATTGGAAAAAACTACTTTAAAGTTCATATGGAACCAAAAAAGAGCCCGCATCACCAAGTCAATCCTAAGCCAAAAGAACAAAGCTGGAGGCATCATGCTACCTGACTTCAAACTATACTACAAGGCTACAGTAACCAAAACAGCATGGTACTGGTACCAAAACAGAGATATAGATCAATGGAACAGAATACAGCCCTCAGAAATAACGCCACATATCTACAACTATCTGATCTTTGACAAACCTGACAAAAACAAGCAATGGGGAAAGGATTCCCTATTTAATAAATGGTGCTGGGAAAACTGGCTAGCCATATGTAGAAAGCTGAAACTGGATACCTTCCTTACACCTTATACAAAAATCAATTCAAGATGGATTAAAGACTTAAACATTAGACCTAAAACCATAAAAACCCTAGAAGAAAACCTAGGCATTACCATTCAGGACATAGGCATGGGCAAGGACTTCATGTCTAAAACACCAAAAGCAATGGCAACAAAAGACAAAATTGACAAATGGGATCTAATTAAACTAAAGAGCTTCTGCACAGCAAAAGAAACTACCATCAGAGTGAACAGGCAACCTACAAAATGGGAGAAAATTTTTGCAACCTACTCATCTGACAAAGGGCTAATATCCAGAATCTACAATGAACTCAAACAAATTTACAAGAAAAGAACAAACAACCCCATCAAAAAGTGGGCGAACGACATGAACAGACACTTCTCAAAAGAAGACATTTATGCAGCCAAAAAAACACATGAAAAAATGCTCACCATCACTGGCCATCAGAGAAATGCAAATCAAAACCATAATGAGATACCATCTCACACCAGTTAGAATGGCAATCATTAAAAAGTCAGGAAACAACAGGTGCTGGAGAGGATGTGGAGAAATAGGAATGCTTTTACACTGTTGGTGGGACTGTAAACTAGTTCGACCATTGTGGAAGTCAGTGTGGCGATTCCTCAGGGATCTAGAACTAGAAATACCATTTGACCCAGCCATCCCATTACTGGGTATATACCCAAAGGACTATAAATCATGCTGCTATAAAGACACATGCACATGTATGTTTATTGCAGCATTATTCACAATAGCAAAGACTTGGAACCAACCCAAATGTCCAACAATGATAGACTGGATTAAGAAAATGTGGCACAGATACACCATGGAATACCGTGCAGCCATAAAAAATGATGAGTTCATGTCCTTTGTAGGGACATGGATGAAATTGGAAATCATCATTCTCAGTAAACTATCGCAAGAGCAAAAAACCAAACACCGCATATTCTCACTCATAGGTGGGAATTGAACAATGAGATCACATGGACACAGGAAGGGGAACAACACACTCTGGGGACTGTTGTGGGGTAGGGGGAGCGGGGAGGGATAGCACTGGGAGGTATACCTAATGCTAGGTGACGAGTTAGTGGGTGCAGCACACCAGCATGGCACATGTATACGTATGTAACTAACCTGCACAATGTGCACATGTACCCTAAAACTTAAAAGTATAATAATAAAAATTAAATTAAAAAAAAAAAAGAAAACAGATCTGGTGGCGCTGCTGAGTGTCAAACCCTGGAGCCCATCATCAAGACGTTATACTGGTGGCAGTTCTGCTGTGAGTGCACTTGCCGAATTGAACAGAGCCAGAGCTGCGTGGAGAGAGAGCTGGCCACTCTGCACGCGCGCAGCCAATATTGGGTTACCAAGGAGCTCAACACCTGGTTTTTAGAAAAAAACACTTCTCTCTTTAACTCTGGTTTGAGTCAGTATTCTGATTTGCTTCTGAAAGTTAGTTGAAATCCATCGAGATGTCTTTCACAAGAAAGGGATTAGACTTTCCCGTCTTGGAATTCCAATCAAGATAATACTTAATCTTTCCTTAACCCCCACTGTGTACTTCCTAACTCACAGTCACAATGGATGAAAGTATTCAAGCATCTTCAAATGACCATTACCCTGCATTCTAAGACGATTTGCCTACTTAGACGTCCTTTAGTAACTGCAAATTATATTTTTTCAAGTTCGTTTGCCAGCTGGCTTCAGATCAGGTTCAGTCAATGAAAACTGGTGTGTAGGAAATTGGCCGGTGCCCAAAGAGTAACAGTTAGGTTGTTCCTCCTCCTTTGCCTCTGCTATGGGTGACATCTACACCATTACCTGTCCTCTAAGTGGTTCTAGCTTCCATCAGGGAATGCTGGCTCCTTGTCTTTAGTAGCTTGACCTTCCCCCTTTATACTTTCAACCTGTTTCTGATTATAATTTGACTTCTCATATAATCAGAGGGAGACAATTTACTGATTTCAATCAATTACTATTCTCTATATTTTATTTATCATACTATAAGACTGCATTTTATGTGTGTTTTAAGCATGATTCAGCCACTCAAAATTTGACAAGAGCAGCATTGGTATCTTCCAAAAGGAAGGTCAAATCCTGCTGTGTGGTAAACTAATTACCATAAGATCTACAAACTACAGGCTTAGGGTTTTACTTTGATGACTGTTATTTTTATAATTCTGAGTATCAGTGTTCAACATATTTGATGGCTATCCTCATCAAATGATCCTAATTTATTTATTCACTAATTTATGTACTCTTTGAAAATATGTATTGACATCTTCTGTATCCCTGTCCTCATACATCTCTCAGTTTTGTTGCAACAGAGGAAAGAATATGGTGAAACAAGGAGTTGGCCCCTTCTTGACAACTTGTGCAGACACAAGTGCTTTGAATGGGGAAGAGACTGGGAATGCAATTTTCTTAGTGTGGTGAGCTATTCTGCAATATTATAACAGATTCAATATCTAAAGAGCTGCAACTCAAAATGAATAAGATAAATTGAAGTGTTGTGATTTAAGTGCAAATTAAACTCTCAAAAACATTAAAATACAGGTTTTGCCTGTAATTAACAAAGCAAAGAGAGAGTGTAAATCTTATGCAGCAATTAGATTGGTCCATGGTAAAACGGAGGTAGCTGGTAATTTATTTTTCTATGTTGGGGAAGAAATTTAAAAACAAATATAGTAAACAGCAATTAATGTTTTATGATTTGTAAATAAAGTTATATTTTTAAGATTGAAGCCTCTCTTACCATTCTCAAAGAGCCATTTCAAGCCTTGAATCTCTCAGGGCTTCAGTCTGAATTATTATAACTTTCCAGTTTGAGAACATTTTTCATTTATTCAACACTTAAATTGTATGAGATTATATTTTCAGGAACAATTATGTTTATTTTTTATATGAAATAAAAGTGGACAAAATATTAACTGATAATTGTAAAAGTATTACAAGAAATACAAGGCATATTATAATTATGTGTCAATAAAAAGAGAAATGCCTGTAAAATTATAATAAATCATTCAAATATCTTAAAAGCAAAATGCATAAAATGTAGAATGTATATATTTTCATTTGAATGACCATTTTTTAATTAAAAAAATAAAAGGATTCTTAAAACATTCAATTAGAAACTACGGATTTTCAGCTTTTCCCGATTCTATTAGAAATGTAAAACAAAATAAATTTAAATTCAAAAACATGACAGACCCTTCATAATGTTTTCTCTGCCTACTCATTCCATGTCACTTCTAATTTCTCCCTCCATACAAAATATGTTGAAATCATACTAAATCTTTGCCTTCTGTGCTTTTATTGTAACACACTCCATCATCTTTACAGTTGCAATTTTCTGTTCATATAATTTGCCTTCTTTCTTCCATTTTATGGCTTAGCATCTTTTTATCTTTCTTGGATCATCTAAGGTTTAGTTTTCTTGTGGAAATTTACATTGGCTGCACTTCCTAGATATTCCCATTGGGCGTTGATTTCCTCTTATAGCACTTCCTCCACTGCGATGTGTTGCCACACTAACTAACATAGCTAACCTGTTATACAGTAAGAACTGTTAGGAGAGAGTTAGGATAAAAAGACTAAAGTGGGTAGAGTTAGGGTTTGGGTTACAATACTAGCTGTATCTTGATTTGCTAGCATAGCATACATACTAGTCAACAAGTATATATGTATTGAATATACCTATAAATAAATCAATAATAACTTTTAAAACATAGACCTTTGGTTTGTATCTTATAAAAAGCTTCCCTAAAATGTATGAAAGGTCTCACTGACTTTATGAAATATACATTGCTCTGATTTCTTATTTATTTTTATTTATTTATTTATTTATTTTGAGACAGAGTACCTCTGTCACCCAGGCTGGAGTGCAGTGTCACAATCTTGGCTCACTGCAACCTCCGTCTACTGTGTTCAAGCAATTCTCCTGCCTCAGCCTCCCGAGTAGCTGGGATTACAGGCGCATGCCACCATACCAGCTAATTTTTATATTTTTAGTAGAGATGGGGTTTCACCATGTTGGCCAGGCTGGTCTCAAACTCCTGGCCTCGTAATCTGCCTGCCTTGGCCTCTCAAAGTGCTGGGGTTGCAGGCGTGAGTCACCGTGCCTGGCCCCTTGCTCTGATCTTAGTCTTCTTAGGCTCTGGTCCTTAATATTTGAGAATGTCTGACAGGACCCGTGAATTTTATTTTTTAAAAATTGTATATGCCCAAAATTTGCATGCAGTTTGTATGGAATTTTGCAAAATGTATGGAAATCCTGAAGTCTGGCTTGTTTTTTTCTTTTTTTTTTTTTTGGCAGGGTCTCGTTCTGTTACCCAGACTGGGATGTGGTGGTGTTATCGTAGCTTACTACCTTGAACTGCTGGACTCAAGCAATCCTCCAGGCTCAGCCTCTGAGTAGCTGAGATTAAAGGCATGTAACACCATGCCCAGCTTATTTTATTTTATTTTTTTCAGAGACAAAATCTTGCATTGTTGCCCAATCTGGTCTCAAACTCCTGTCCTCAAGTGATCCTCCTGTCTAGGCCTATTAATCCCAAAGGGCTGGGATTCCAAACATGAGCGGCTGTGCTCAGCCTTGAGGTTCTGGCTGTAATCTGGCTGTTATTTATGGAAACAACAGAAGTTCTTGGTATTAGCAGCAGTCATTCTTCTTGAGAGAGTCACCCCACAAGACTGAGATGAATATATTTAAGAACCCAAAATGAGGTCATTATGGCAGAACAGAATTGATAGTGCACATTAAAAGACATTACACACTTTGGGTGATTCAACTAAATCATAGTCTGAAATGCAGTTACAAAGTGGTAATGTTCAAAAGATCATCTATTAGTCAAAGTTACAAGGAAAGTCCTGGTTATGTTGGTAAAAATTGATATCTGTGATTATCCATCTTCAAATGATTTGTTAAATGTTTATTAAGATAAAAAAGTTACATTTCAAAAGTATTTATATTATTTGTCAATTCCTCCATAACAAATTATCCCAAAATAAAGTATAATAATAAAATTTAAAAAAAGATGAGAAACATATTCTTCACCACAGGAAAAAAAAAACAACCTTTATTATCTCAAAGTTTCTGTGGTGCAGGAATCTGGGCATGGCTTAACTGGGTCTTCCATTCAGAGACTCTCACAAGTTATAATCAATCTCACTCACATGCTTGATGGTGTATTCAGTACTTTGACAGCTGTTGTCCAGAATTCCATATAATGTGAGCCTCTTCGGTATGGAAGGTTTCTTCATCAAAATGTGCCAAGCCAAAAAAAAAAAAGCTATTGAAAAGAGTCCAAGACAGAAGTCACATCTTTTGTCACCTAATCACAGAATCAACCTCTCATCATGTTTGCTGTATTCTATGCAACAGCAGCAAGCCTATAGATCCAGCTGACACCCATGGGGAAGGTATTAGACAAGGGTTGGAATCCCAGGAGATGGAGACCATTAGAAACAATATTAATCTGCTGATTACAGTAGTTTGCCAAAGAATCCTGAGATAATAATTCTGGGCTCAAAATTCTTATGAGGCACTGAGGCAGGACAATAAAGGAACAGAAAATAATACTATATTAATTTTAATGATTTATTAATACTAATATACTGGTATAATGTGCTAAAATAGTATACTACATTTTTGGTAATTTGTCCAGGAGTAATAGAAACAAATCCAAATATTAAATATCAAAGCATATTATAATTCTATGATAATTAACTCTGTAATTTAAAAAGTCTAATATAGGAATATACCAAAAAAGAAAGTTTTAAAAATATACTTTATTTCCTAATATATCAAAATGGAGCCTTCACATATGAAATTAGTAAAATATTTTTGACCTAATAATTTCATTTTTAGCTTTTCTCTTAAGAAGTCATATTGTTTGCAAAAATGTTATGTACCAAGGAGTTTATAACATGCAGTTGTAGTCAGGAAAAATTTTAAATTAAAAATGTGCAATAAATATATGTAAAAACAGAATAATATAGGCATCTAAATAGCCCTATATAAAAAGACAAACATAACATTACAAATTAGCATTAACCAAAAATATGCTCTGAAGTACATCCCTTGATTAAATTTACTTAAGTTTCTTTTGGAAAAAAATAAAAATAATTGTATTTGCTAGTAAGAGAAGGTAGAACATTATTTGCCCATTTGTTTTCAGAAGTAAAACAAGACATTTATGTTTTCAGAAGTAAAACAAATACAATATTTTCTAAGTAATAAGGTTGAGACAAGAAAAAAACAGCAATGAGTAAAAATGTCTATTTACATGCTTTTACAGGAAAACAAGACTTAACTACTTTCTTCCAAAAAAAAATTTAAGTAGAAATGTTATTGTTTTACTAAAAGTAAATACATTTTACATACTTCTCTCATAATTTTAATCTGAAGTTCAGTTATGGTGATCATATTAGTCAGTGTTTTCCAGAGAAACAGAACCAACAGGAGAGAAAAAGAGACAGGGAGATGAAATAAGGCATTGTTTAGCATGATTATGGGGGAAAAGACGTCCCAAGATCTGCAGTCAGCAATCTGGAGACTCAGGAGAGATGGTGGCATAGCTCCAGTGTGAAAGCTGGCAGGTTTGACACTCAATGAAAGCCAAAGTTTCAGTTTGAGTCCAAAGGTGGGAAGAAACCAATGTCCCATCTCAATGCATTCAGGTAGGAGGAAGTTCCTTCTTACTCCTAGGAAATTCAGCCTTTTTATTCTATTCAAGATTTCCACTGATTGATGGGACCCACCCACATCATTGGGGAAGTCTACTTTACTCAGTCTATGAATTCAATAGAGAAAAAGATATACATAAGCTATCATTTAAATTTTTAAAAAATCATTTCTAATCAAAATGTAGCATTTTAATTGTGTTTTTAGAGTTTTGTAAGTGTCCTTAATTTTTCAGCTTATTCTTAAAAAATCAATTTCACTTTATTCAAAATTCCCTTTTGGAAAACATTAAATGGTGGCCCATATAATCTTAGACTTTACATGCTTTTTGATAAATATAACATTAAAAGTAGCATGTGTAGTAATTTAAATTACATATATAAGATGTACATATATTATTCTCCAGAGGAAATAAAACTGTTAAGAACTCTGATTTAGTCAGGGTTCTCCAGAGAAACAGAAGTGATAGAAGATGTGTGTGTGTGTGTGTGTGTGTGTGTGTGTGTATACATATATATATATATATAGAGAGAGAGAGAGAGACAGAGAGCGAGAGAAGAAGTGAAGAGAAGACATTTATTAGGAGAATTGGCTTATCTGATTTCAGAGGCTAAGAAGTCTCATAATAGGCCATGTGCAAGCTGGAGAACCAAGAAAGTTGTTAGCATGGCTCAGTCCAAATCCAGAGGCCTTTCCAGACTTTACCACTAATCAATACACTATATTTAGAAAGGTATCATAATAAGTCTCTATTTCAATTTAAAATTCTCTATTTTCAGAGACAATGAAGGACAAAGGGTCAAATTTTACAATTATTGTGAAAAGAGATTATAGAGAAAGGGCCTGGATAATACCAAAAATAGAAGAAAGAACCATCCATCTGGGGCAGAGAATCAGCAGTGATATTACTTGAAATATGGAAATTAATAATATGTAAGGTTGAGTTTAAGATCTAAAATATAAAAGTTAAATTTAAATCTAACATATATGATTTAACTCTCTAGAATATATCTACTCAATTATATGAAACAAGCGGGCTGATTCTCAATACTTTATCAATAATAAAGGTTTTTCCAAATAGTTTTGAAGAAATATCAAAGTGTCTAAAAAAAAAGCCTTAGACCATGAACCATAGAGAAAAAGACAAGGTTTGCCATGAAAAGTGAATAACCTTTTTATTTCCAGTTGTGATGTGTTGATACAAACCATTAGCACTTTCATTTCAGTGAATTATGCCAGTTCTTGCTTTACCTTGTCAAGATTATATATATGATTATATAAGCCAAACATGCTTCCAAGCTGTAACTCACACCAAAATAATAAAGACTGCGAATGAACGACTATATTTAATAAAAAACAAAATCATACACTTATTTTAGATTTGAAAATGTTTGGGCAATAGGTTAATTAGATCTCTTTTGAGTGTTTTGTTTGGGATGTGTGTGCATATGAATCTGAGTGTATGTCTTTGTGTGTGTCATCAGCTCAACCCACCTTGAAGAAAAAAATATGATAAAATAAATAAATAAAATATATATTATCAGAATTCGGTACAGATAAAAAGTACAAAATTTGATGAAGATCTCTGTCTTGTTTATCATTACACAAGAAAGGAAAAAATTGGAATATAAGGCAAAAATTGTTTGTTCATACTAGCTACTTTTGAACACTGCTCTGCCCAACAATTTTGCATCCATTAAAATAAATATAAGAATCAAATATTTCAAAGCAATGCTATAAAATACTTGTATGTAGAAATTTGTTGATGCCCTCCTCAGCATCCTGTCCATGTCTTATTTTATATCAGCACAATTCACAATTGCAAAAACATGTAACGAGCCCAAATGCCCATCAATAAGTAGATTAAGAAATTGTGATATAAAAAAATAAATATATGGGGATACTATTCAGCCACAAAACGAAAAAATAATGGGGATTCACAGCAACCTGGATGGAATCAGAGACTATTATTCTAAGTGAAGTAACGTCAGAATGGAAAACCAAACATCGTATGCCCTCGCTCGTATGCGGGAACTAAGCTATGAGGATGCAAAGGCATTAGACTACTACAATGGACTTTGGGGACTTGGGAGAAAGGGTGTGGGGCGTGAGGAATAAAAGACTACAAATTGGATAGTGTATACTGCACAGGTGTTGGGTGCATCAAAATCTCACTAATCACCTCTAAAGAACTTACTCTTATAATCAAACACCACCTGTTCCCTAAAAACCTATGGAAATAAAATAAAATGAAGAAATTTTGTGTATGCATACCACATATTTTTTAACTTTTTTCACAGGTTCATTGAGATATAATTTATATATTATTTAATTCACTCATATAAAGTATAAAATTCAATTTTTTAGTGCATTAAGTGGGTGAATATGCAATCACCACAACATAATTCTAGAACATTTTTATGCTCCTTAAAAGAAACCTTGCGCCCATTAGCAATCTTTCCTCATTTTCCCTACTCTTTCTTTAAACCCCTCCCAGCCTTAGGCAACCATCCATCTACTTCCTAACTAAGGATTTGCCTATTCTGGAAGGATTTGCCTATCCTAGACATTTCATGTAAGTGGAATCATAATAATATATAGTTACATGTGTCTCACTACTTTCACTTATTATGTTTTCAATGTTCATCCTTTTTGGAGCATGTATTAATACCTTTTTCTTTTTCATTGCCAAGTAATGTATTTTATGGACAGGCCACATTTTATTAATCTACTCCTCAATTGATGAACATTTCTGTTGTTTCCTACTTTTTGTTGCTATAAATACTTGTATGCTACTTTTTGTGTAGACGTTTGTTTTAATTTTTTTGGTGTACACATAGGAGTGAATTACTGAGTCACGTGGTAATTCTATACTTAAACTTTTGAAGAACTGTTTCATTTTTCTGCATGATGCTTGCCAATTATCCCAGCACCATATATTGAAGAGTGTCCTTTCCCCACTTTATGTTTTGTTTGCTTTATCAAATATCAGATCTGTAGATTGCTTTGGGTAGCATTGAGATTTTGACAATATTATTTTTTGAGTTCATAAATATAGGATATTTTTCTATTTATTTATGTCACTTCCAACTTTCATCAATGTGCTATAATTTTCAGTATACACATTTTTCACATCCTACATTAAAATTACTCCTTAGTATTTTATTTACTTATATATTTGTTTTGATGCTACTATAAATGTAATTACTTTATTAATTTATTTTTCAGATAGTTTATCATGGGTGTTTAGAAACAAGAATACTATTTGTATGTTAATTTTGTAACTCTCAACTTTATTGAATGTGTTTATCAGCTTTAACGGGTTTTTTTGGTGGAGTCTAAGATTTTCTTTATGTTAGGATTACATTTTCAGAAAACACAGACGATCTCACCCCTTCCTTTCCTATTTGGATGCCTTTCATTTCTTGGCCTTGTATAATTACTCTGGATAGTAGATTACATACAATGTTTTCAGCATTTGTAATTTGACATGAAATCCATCTGTTGCAATACACTGATTTTCACTTTTCAACTTGAAAACCTGGACATTTATCACTACTCTCCCTTTCTCTTGGTCTAGTCCTTATTTAAAAAAAAAACCTACCAATCTAAACTAGGATAATTATTTTTCTATAAAACAATTTCAAAGGCATTTAAAAAATTTAACAATTTTTAAACTTTCTATGTCAATGATTTTAAACTGCGGTCTCTCAAAACAAATCCAATACCTTTAGTAGGAAAAATTATGTTAATTCCTACACTATCATTGGGTCTAGCCAAGAGTTGATATTAATAGATATGCTTATTTATTACCTTGTTCTAACAGTTGTAGTGTAAGTCTTGAAAATCAAGTAAAAATTTGTAAAGATTATAATCGCACAAACTCCCTCTCTCATGAGGCACACAGTTAATCCAAAATATTATTTCTAACTTACCATAAAGCCAACAAGTAAATACAATGTAGTGTTTAAAAATAATCATAAGTATATTCTAGAAATGAAACATTAATTGATACTATTTATTGAATATCTCATATTTATTTACATAGAAACAAAGGAATCAAAAGCATATTATGTAACATTGAAATGACTAAAAATACTTGAGATAGCATTGCTACATAAATGCTATGTAAATGCTGACAAAAGTAAAAATGCCATTCGCTACATTTGCTAAACATACTGTGACACATTATAAGTATTTTAAAGATATATCACTAATGCTTGGGTCAAGTGGGCAAAAATGATTCTAAGTATTTAATTGTGGAAAAATTTAGTGCAGGGGATAGTATTCATGTGATGGAAAAATTTTAAGTGGAACTCAGAGATTAGAAGCAGCAGGAAGTTTTAATAACGTACCAGGTGCAGTGTATAGGATACAAGACAGAACTATAGGTAAAGTCTGAGTCTTTCCAGCATAGCTAGGAGACATGGCTAACTCCACCTGTCCCCAGGCCTTACCTAGAAGTTGAACAGCTCCAAACCAGGTAAACAGAACAATTTTCCAAAGTCAATCAATTTATGACGTTAAAGCACTTCTAAAATTTAACCTCTGACTTAAATTAGACAAAATGGATAAATTTTGATGATTTTTTTACCAATGATTTTAACACTGTCTTTATTTCCCAAAGATTACTGAAGTCATGTGAAATAAAAGGCATTGGAGATTCTATTTTTCTGACAAAATATGTAAGAGCCTTCCTTTTCTTCTAAGCCAAGTAATTAGGGCTCCTTTATATATATACATACATACACAACACTTCTAGACAGGAAACGATCTAGCAGTTGTAAGTTTTTCTTTCTCATTTTATGAATCCTAACACAACTTCCATAGACCATCTATGACATGAACTTTCTGACTTTTCCTGTATTTCCCTCTTTCATAATTAGTCATTCTACTTTAGGACAAGAATTTGCCATACAAGATCCTCTCTCTTGTAACATTTATTTCCTTCATAACTTTCTTACCATAAATACATCTTCATATCCACAACTTTCTTTACATCTCCCTCCCCGACTGATTTCTGATCCCCATCCAAACCTAAAAGGTCAGATAACACAAAGCAAAACAAGGGAGAGCTTTACATTTTGAGAGAGACCTGTCTGCCTGAAGTTCTTGGGATTCCATGAGGACAAAGAGGTTTCTCCTAAAATGGGTTTTGTAGCACCTTCTGTTTTTCTTTAAGGAGTCCCAGCCTGTCAGAAATTACCTTAGATCCTCTCATGTGGGCACTGAGTGGCAACAAGACAGACTAGGGAACACTGGCAACAAGACAGACAACTGAGTAGAAAAAGAAAAACTACAGTCCCCACTGTAAAGATGGATAAACTGAGGCATCATGCAGTTTAAAAATGCATGTTACATAGAGTTGGGCTCCACAGCTCACTCTCTTAACCATCCTGTAATTTTGCCTAACCTATGCCCAGTCACTGATGCACCTGTATGGTACTTCATGGCCCCCTTAGAGCTTAGAACCTGGGTTTCATTCCTGCTCTACAGCTATATAATTTAACAATTTTCTTCTGAATTTGTTGGATTCTAACCCTATGCTTCTAAAATTTTATTAATATTACTGAATCTTAAAGGGAGCTTTAAGATGTCTTTAGTCTTTAGAAATACTAAACCTATAAACAAAGGACTATATGAAGTTAAAACTGTATTCAAATTTCTACATGTTTTAAGACACTGAGGCAACGTATTAAGAAACACACCTAAGACAATCAATCTACTCTGGACAAAAATTTAGATATGGTCTCTTCTAAATAAGCTACCTAGTGGTATTTATACATATTCTTCCTTATATCAACCGTATCTTACATGCTCATAGCCTTAAAAATAACTAAAAAGTGTCAGAATTATAGGCCTTACACATTTCTGTTGGCTTGAAAAATGATACAAAATGCATAAACTTCTAGAGTGATCAGTTTAAAAAAGGAGTTCATACCAAAGGTAGTAATACTAGGAATCAAAGAGGGCTAAACTCTGCAGGTTTTTAAAGGTGAAAGTTAATAAAACCTTGTTTTTCATTGTGAATCTTTGCCTTACAACATTATACACATGATTCTTCCCCCTTCTTTTTCCTCTTGCAAAGATGTGGTGATGAACCCTTTGCTCATGCAGATGACAATACTCTTGAAAATGGTGGCAGAGAAAAAAAATGAAGGGAATATGGTTCACTTAATCATCTCATAAATTAGAACTTATTACCCCTGTGACTCCTGAATAGCTCCAGAAAAAATATGTGAGAGACATGAAATGGCTGTTTGCTACCAATATTTTATGTGATGCTTCATTTTTTGATTCCTTGAAGAACACAACGCATTAGCCCATTTATGCGAGAGGTTGCAACTTTTTGAATTTTTGCATAAGTGAAAAATTAGACCTTGTCGATGACATTTAGCAGTAGGATACAAGTAATTCCCACGTGCTTGGCGTGGAACACTAGGCATAAGTGGGTTAACACAATTACGAAAGCATAGCTATTCAAGTAACTAATTATACAACTGACTTTTTTTTCCTCATCTCTAAAACATAGGGATCAGTTATTTAAAAAACACAGTGACAAGTATTTTATTTTTAACTCAGTTTTGGTTTGTTAAGGGCGTTGCTTGGCATAAAAAAAACAAAAACAGGAGGAGAAACAAGAATACAAACATGACATAGAAGCAGTAGCAAAAGAAAATGAAGAGTATCAAGAAAATGAGAAGAAAATACACAATGGAAGAAAGGAAAAAGAACAGGTGTGGGAATTAAAAGGCCTATTATGATACCTTTTATCCCCTCCTCGATTCATAAAATTTGAGTAACTCCAAGAGTATCACAACAAAAAACAAGCAAAAGGATACACAAATAGTCACCCCCTAAATTTGGTTAGGAATGAGATAATGCTGCCACTCAAGCCTAGCTCGGGCACCAGCAGGAGGAGGGCACCCTCCAGAGACTGCAGGAGAAGGGGGAGGACTCCTCTTTGCCCTATATGTACCACCACCACTGCCACCGAGGCCTTCGTTACAACACCCACAGGTTCCTCCCCACCCCAGAACGGGATGGGCCCTGCAGTGCTCCTACTCCCCCTTCCCAGCCCCCAGACTTCCTACTGCTACCACCACTAGCGCCGATGCCAATACAACCACTGTCACCCTCAATGTACCAGCCCACCCTACCAGGCTCCTACCACCTGGTCCCCGTGGGTGCCCTCCTACCGCTCCAGTTGAGCTGCAGTCTCCATCTCTACCACCAACTTCATGAGGCAAGTTTCAGAGCCATGTCATCTGCTCGACCATACCACTGGCGACTCCTCCTTCTCCTCCTGCAGCCTGGCTTGGAGCAGCTGGGCAGGCAAAGCTAGAAAAGCCCAAAACGGGACTCAGGGAGTGCAACCGTTAGAGCCTCACCTTGTCATGCTGGTGACTGGGTTTCAGGGATCAGTTTCATTGAAGGCACTCACACCCACTTCCAAAGTCCAGCCTCTCCTCTTCTGGCAAAAGCTGGCCAGGAACTGGGGCCTGGGGTGGGAGTGAGTGCCTTCACTGAAACCAGCCCCTGGCCAAGTCCAGCTGGCCAGGAATTGCTGGGCCCACCAAGGCTGCCCTCCTCAGGGAGCCTGAGTAGGAGAAACTCAGACCCAGCCAGCCCTCCCCACCCAAGAGCTGGTTCCCTTTCCTGACACCTCCACCCAAAGTGCCCTGTCCCCCACTTCCCCCATGGTGCCTCCTACTACCTACCCGGTAGTCCCAGGTGGTCTTCCCAACACAGAGCATGAGGGCGGGCCAGAAAACCACAGTGGGTGTGGGGGCCCTGCCCTGCAATCTAGCTCGAGCGGGAGAAAATTGCCTTCTAGAGTCTGGCATCTGAGAAGAGAACGATCCCTTACTTGGAGACCACCAGAAGAAGGAGGCCACTGCTGTCACTGCCGCCACCACCTCCTCAGCTCGCCAGCGCCACTGGCAGTGTAGCCCCCATAGCACCCCTAATCTGCCCCCTGCCACTAGTAGTGTAGCCCCCGGATAGCACATCCAACACACCCTAGTTTCAGGCAATGTAACCCCAATATCCCCCTAAAGCACTCCCTCCACACCTCAGGGAGCATAACACCCGGTAGTTCTCACAATCTGACCCAGCCACAGGCAGTTCAGCTCCTGATGGCGCACTCCCCAGTCACAGGCAGTGCAGCACCCAACAACGCCCCTAAACCACCGCCCACTGCCAGCATTGTAGCCCCGGATAACTCCACCCAACCCACCCCCTGCCGCGGGTAGTGCAGCAGAAGATAGTGCCCCTAATCCTTCCCCAGCCACCTGCAGTACACATTAGTGTACACAATCTGCCTCCCCGACACCACCCCTGCCACCATGGGCTGTATAGCCCCGGATAGCCAGCCAACCTGCCCCACTACCAGCAATGCAACACTGGAGAGTGCCCCCAACCAGACCACTGCCACAGGCAGAGTAGCCTCTAGCAGTGAGCGCCAATAGGACACCCAACCCTTGTCCCCAGAGGCATACGGGGCAGCCTCAGAAAACTCACCTACCCCATCACATTTCTACCACTGTGGCCGAGCTGCAGTCTCTGACGTCACCACCAACCACAGCGAGGTAAGCCACGGTGGCACAGGCTCCAGCCTCCAGCATGTGGCGGTTCCTCTTCGTTCTAGTCCTCCAGCCCAGCAGGAGAAGCTCCTGCTGCCGGCTGCCCTCCTACTGCTCTCTCGCCACCACCAACCGCAGCGAGGTAGTGTCCCAGGCTCCAGGCTCCATCCATCCTCCAGTCTCCAGCAAGCGGAAGGTTGCGGCCTCTTCCAGTTTTCTAAGTTGGGCACAGAGCAGCTCCTCTGCTTGGCACAGAAGAGCCTGAAATGACGTGACACGACCTCAGCATGCTTTATATACCGAGGTTAATGCAAATGTGGTTCCTGGACTACATGTTCTGATAGGACGAGAAAAAAACCTCTAGGCCTACTCTGATTGGACTTTATTTTCATGCTGTGATTTGTTGTGTTAAGACTTGCTCTCATCCAATTACAACATTATAATAAAGTCCAATCAGAGTAAGCCTGGAGGTTTTTTCTCATCTACTCAAAACATGCAGCCCAGGAACCCTCCTGGGCATAACTGCAGTATATAAATGATGCTGAAGAGGGATGAGGTTTTTTCGGGTTCATGTATCTTCCTGTGGAGTTGCTCGGTGTAGAGGACTAGGAATCAGGAGTCACTGGCCTCCTATGCTAGGGGCTGGAGCCGTGGGAGCGGCGGCTCACCTCGCTGTGGTTGTTGGCAGCGACGGAGCTGGCAGCGCGGCTGGAGTGGTAGGAGACGGAAAACAGTTTTAGGATAGATGGAGGGGAGTAAAGAGGGTAGATAGTGCCAAAGGGAAAAAAAGGTAGCTTAGTCAGAGAAGGAGTTGCAAAAAGGTGGTAGTGAAAAGATGGTGGGGGAAAAAGTTTTTGGGTAGATGGAGGCAGAAAAACAGGGTGGGGAGTGGGAAGGAAGGAAGGTTTTGCAGAAAGACGGTGGGTAAAAAGTTTAAAGGTAGATGGAGGGGGAAAAGAGGGCGTCAAGTGGGAGGAGGAAAAAGAGGGAGATGATGGGGGAAAACGGGGGTGAGCAGTAGGGAGAGAAGGTTTCGTGAAAAGATGGTGGGGTGAAAATAGAGTGGGGGGGGAAGGTTTTTGGGTAGAGGAGCAAAAGAGGGCAGCAAGTGGGAGAAGGAAAAAGAGGGTAGCCAGCAGGAGGAAGACAAAGTTTTGTGAAAAGACAGTGGCAGAAAAGAAAGACCATGGACAAAGAAAAGACGGTGGGTGAAAAGTGTTTCGATAGATGGAGGGGGGAAAGAGGGTGACGAGGAAAGAGGGTAGCAAGAGGGAGCAGGGATAGAGGGTTGGGAAAACGACGGAAAAATAATTTGGGGTAGATGGAGGGCAAAAAAGAGGGTGGCAAGCAGGATGGGGAAAGAAGAGCATGAGCGGTAAAGGGAGGAGACTTTGAAAAGATGGTGGGGAAAGTTTTTGGGGGTAGATGGAGGGGGAAAAGATGGAGGTGAGCAGGAGTGGGGAGAAGGCTTTGTGAAAAGACGGGGGGTGGAAATGTTTTTGGGTAGATGGAGAAGGGAAAGAGAATGGCAAGGAGGAACGGGGGAAAGATGATGATGAGAACAGTTTTTGGGTGGATGAAGGGGAAAAGAGGTTGGTGAGCAGCAGGAGTGGGGAGAAGGTTTAGGGAAAAGACGGGGGAAAATGTTTTTGCTTAGATGAAGGAGCAAAAGAGGGTGGTGAGAGTGGGAGGGGGAAAAAGAGGGTGGCCAGGGTAAGGGGAAAAGACGGTGGGAAGAAACTGGGGAAAGGGTTTGGGTAGATGGATGGGGAAAAGAGTGTTGAGCAGGAGAGTAGAGAAGGCTTTGTGAAATGAGGGTGGGCAAAAAATGGTGAAGTTTGGGGGCAGATGGCAGAAGAAAAAGGGTGGCGAGAGGGAGGGGGCTAAAGGCGGTCGGGAAAAGAAGGTAGGGAAATAATTTTGGGGGACAAAGGTTTGGGGTAGATTTTTTAAAATAAGATTATTTGTATTTTTGATTTTGATGAGTTCTTTATTTTGTGTATGAACCCCTTGCCTGATGCATAGTTTGCAAATACTTGCTTCCATTCTCTGGGTTGTTTCTTCATTTTTAAAAAATTTTAATTTAATTTTTTTTTGACGGAGTCTTGCTCTGTCGCCCAGGTTCAGTGCAGTGGCACAATCTCTGCTCAATGCAAGCTCTGCCTCCTGGGTTCACACCATTTTCCTGCCTGGGCCTCCTGAGTAGCTGGAACTACAGGCGCCTGCCACCACGCCAGGACACTTTTTTTGTATTTTTAGTAGAGACGGGGTTTCACCGTGTTAGCCAGGATGGTCTCGATCTCCTGATCTCGTGATCCGCTGGCCTCGGCCTCCCAAAGTGCTGGGATTACAGGCGTGAGCCACTGTGCCTGGCCTTGAAACATAACTTTATTTTTTATTTTTGTATTTGTATATATACTTTAGTAGCCCTGAGTTTTAATAAAGTTGCCTTTAAAATATGTATCTTATTTTTCAGAAATATACCCTAAGGCATGTGATTAGTTGGGTGGCATGTTCTTTAGTTTTTACAATTGAAGGATTGTCATTCCTTTATACAAAAAAAGTGAATTTTTATCATATGCTAGAGGAAAGAAGGTAGATACTAAATAAATACTGTATGCTTCCATGTAGATAAAATTTGAAATTATATAAAGACACAATACCTTAAACTTTTCTGGGGTTAAAGTGGGGAATTTCATTGGCAAAGTTCATGCAATAAATGTGTAGGTGAAGGGAACATTCCATATTTGATTATGTAGGTGATTATCAAGCTTTATAAATTTATAAAACTGAACTGGACTAAAATGTGTGCCTTACACGCAAATTATAATTCTATAAAATTGATTAAAACTAGTTAGATAAGAGAGAATCAAGGGGAAAAGAGAAAAGGCACGTGAAAAAATAATGCCAATGCACTAGAATTATCTTTGATGACATTAAATATAGCCTGGTCTTCTCTTAATTCTTTTTAAAATTAATGTAGATTTCTCAATCCTTTGATACTTTTTCCTGAACGCATCTTATATTCTCATACATGTTAATGTATGGCTACATAGGAGAGGATTCTTTTACAGCTGGACTGGAACAGCTTGATATTTATATCTAGAGATGCATTGGAAACATAACACTGACCCGTGAGCAAGATGAAAATGGCATGTGCTAGTGATTCATTAATATGTTGCTTTAAGTTTAGTGCCAACTGGTCTACATCGTTGAGAATGTTTAGTTTGATGGTTTACACAACTTGACTTAAGAAGTGTATGACCAACAGTGTATGAGAGAGCCTGCTATAAAGACTTTTCTGCACTTCCCTTAAATTATTATAGTAAGCTCAAATCTTGAAGGTTCAGAATATACAGATAAAATGTGTCCGTGAGGCTGAGAAAGGATCTTTAGGGAGAAAGGCTCTGTTCCTGAAAGACAGACTTTCAATGATTTCCTGCATTTTATTTCTGTTCTAGTTTACCTTTACCTTTATTAATCACTAATAAGGTGGTTCTTATAGGGCCTCATAGGCCTTTTTAGTTTTCCAACCTATTCATACTTAGTGCAAACCTAGTAATTTTTTGCATGATAGTATTGGGATTTTACTCTGAGGCTAGGCTTCACACTGTAAAAACATCTTTTTGGAATTGTATCATTTTCAGTCTTTCCATCGTGTTCCACTGTCCCAGCCACACACACACCAGATATGAAGACTACAAGCAACCTCAAAAAGTAACCCATCTATAGTAGATGTTTTTACCTCTTGTGAAATCTAAGGAAAATATACTAAAAATGAAGGCATCAGTAAAACAGTATCATTTTAGGTTGACCTCGAGCATTTCAACATCAGTCTAACTTCAGAATAATACATTAGCAAGGAGAAATGGGGTACTTTTGTGGTTTTTTACACCTGTTATTTCAATTGAAATTGAAAAAAAAAACTAATTTGAACTAACCATAAAAGGAAGGTTTTATCAGTATTGAAATAAAATAACAGAAAATGCATTTGTGGGTCTGACCTCAGGACCGATTTTAAATAGTCAATCCCTCTAACTCTCATTCCCCTTTCTCTGAGCATTAGCTTTATTCTTATTCCATCTTACTTGATGTGGCACTGACAGATACAGACTCGTTCTTACAACATATACCATCAGAAGTGAAACCTTCACACTCTCCAACTCTTGAAAAATCTGAGATGCACTTTGACTATTCTCAGATTATGGGTATATTACTTGGATCAAAAAGTACTGCACAGGGAAGTAGATACTGTAATCTCTGACATTACAGTTTCAAGGTTGGAGTGAGAAAGGGATAGCTCCCTAACAAGGGAGTATCATAGAAATGATATTTTCATGGTCATACTTCTGTGAACTAGGCAGACATCCCTTCATGTCAACTACATCTCTACTCTACTTTGAACAGATAAATATCCTTGCATATACAAAATTATGCAGTAGTGTAAGCATGACTTTTCATTAAAATTTAAGCAAAACAGTCTATTTAGGTGAATACATACTGATACAGGAGATAGTTCTGCTTGAATGATCTTTACCCTTGGGGAGAGATACATAAAAGAATGTCATACTTTATTATGATATGACTATCCAGCATATTTATGAGTAAACTTTCATAATACCTTTCTCTATTGTCTAAAATAAGCACAAAAACCCTTTTAGTTAATTAATATCCCTTTTTAATATACAGAATAAATAGAAAATAGCACAAAAGGTATTATGCCAGCACACAGAAATAGTTCCAGTTAAAAGTCAATCCTGTATTTTGAGAACTTGACAAAATCATAATTGAAAATAGTGTACTATCTTACATGCAGATGTTGTGTAATCAGGGACATCCAAATCAACTTACATCCAAATATTTCACAATTAGTTTTTGAAATATTCTGTGAAGTATTATAAAACCAGGCCCTCAGGAATATAAAAGCACAAAGGGAGCCAGGACTCCAAATAGCCATTTATTCATTTCCTAAGGTTAGGTACAATGAGGACTGCATTTTTAACATTATCAGGGCCATAGAGACATTGGAGCTTAAGGATAAGATCCAATTTCATAGCAGTCTGTTAAAGTTTAAGCCAGTCTAATGACCCAAATGTTCACCATAATAATTACCATCTTGAGTGATGATGTTATGAATACAAAGGAACACTGCATCTCTAAAATAAACTACGTTTATATGACATGAGACCAATTTGATGGAAAGAAGGCAAAACTGTGAATGGTAATTTTGTTTTAATTGTTTTCATTGTGTGTACTCATCTGAAAATATAATACCATGTAATTAGAAAAGTTATCATAACAGAAAATAGACTGGAACCTTAACTTTTTATATCAAATGTTCTGCACACGAATATGGCCTCCTACTGATGATCTATGGCTCCAAAATATTGGTAGCTATAATTATGCTTTGTAAAACAGAAGCTGTGAATGTCTTACTACATAAAGACACAAAGAATCATTTCCTTACTCATTCACTGCTAGTAGACCCTGAGGCACAGCATTTCCTGCCCAGATACCTGATTATTAATCCAGTTTTTGTTAGGGGTACACTAACGTTAACTAACGGAGATTGGTGTTTAAACCAGTTAATGTAAAGAAATGCTGTAGGAACTGAAATATTCCTTTTAAATTAACAAAAGTGTTCTTTCTAGATAGTCAAAGTTACATGAGGACCCAACTGTATACCAGAAAATCATTTGATGAATATGGAATTAATAAAATAATGTTTTGTTGTATGGTTTTAGTACTTTGTTGGTGCCAGGTTAAAGACATGTGGCCCTAGATAGGATAACTCTACAGAAGAGAATTTAATTTGTTTGCCTGCTTCACTAGAAATCCAACAATTAAGTCAGTGACTCTATTTTCCAATATTCATTTCCTCCATTTTTTCATCTCTTTTTGATTGATGGTATCATTTCGTTATTTTATTTTCATTGACATGGAATTCATTTTGGCTAAAATGACTTTTTGACTATTTGTGTATATATATATATATATATATATATAATTTTAAAATCAATGGAACAATATTGTTTCTCTACTTCCAAGATTATCCCTCTATATTCTCTAAAGTCGATACCGTGAAACAGTCCAGATATGAGTCTAGGAATGGCAGTACGAAATACTGTAAAACTGGAAGCAACTTAGTAGGTAATCAGTAGGGAAAATGAAACTCAATATAACTGACTCTATTTAGTTAATGTAATGATGCATTTATTTTATATTTTTCATACAAGTATTTTTTTCATATTTTAAAATTTCAAAGTTAAGTATACATGTGACTACAGTCCTCGCAACTTCTTTAAGGTACTTTATCCGGCAGTCACTAGCAGATGTGTTTGTCTAA
Organism: Homo sapiens; assembly: GCF_000001405.40. Classification (NCBI taxonomy): domain Eukaryota; kingdom Metazoa; phylum Chordata; class Mammalia; order Primates; family Hominidae; genus Homo; species Homo sapiens. The sequence goes on from NC_000017.11 coordinate 22,576,318, forward strand.
TTCTTAGTTTTTTTTCTGCCTCATAATTTTGTTCACATTTGCTGTGGAGATTTTAGAAATCACCTAGATTGTTTGGTACAGGAAGGAAATCAACCCTGGGCTGCCTAATTACTGACAATCTGTGTTTCTATGGATACACATACATTGATGATTTTGGTTAACCCTTTCCACAAACAGTCATACGTCCCATGATAGCTTGCTGTATATTAAATCAAACTTTTTATATTGAAAGTGGATAAAGTAAGCCAAGGTGTTCCAGAAGAAAATACATTTGGTTCTATATTTTTAAAAATAAGCTATAGCTTGAAAGTTTCACCTGCAGTCCTAACAAGAAACAAATTGGGATAAATAGTCCAAATAAATGAAACACATAAAAAAAGAATCTATATCAAGTGTAATAAATTGTTTACACCTCAGGTTTTTTTCTGCTTTGAAATTTGTCTTGACGTTTGACCACATACATATTTCTGTTGTATTCACTTCTAAAAATAGAACAGGAAAGATGTGGACAACAAAAATAGGATATGAATTGAGAGAAGACGTGAACTCTCAGAAGAGGAGAAGAATGGCATAAGGATAATTAGCATCGAGATATTGAATCTCAACAAACTAGGACATGGTGGTGTAGATAATGATGAAAGCATGCTTGATATGTAAACTAGTAATTTGGTCGAGCGAGTAATTTTGACATTCAGATCAAATACAAATAATTTAATAAAATTAGACCACAAACTGCATAGTGTGCTCACATAATTGTTTTCATTTTTTCCTTGCTCCGAATTCAGGTCTGACAGAGGAACAGATAATACAAATAACAGTTGATCCCTTACATCATCTAGCTAGACAAAATGATGCATATATACTACCACCAATGGAAGTTTTCTTCTTTTCCTTATATCTTTAATCTTATTTTTAAATTTTATCTATTTCAATTTATACCTTTTATTTTTTTTTATTACCTAAAATGTGCTATATGAATAACTTTCAGGGAAGCTTGGATTAATGCTGCATTTGTTCAATATGTGACATTTTCCAGTTCCTCCATAATATTCTAGTTAAGTGTGTATGGCCCATTAACCTCCTCCTTTGTGTTTCAGTGCACAGACTTCTGTCATTAATCATCTGTACAACTAAAAATTCAGTTCTTTTTTAAAACTCACATCAGACTAAAACTTTAGAGATTTGACAGGCACTGGATACTTTTTTATTTTCAAAAGAATAATCAAAATGTCTCATAACTATCAAAATGAGGCTTAGATGGGGAATATGTTTAAGACAGACTTTGACTAGGGGAAAAAAAGAGAAATAACAAATCCTTGGGTCCAAGTACTCCAGTGACAAGCTTCAAGTATAAATGCAAATCCTTTTAGTTGAATGAGTTACTTATTCTAGTTTAAGCAGATAATGCTGATATCAGACATTTTGGTATTATATAATTGGTAGGATTAATAATTTTATAGAAAATTGGCTCATTTATCTTTGGGATAGCATGAGATATTAAAATTAACTCTAGAAAAGAGAAAATAATTTTACTTCAATATTTCCAGTACATCTTTTGGGGCGTTTCATTTTTTAAGGTACGTTTTTGGAACTACCTGTAAGCATATGATAACAATATCAGCACACTAGCAAACACACTGTTAAATTTTGTGAAAAGACTTATTGGCTTATGGATTCAGACATTTACAAGGTTACTATATCCCTCACTAAGAAAGCATAATTAATTTATCACTGAATAGATAGACTAGTTGGCTTTTTTTTGAAAGCCCAGAGATTATATTAATTTAGAGAATGAATATAAAATTGCTTTGCATTTTATTGCTATGGGAATAATTTAAATTGCTTAGTGACTTTTTGCTATTTTGATTTTGTGGTGGTGGTGGTTGCTGTTAAATTCTTTCATTCTAGCCATATTTTCTCCTCCCAATTTTTCATTCATTTATTAATAATACATTTATTAATTCATTTATTCATTATTCATTATGTGAGGAAACATTGAGTTGGACCACCTGATGTAGATATAAAAACGAATTAAATTTTTCTTGCCATCAAGCATAATTGAGGCAGACATAAAAATATTTGACAAATATTATAATTGTTATAGTTGAAGTCACTATTAAATAACAAAGTAGCACAGTTTGAGCTTAAACTCCACCTGGAGAGTAGAGGAAGGCTTCATAGAAGTAGGGCATGAACTGGACTTTGAAGGTTGAGAAGGCTCACTTAAGAAGGCTGCGGGGTTGGCAGTCATATACAAAGCCTCAGAAAGGTATAACCACATGGAGTAATTGCAGAAATTGACATAATTTAATATTGCTTTGAAATTGCATAGAAGTGGTTACATATAAAACTGGATATGTCAGAACGAGGGTCAGGTCCATATGTTCAGCTGAAGAGGTTTCACATTGTTTCTTGAGAAATGGGGAGTCATTTCAAAAAAGAGGAATCATATAAATAGATTTCTGTACTAGTGAAATTATCCAAGAAACAGTGAAGATGACTGAGTTCATAGTCAAAACTGGAGTCAGAGAGATAACAGAATAATTCAATAAGGTATATATGGGAGGAGGAGAGTCGATTTAACACAGGCAGAGTGTAAATGATGAGCAAAGAATAAATATAAGAAATCATATAAATTTCAGAGATTATGAACCTGAAGTCAGTATACATATAGGAGAAATAGAAGTGGTGGATGCATGAGAAGTAGTAGTTTTGACAAAGATCAATTTTCTATGAAAGAAAAGGTACAGTGCACATTTTGCCTTAAAGTAGCTGAGGGTCCTTCAGGTAGAGATATTCAGCGTTGACTAAAATATACAGCAAAATTCTAGAAGAAAGGTAATAGAACTAACAAGATTCTATGCTACAGGTATAGCATTAGCAATTTTCAATGCACAGTTAGCAGTCAAACTCTACCCACTTTTCAGTAACTATATTGTATTTAACTAGAAATGATTTTTTTGAGAAATAGATTTTCAATAAAAGTTATCTTTAGCTAAGAAAAAGTGAAGGAAAGAGTGGGTATCTAGAATCTAAAGAAAAAAGTATTATTCCTCTATGGAATAATTTTTCTTTCTGTCAAGCAACAGTTGAGTAATGGGAGTTATATTGTCCCTCAGGGACCAAAACTGGCTACGTAAAATAATAATAAGATTATACTCTTAGGTATAAAGTATGGATATAAATATAGTAAATAAATACACAGTATAACTGTGGCATTAAAATTTAATGGAAGGCAATGACTTGGAAAAAGAAAAGTTCATGAATGCTCCTAGGAAAAGGTAAAAAATGAAGTTGAGAAACATTAATCTGATAGAGGGATGTGTCTTCCTTTTTTTAGTGAAGGTATTTCTGAGTGTAAGGTATTTTTAGTGAAGGTAAAATTTTTAGTGAAGGTATTTCGTATGTAATTTGTGAAATCAGCTCTCATACTAAAAGTGACTTAATGATCACAAAATCACAAAGACTAGTGATCTTCCTCTCTTAACATTCTTACATCAAGTTCACAGTCTGACATTCTGACATAGTCTGCCCGCTCAGTTGCTGTGGAGTTGAACTCCTCTGTCGAGTCCATATCCCTAAGGGATCATAAGCTTTTATTTCTGAGTAAGGCAGAAACTTATTGCCAAGATAATTAGTGTTAGTTATTGGAAGATCATTAATGGCATCAGCATCAAAAATCGCTCCAAGTGGGAGAGCTTCCTTTCTCTTATGGAGTTTTCATTTAATAAGCCATGCTTCCACTTAACGTGACCAAAGAAATCGGTTGTATTTTATAAATTTTTTTTAGAATGTATGTACATTCAAAGTGAGCATAGATCTTATACAGAGGATATTTTTAATTGTATATTAAAGGTTTTTTTCTTAGCACATATAGTCTTCTGCATAAAGAAGCCAAGAAGAAACTATAATGATAAGACTTCTCTGGTACTATCACATAAATAATGAGTTGTAAACAAGCTTAAAAAATACATACATATGATATAGAATATATAGGCATGCACTACTTAACTAAGGGGATACATTCTAAAAATAGTGCCATTCAACATGGTGAAACCCTGTCTCTATTTCTAAAAATACAAAAATTAGCTGGGTGTGGTGGAGCACGCCTGTAGTCCCAGCTACTCCAGAGGCTGAGGCAGGAGAATCGCTTGAACCCATGAGGCAGAGGATGCAGTGAGCCGAGATCGTGCCACTGCACTCCAGCCTGGCTGCAGAGCGAGACTCCATCTCAAAAAATAAATAAGGGCTCAGCGCGGTGGCTCACGCCTGTAATCCCAGCACTTTGGGAGGCCGAGGCAGGCGGATCACGAGGTCAGGAGATGAAGACCATCCTGGCTAACATGGTGAAACCCCGTCTCTACTGAAAATACAAAAAAATTAATCAGGTGTGGTGGCGGGTGACTGTAGTTCCAGCTACTGGGGAGGCTGAGGCAGGAGAATGGCATGAACCCAGGAGGCGGAGCTTGCAGTGAGCCGAGATCGCGCCACTGCACTCCAGCCTGGGCGACAGAGCAAGACTGTCTCAAAAATAAATAATAAATAAAATAAATATACATAAATAAAAATTAAAAAAGTGCCATTAGGTGATTTTGTCATTATGCAACCATCATTGGGTATATTTATACAAACCTAAATGGTATAGCCTACTACATACCTAGGCTACATGGCATAACCTATTCCCCTTGACTACAAACCTGTGCAACATGTTACTGAACTCAATACAGTAGGCAATTTTAACACAGTGGTATTTGTGTATCTGAACATATTTAAACATAGAAAAGGTACCTAAAAATACACTATTATAATCTTATCAGACCACTGTTGTATATGCAGTCTGTCATTGAGACTGAAAAGTCATTATGTGGTGCATGACTCTATTGTTTAAAATAAGCAAGTGGCTTCTCTGCCTAACCTATGCATGATGGAAGGTCATGAGATTTGTAATCTAATTCCTCTCATGCAGAGAGTCACTTTGGATAGATAAGAGCAGCCTAAACCCTAGCTGAGGTTAAGTGCAAATGGGTTTGCACCTTTAATTTCTAAATTCTAGCAAGCAAAATTGTTTAAAGTATGTGGAATTAACAGTCTGACTTTAAGTTGTACTTTTCCTGAATTATTTTATCAACAAATGAATTTAAGGATTTTTAAAAAGTATCAATTGACTGTGACTCAGTAAAATTCCATCCAAGAAAGTCAATTTCTTTCTTTCAGTCTTATGCGTTCACTAGAGATCTAGATCTGGGGTAGAAAACGTAAGGTTTTCCTTTCTAACATTTTACTTTCTTACATGAAAAAAGTTTTAACTTAGGGTCCATAAATTGCTGCTGCAAGCAAGGGTCTGTTCAGCTGCAAAAGTGGTAGAAAAAATATGAATGTGTATTCTTTTGTTTACTTTTCCCCCTTTAGGAGAGATTTTTCAAAGGAGTTCTTGACTCGCAAGCATTAACATTTATCTGGTGCTTTTTCGGTTCACTCTTCCTTTTGTGTTTGGAGGGAGCTAGTATCATTCTTTATTTGGCAGGAGACAGAAAAGTCACCTCCATCACACGTTTTTATGGTTCCCCTTTAGCCAGGTTTATGCTTACTGCAGTGACAGCCAATTTCTCTTTCTTAGCACAGGAAGAGGCAAGCTGACTTGTGTTGGCTTGCTCTCTCTCCACATACACTTCTCTCCTCATTGTGCCTGGACAATACTAAAGTCTGTTTGACAAGGCCAGGAAGTCTCACATAATCTAACAAATTATGTATAATTTTTAAATAAATTTGATATTAATCATAAATGTTTCATGCTGCAGGCATTACAATGAATTTCACTAGAATATTGGTAATGGAAGAGCTGAAACATCTATTGTGCCACTTTGTTTTTTTCTTAAGTGTAAATTAATAGAATTATTTAATGACACTATTGGAAGTGATTATGAAAAAAAAACACAAGAGATAAACCATGAGACAAGAACGTTATTCCTTTGCATATTTCAGTACAGACCGACATGCAGTAATACCTTAAAAATCTGATAATAAATAAAACCAGAAAACATTGGCAGCAATCTTCTTTGGGGAAGAAGAAAGGATTTACTTTTGCCATAGGGTATAATACATTTACATCATAATAACACCATACCTGTGTCTTTTATAACCTAGAGAATTGAACTCTTACATGATGTCACTTTTTAATAATAAATGCAGGAAGTTCACCTTGAGAGTAAATAGTAGCTAGAGCTCAGTAAATTAACTGAAGGAAGAGAAAAAAACATATGAATAGACAACAGAATGTTTTCCCTTGAGGAGGAGAGCAATAGAATATTCACAGAAAAGCAATTACTGTGAAACATAGTAAGGTATGCAGAAAAAGTGAAAGGAAAGTTAATGAGTTTAATAGAAAGATGGCAATAAGAAAAATAGGTTATTAAATTGTTAAACTTATCAGTAAATACATATCTATATGTAACATCTGTAGATCATCTGCCTGACTGCATTTATATGCACAACTTACCACTTTTGCTCGATTGTAAACTACATGAGAACAGAATCTGTAATACATTCATTTTAAAATAACTGACATTTCCTGTTAGAATGCCTATCCCGGAGTTCAGATCTCAGAAACACATTCTGTAACTAGGGTCTATCCGAACCTCCAGATCCAACACGTATAAATTGCCTGAGAATATTTCCTGATCTAGGTCTAGGTTGTCACTTAGAGGTTCTCTTGAACTTAAAAATCCAGCTCAGAAAAGATTTCCATATGTCTTTCCCCATGTTTCTCTGTGTTCAAACATCTGAGTCCCAAAGGCTAATGATCATTCAAATAGAAACACAAAACAAGAGCCTTAGCAAAAAGTATAATTTCTAAACCATGCTGCAGCAAAGATTCCCTGGTAAATGTGATATTTAAGGAAATAAGTCTAAACCTTTACCTAATCTAAATTTCAATGGCATATCATTTTTGCCATCATAAAGGCAAATGCTTTGCTAGTTTGGTTTAATTTCTTAAAGTATTGCCTTAATGTTACAGGACACCAACACTTACCCAAAGGTGGCCATTGGGTTAGGGTTTCTGCATTATAGTCCCTTCTGTAGTCACCAGAAATATGTTACAGGAATAGGGTTCCAATCCAGACCCCACGAGAGGGTTCTTGGATCTCATGCAAGAAACTATTCAGGGTAAGTTCAAAGTGAAAGCAAGTTTATTAAGAAAGTAATGGAATAAAAGAATGGATACTCTATAGGCAGAGCAGCCCTGAGGGCTGCTGGTTGCCCTTTTTTACGGTTATTTCTTGATGATATGCTAAAAAGCGGTGGATTATTCATGTCTCCCGTTTTTAGAACATGTAGGGTAACTTCCTGATGTTGCAATGACATTTGTAAACTGTCATGGTGCTGGTGGGAGTGTAGCAGTGAGTACGACCAGAGGTCACTGTCATCGCCATTTTGGGTTTTGGTGGGTTTTGTCTGGCTTCTTTATTGCAACCTGTATCATCAGCAAGGATTTATGACCTGTATTTTGTGCCAACCTCTTATGTCATCCTGTGATGTAGAATGCCTTAACTGTCTGGGAATGCACCCAGTAGGTTTCAGCCTCATTTTACACAGCTCCTATTCAAGATGGAGTTGTCCTTGTTTATGTGCCTCTGATATTAATGCTGTGCCTTAAACTATTATTGCAAGAAATCAAGAGGATGTTAATATTCTTTTCAGCATGACTAATCCTTAGACAGGATTCTTCTTATTCTAGGCCTCTGACCTCTCTTTTCTTAGAACGTTTACATTGGAACACTTCCCATTCCATATTATCTCTTTGCCCCTTTGAGATATAAATCTTGTTAAAAGCATCTTACCAGTTTAGAATTTAGGAATGTCTTCCTAAAGAATCTGGGAACCATCTCTTTGAAATGTAAATATTTGAGGAGATAGCACCCCAGTTTCCAATTTCCTTGGGAGGGCAGACTCCTAACATCAATGAGTACCAATTAGCTAACACAGATGACATAATCTCAAAGAAAAACATTTTGAAAACTCAGGAATAACTAAATATGCTCCATACATCCCACAGATCAGCCTCCCTTCTAACATCTTGCAAGACATTTTCACTGGCTTACCCTAGTATATAAAAACTCTCCCACTTCTTGTTTCATCTGAGTTGAGTTCACAGTGAGTTCTGGCCTTTAACATCTACTGCAATGGCTTTGAATAAAGTATTCCTTTCCTATTTAACTTTATCCAGTGCAATTTTTGATTTGACAATAGTTATCAAAAAAGTAGTCATATCAAATTGATGTTTCATTTACCCTGTAGTTGTTATAAAATCTATTACCTGTGGACTTTGTTTTTGCTGTTTTGAGATAGAGTTTCACTCTGTCACCCAGGCTGGAGTGCAGTGGAGTGATCTTGGCTCACTGCAACCTCTGCCTCCTGGGCTCAAGCCATGCTCCCACCTTAGTGTCTTGGACTACAGGTGTATGCCACCATGCCTGCTAATTTTTGAATTTTTTGTAGAGATGGGGTCTCTCCATGTTGCCCAGACTGGTCTCGAACTCCTGAACTCCAGCAGTCCACCAGCATTGGCCTCCCAAAGTGCTGGGATTATGGGCATGAGTCACTAACTTGTCCTATTACTTGTTTTGTGATTGAGGGTCTCTGTGTTACAGGATTCTCTCCTTAGTTCAGTTAAAGATGGGATCCTTGTCACATAGCCATGAAAAATTAGTCTTGCAGACAATTCAAAGGGTGAGGAAAATGGGATTTATTGGGAAAAAAGGGAAAAAGGAAGCCTCCACAAACCCAGAGTCCCTGCTGTTCACTTCCTGCCTTGCAGATTGAATACCAGGTTCTGCCCAGGAAGAGGAGGAGCCTGGCTCCTCTCTGCTGCAAATGGCTCAGACTTCCTGAGGCTCTACCACAGTGCACACCAATCCCAGTGTGTGGGCTGGTGGGGGTTTGTCGAAAACACCTTTGTACCAGCTGTTTCATGAGAAATGTCTTTCATAGGATGATCACAAAAAATGTTATTTTTTATTGTTTTTTCAATGGATAAACTTTATGTTGTTGAGTTATTGATGATATATTGAAATGGACTTTTCATTACCAGTGAGGAAAAAGTGGCTTCCCTTTACCTTCCTAGATTATTTCATTAGACTACAAATTAAATGATCATAAAACAGATTACCAACAAAAAAACTATAGTTAACTATGTACATGCACAGGAGTCCAACAGAAATATGAGATTCAATGAAAAGCCAGATGATTGATGCTTACATAGCATTCTGAGCTATAGAGAAATATTTGAGGCTTGGGGTTAGTGAAGGATGGTGAAGACAAGTTATAAGGGTGAGGGGGTGGAGATGTATGGTAAATAAATGTTGTCTTGTTCTGCAGATCAAAAATAGGTAATAAAATTGTCTCAGAGGAGCTATCTTCCTGTATTGGACATCTGTATTAAGTACTTTTACTAAAGCAGTGAAGAGGCAAGGAGAAAACTTCCCCTTCACCCTTGGAAGGCTCACTGAAAATTCAACTCTCAAAAGAAAGATTAATAAGAGAAAAGCCATCTCATTTATTAAGGTGCACATGGAGAGATCCGGAGTGATTACCCAAACCCCTAGTGGGGTATAGAAGCTTATATACCACCATGAGGTTACAGATAGAATGGGGACTCAGAGCCCAGGCAAAAATAGGTTATGTTGGTAAATCAGGTTATAGCAGTAAGGCAGGTTATGGATAGAAGAGAAGCGGAGGCTTGGCTAGCAAAGGTGACCTTGTAATGTAAATGAAACCTTGCATGTAGCTGCCCTCAGATAAAATAGATGGCATATATTTCTTTCAGGCCTTTAAAGCTGTCAGACTCTCAGTTACTCTTTGCTAGATCCAGGAAAGGGAAGTCCTGGCTGCATCAATGCAGATTGTCCACAGATGCAAATCTCTGCCACAAAAGATAGCTTTGTAAGGCTACATCTGTTTGCTGGCTCTCTGAACAGCCATCTCCATGTATGCCAAATAACCATATTTTGGGGTATGATACTGTTCGGGTCTGTGTCCCAACGCAAATCTCATCTTGAATTGTAATCCCCACGCGTTGAGGGAGGGACCTGGCTGGAGGTGATCAAATCATGGTGAGGTTTCCCCCATCCAGTTCTTGTGATAGTGAGGGAGTTCTCATGAGATCTGATGGCTTAAAAGTATGTGGCAGTTTCCCCCTTGCTGTCTGTTTTTCTTCCCCCTTGCGAAGAAGAAGGTGCTTGCTTTCTCCTTCACCTTCCACCATGATTGTAAATTTCCTGAGGCCTCCCAAGGCATGCAGAACTGTGAGTCAATTAAAACTCTCTTCTTTATAAATAACCCAATCTCAGGCAGTTCTTTATAGCACTGTAAAAACAAACTAGTACAGCATAAAATATTTTTTTCTTCAGTAGATTTTCTTTATAGATTACAAAAGGACAATTTTCAGAGCTACTCCTTTTCTGCAGTTTCTCAGGATAACCAGCTGAAAATATACCAAAAGAATCTACTTTGCAGTGGCACATTCTGCTCTCCAACAGTCATATGAGAGTTAGGCTCAGATGTATCCTGAGCCCTAAGAGTGCCAAATCACTGGTACAAACCAAAAGTAAAATTGTAAATCCCCTCAGCCATCTGCATAGACCACCTCCTCTCCGTCAAGAGCATTCCAAAGTTAACCTGAAAAGCTAGTTGAGGCCATGATGGGAATGGGAAACAAGCCATGTCTCATTATACTCTCCTCTGTTTTGGAATTGCTGATAGAACAGACTCTGAGTCTGATAGGAAACATTTACAATCTATTCTCTGAAACCTGCTACCTGGAGGTTTCGTCTGCATAATAAAACCTTGGTCTCTACAACCCTTTAACTTAATCCAGACAATTCCTTTCCATTGATTCTGAGTCTGTATAATGGCTTAACTCTTCCTACCAATTGCCAATCAGAAAATCTTTGAGTCTAACTGTGACTTGGAAGCCAGTTTCATGCCTTTCTGGAGTGAACCAATGTGGAGTACAGGAGAAGGTCAGAGAGACTTTGCTTCCGAGGCTTCCATTTCCTTTATTTCAAAGTACTCAGCATGCCCAAGTGCCATACTTTGGGGTATGGTTTTCTGAGCCCTAACAAGAGTAAAATCTGTACATGAGGTAACAGTGTGCTAGAGACACAGTGAGAAATAGCTTTGTTAATGGGGTAGCTATTTGAATAAGGCGTCTTTTCCTAGGATCTGTCAATTCTCAAGGACAGCTTTAGGAAATATGTGTCTCCTCCCAAACTAACATGGAGATTTTGTGATGTTTATGTATTTTCCTGGGCAAGAAGTTTTTCTATTTAAGTCAGTTCTCAATGGATTAAATCTTCAAACTCTTAAGGCCAAACCCATTTAAATTAATAGAAGAGCATCTCTTTTGTTGGACCAGAGTGATTTTTCAGCTATTCCAATAGTGATATAGAGGTAGTATGTTTAGACATTCCTCTGGGCATGCACAGCTTTCTGGTAAGTTCAGGCCCATCATCTAAATATCATACTTAAAAACATAAATGGGCCGGGCGCGGTGGCTCACGCCTGTAATCCCAGCACTTTGGGAGGCCGAGGTGGGCGGGACACAAGGTCAGGAGATAGAGACCATCCTGGCTAACACGGTGAAACCCCGTCTCTACTAAAAAATACAAAAAATTAGCCGGGTGTGGTGGCAGGCACCTGTAGTCCCAGCTACTTGGGAGGCTGAGGCAGGAGAATGGTGTGAACCTGGGAGGTGGAGCTTACAGTGAGCCAAGATAGCATCACTGAACTCCAGCCTGGGCGACAGAGCAAGACTCCGTCTCAAAAAAATAAATACATAAAATAAAATAAAAAATAAAAAACATAAATGGAACAAAAATGATTTTATTAAACAGGGGTCTTCCATTTACATTAGCCAATGTTGCTTTCCTCAAATTGTGCACAATACCCACAGTGTTGCTAAGAGTGACAGAGATTAATGGAATCAAAAATTATCTCTCACTCATGCAGGTGCAAGTTAGATTTCAAATTGTATGGCCATTTGCTTTGTTCTAGGGAAAACTCTTTCTTTAGTAATAGCATTCTACTTTCTATGGTAATTGAGCTTTCCAAAAGCAAACTGCTTCTTCAATTATGTTTCCATGAATGAAATTTTTGCAGAATATATGAAGAGTTCTGTTTCTTTAAACACTTTAAAACATTAGTTTACTTTTTTATATACTGCACAAGTGCAATGAAATGAACTCATTGACTATTATTTAACTGTGATGCTGAAAGCTAAAATATTGCATTGCAAGAGCTTTTAGTGATCATCATTTAGCATTTTAAAGGTACTAAAAGCACTATTCATCCATCAAATTGTTCATTTGTTTAAAACACGTGCAACAAAAGCTGAGTGTACCTAAAAGCACAAAATAAATCTGCTCCCTTGCACTTTAGTTAGATGAAGCAGAATGTGCACAGGTAAGGTCAGTAAAAACACATACACACACGCACAAACACACACACACAAACACAGTATGTTTGTACTCCAAGAAGTTCAATAACAGTTGAATGCACATTCATAACACATCTTTGGAAAACACATGAATATACTTTTAAATCCTGAAACAATAAAAAAGAGAATTGTCACAAGATTGGTTTGGATTTTAGTATCATTCTATTAGAAGTAAACTTCATAATCATTTTAAGAACTGCAATCATCTGTTTTACTTTGCATTTCTTTCCTTTCCTTGTTTCCCTCTGTCTGCTTCTGGGCTATTAGAGTTTCTCAAATTGTTTGTATCACATAGATACCCACGTAAATGCTGCAGGGTTAACTCCAAGACACTGTTAGACACAAGTGTGCTTGTATTTCAATTCTTGTAATTATAAGTGGCCCCACTTCAGACTATTCTGTTCTATGAAACACAACGGAAAGCATCAAATTAGGGGAAAAGAGTGGCTCAGACTGCCCCAAGCAATTAATTAAAGAAAATTACTACTGGATGCTTTATGCACAGCAGGGGCTCTGTGCATGAAGAAATATAACTGCTAGTCACACCTGTGCTGATTCTCACTGTGGAATTGAAATTATCATGAGTAAATGTAATTACTTAGCAAATTTAATAAATGTTGTTTGGGGTTCTGAAAACAGCACTTGGATCTACAAATTACACAGTGATAAGTGTGGCAGCACAAGTTCAGTGGTCTCTAATAGCACTAAAATATGTAGAGCATCCTGGAATGTACCAGGAAAGCTTATGAGTAAGTAAAGGTAATAAATTGCTACAAAAAAATGGGTACTAAGCCACTCATAGTTACCCATGCTTTCATGTTTTCCTTTGATTATGTAATTTTGACAAAGTTATTTTTTTCAAAATCCCCAGTAGTTTAGATATCCAAGCTTATCCTCCTGAAATACAAATAAGTTTATTCCTAACAAAAAATGAGTTAGTATTTGGTAACGCTTGAAATGAAGTGCTCTAAATAAGTATTTAATTAAGAATAAAACAGCTATTGCTCTTGGGTTGTGATGATTGGCAATAATTGCTTTACATGATTTAATGGTTATAAAATTAACAAGAGATAAGTAATAAAAATAAGAAATTAAGCTACATTTTTCATCATAACTTTAATTTGTATGCTCTTAAGAATCATAATGATGATTGGTCTTTTATTAAATGAATATTAAGATGAACCTTCATATAATCTATATTATCTTTGAAGAATATGTTAATCATTAAGTCATAATTTATAATTAAAATGCAATACAATTTATTTTGTCAAAAGGAAATAAAGTATTTGTGTATTTTGTAAAATTGCCATATGGTAAAAGCCTATTCAGAGTATAAGCCTTCTGCTATAATACTAATAGCCATAAGTCTTCTACTTTAAATCAAGAAAATGTTAGAAAATGTTTAATAGCTTTAGTATATTTAAACAATTCATCAAAATTATTTAAAATTTTGCTAGGGCTGTCATAACAACATGCCACAATTGGGTGATCAAAAGTCACAGATACATATTCTCTCACAGTTCTGGAGACTACAAATCCAAAATCAAGCTTTCTGTGGGACCATGATCTCCACAAAGACTCTGGGAATTAATGCCTCCTTGATCTTCTCCCTTCTGGCGTTTGCTGTCAAATTTCAGCATTCCTTGTTTTGTAGACCTGGCACTGAAATCTCTACTTTCTTTATCACATGGTCCTCTCCCTTGTGTCTTCATGTCTTCATGTCTTCACATCATCTTCCTTCTCTGTATATTCACATCATCTTTCATCTGTGTATGTTCCTATGTCCAAATTTCTCCCTTATTAGGGAAAGGAATTTATCTAGTATCCAATGTCTTAAGTTCAATAATGGATTTTGTGGCTGCACTAGTTTAAGATGGCTATATGTGAACTTGATTACAGCTATAAGAATCCTATTTCCAAATAAGGTTACATTCGCAGGTTCTGGGTGGGCATGAGTTTTCAGGGGCCACTAATTAACCGAGTACAAATATAAGGTGTTAATGTTCTTGTAAGTCGTGTGGCTGACTTCTCCCTGTTTTGTCAGTGCCCTGCAATAAATACAATTCCCACTTAGTATGCACCTATACACAAAAAAGAATATTTATTATGCTCTAATGGAGGAATCAGGGTCAGAACACTTATTCTGTGACCAGATAATACATATTTTAGGCTTTGCAGACCGCATGGTCTTTGTTACAATTGCTCACCCGTGCTGTAAACAATAGGTAAATGGATTGGAATAGTTGGATTTGGCCCCCAGTCATGATTTTGCCTACCTTTCCTATGGTGGAAAGGAATTCTTTATTTTGTTTAACAGAGTAAATTTAAATATCTATATCAAGGAAAATCTGTTCTTTGAAAGCATTGTCCACAATTTTTCAAAACCCAGATTTTATTTTTAAAGCTATTTCAAGACCTAGGAAACATAATGCATTTTAAAAATCAAACCCATATGAACAATTAAGCCTAGAGAAAAGAAATACATATATTTGGGGTGAATTGTAAATTCAGACACAAAGCCCTTCTGAGTGTGGGACCCCATGTGACTTCACAGATCATATGCCCTTGACATTAATTCTGTCTGAAAGTATTTTTGAAATCTTGTTCTTTCAACACACTAGGTCCTACTAAATGGGATTTTTATAAAGTCACTAGTAATAACTCACAAATGGATCAAATGAATAATATATTACTTAAAGTGCCTATTATAATGTTTTGCACATTAAGTGTTGTCCCAGTACAGAGGTTTTTAGATGTATTTACACTTTTAATAATATAAATATCAAGTGGTGAGTATTGCCCCAATATAAGGTTATTTTAAATGTGATTTATTATATAATTAACAATATTACTCTTATAATCATAGTAATATTTTAGTCAAATATCAACAAATAAGGTGCTATTGCTTTATGAGTGTTTTGTAGAAATAGTCAAAAGTTCTAGCTATGAATCCTGAAAAGTCAACACTTAGTGAAAACTTTGGTTCACTAAAAAATTATACAACCAATTTTGTGAAATTACTGTTGCAAGTCTCATTCATTTAAGTGTGATTAACAAAGGAGGTTAAATTTCACATAGCATAAACTTTTTCTGTTTTTTTATTTTTAGTGTGAGAACTTTCTCTAGGAATAAAAAAAAACCCTCATGTTATTTTCGTTTTAAATGTATAACCTTTGGCACAAAACTGAGAAAATGGCTGCTTCACTAGATGTGAAACTGCCTTTCCCTTGCAAGGGTTAATTACTAAAGAAGAAATTCAAACTTAAACAACAAACTCTGCAATCTTAATTAAAAAGAAACTATCAACTGGTGACTCCGGGTAGTTTAGAGATGACAAGTATCAAATATGTGGTAAAGTGAAATGTAAAAAGTAGGAGAAGGTGATTATAAGGCAGGTCAGCTTTTAGATTTGCCATAGCAGAGATAGAAATACTACGACTGATTTTAAAATCTGTATGTTGAACTTTACCTAATGAGTTTTATGTGGAGGCAGATGAATAGAGTACAGAACACAAAAACTACATTTGCGTAATGGAATATGGTTCTGCTTAACTGGCAAGAGAAAATTATTTTTTAACCATTAATGCAAATATCTACTGTTTCATTTTATGTTATCTGATTATTTTAAATAATGTGTCTGAGTAGCAAATAGAAGGCTTTTTTCCAACAAAAGATCATTATATCATTTCATTTTTCCAATTCTGTATAAATGTCCAAGTTAGTTTTTTTTGAGGTCTTGCAAACAAAATAGACATTCAAATATTCAGATTTTAATTTTTCTTAAATTAATTTTGTTATTTAAACAATGTAAAATCTTATACCACTTGATATATGTTGATAATCCATAATTCCATTTGATGGCACAATAAAAATCACATTTGTGTTTTAAATTTTAAAAAGCAGGATTTATTTTTAAACTAAAAATTTAGACTCTCTTAGAATAAATTACACAGTCTCAAAATACTATTGCACTCTGCTACAAGTGAAAAGCAAAATTTTTTTTATTAAAGAAGTTCAATCTTAGTGAAATAATTTACAATAACCTAGTAGGGATGGTGTTTAAGAGATTGAAGCAACATAATTCACTTGATTCTGATACATACATACAAAATTTTCTAACAGTTACTTTTAAATACATTGGCTCTGAAAGTTCATTTTAATTCTTTATTCTGAGTATAATACTTTTATTACAATTTTAAACTTAATTTTATAAAGACTTTTCTGAAGTATAATTTTAACCCCTCATATATTTTCTAAACAATTGAACAGAATATTTATAGATTGAAATTTTAGGCTTAAAACAGACCCTCTTAATATTCCAATCTTTTTTGAGTCTAAGCCCACGTTCCCTGATCTAACAGATAACTTTAAGAAAATGATATTAATTCATGTCAAACAGGATTTCTGTCTTTGAGAGAATCACTTACTTTCCTCAAAGTTATTTTTGACCATCTATTGTGCTTAATATGAGATGGTTATTGAGTTACTTGATAAACTTGTAGTTTCCATACATAAAAGTATAACCATTCTGAATATCAAATACTTCATGATAATAAAATTATAATTTACATCTATATTTTACTTTGTCTATTCAAAAAATGTTTAGAAAAAGTACATGGAGACTGTAGTCAGCATATTATTTCAAAATTAATACTAATGTTAATGTATGTTGAATACCTGTGATGATAATAACTGTACATTCTGAAAAAAATGTTACTATCCTGTATCTAATTGCTAAGTAAATCACTCACCATTTTTAAGCACTTATTATATGCCATGCAGTGTGATATGTTGTGAAAGGATGTATAAGGTGACACAAGGTTCTATCATTAAAGACATGAGGAATAAACTTATCACAATAAATGATATCTAATGGCTTAAAAAAGAAAGAAAATATTCTGACTGTGTTATTAGAGTTTCAGGCTGGGGAAACAGTCACAATGATGATGACTAATAGATCATTTAGGCCTTAAACATAAATAGAACTTTATTAAGCATATAGAGGAAGGGGAAACAAATCTATGTAAACGAAATAGTATGAAGAGAAGCATAGAAGATAAAAATTTAAAAATACAAGAAATTTTAGGAAATTTTTAATAACCAACCTAGAAAACAACTTGAGATTCTTCCTTATTTTTAATTTCATTTATACACCATCATTAACCTTGCTGAGTCTTCCTCCAAAATGCCTCTTAATTTTATTACTTCATTTCTATTTGTGTTACTTGCTGAATAAAGTTTCACGTCATCATGATCAGGGATTCCTGCCTAAGGGTGATTTTCATGCGTGAAGGATATTTGGCAGTGTGTGAAGACATTTTTTATTATCGCAAGTGGGGGAAGAGCACTAGTAGTATGTAGCAGGTAGAGGCCAAGTATATTGGCTAAATTGTAGCCAATACTAATACACTGAAGAATATGCTAAAT
This sequence comes from Homo sapiens, assembly GCF_000001405.40. NCBI lineage: Eukaryota > Metazoa > Chordata > Mammalia > Primates > Hominidae > Homo > Homo sapiens. Next base: position 22,594,238 of record NC_000017.11, read on the forward strand.
ATTCTACAATGCCTAGGTCAAGTTCCCATAACAAAGAATTATCTGTCCAAAATGTCAAAGTACCAAACTAGCAATAACTTCCTAACTTTATCTCCGCCTTAGAAATTCCTATTCTTGATTAGAAATCATCTAGTCATGTAATGAATTTGATCTACTATAAAATATCCAAGAAGAGATATCTATGAGACAGTTAAAAATCTAATGTTAGGCATCAACAGGGAAATCATTTTTGGAGATACAAATTAGTGAGAAAGTATAAAGGTTCAAAATACAGAGATGGTTAACATTTTCTAGAGAAAATCTTTAAAAGGAAAGAAAAAATAATAAGATAATAAAATATTTATATTTAAAAGGAGGATGGGCTGGGCGCGGTGGCTCATGCCTGTAATCCCAGCACTTTGGGAAGGAGGCCGAGGCAGGCAAATCGCCTGAGGTCAGGAGTTCAAAACCAGTCTGGCCAACATGGTGCAACCCCATCTCTACTAAAAATACAAAAATTAGCTGGGTGTGGTGGTGCATACCTATAGTCCCAGCTACTTGGGAGCTTGAGGCAGGAGAATTGCTTTAACCCAGTAGGCAGAGGTTGCAGTGAGCCAAGAAAGAACCACTGCACTCCAGCCTGGGCAAGAAAGTGAGACTCCATCTCAAAAAGGAAAAAAAAAAAAACAAACAGAAGAATGAGGATGTATCTGCCAACAAAATATTGAACAAACAACTGAAACAGAAACATTAAGAAAGGGGAAGAAGAGAACATCTCTTAATAAAGCACATGGGTTCAGCTACTGACCACTTCCATGAATTTGGCTGTCTTCAACATGCCTTTAGGATTAGTAATAATTCCACTTTTTCCAAATATATGTTTGTTATCTACACATACATTAGATATTGTTTCTTATATTGTTAACCCTTGTATTTATTCTCATTTGGTAAAGTAGTACAACCAACAGAGAATAAAACAAGTTATTTCAAAATGTAAAAATCTGGGGGGTCACAGGATAGAAGGCAGGAGCACATCAGTGGGCACAAAATCCCAGATGAATACCAACCATTTCTCAGCTTTTGGCCCCTTCAATCCACTGCATGATGCACCAAGGATGTTCAGGAAAGTAAAATAGCACTCTTTCATCAATCATTTCTAAGGCATCTGTAAAATGCTGCCGTTTTCAGGGAAGAGGGGCTTTTTCCCTTACCTGAAATGAAAATCAGCTTAACAGAAATTGAGCTTAAACATTTACCCAACTCAGTAATTTTGGCATTTGTGAATTACCTGATGAATACATACTTGTTTCTTATCTAGAAATTAAAAAATCTTACAGTGGTTTTGTATGGTGAAAAATCTATTTCTATCATTGACCCAAGTATTCCCAGTAAGGAAAGAAAAGCTTTTATTGTATTAGATCCTGCTTGCATTAAAATTATCTTTAAATATTTTGACTTCATCTATTTGTTAAAACTATCAAATAGCTTACTTAGCAAAATGAATATTTAATTCAGAAAAGAAAATAAAGCAATTACTGTGTGTATATTCAGCCATATACGTAGAAGGTGCCAACTTAATTGCTTAGAGGGGAAGTCTTTCTTTTTCATTCTATGGTCACATTCCCTTTTAAATTCATATGTGTGTATGTGTGTGTGTGTGTCTGTGTATAATTTATATATAATTGATGTACAAATATATATGACATAAATATATATAAATATATGTTATACATAATATATAACAATATTATTTATGACATAAATATTTGTATTTACTTATTTGTCAAACATTTAGTGACTGTCAACAATATGCAAGGTGCTAAGCATGCCACTATGTTAACAACTATAAAAAAGCCAAAGAAGCTTTGAGCTTGGAATCTGAAAGGAGAGACAGAAATCAAAGTTTATTTCTGTCTACAGAATTAGTTTATTAAATATTAATAAATGATGTTTGAGAAAATTATAAGTTGCTATGAAAGCATAAACCACAGGATATGACAAGTCTAGAGATTTTGATAAAGCTTTGTAGGGAGAATTTGAATGAATCAAACTAAGAATTTATGAAGATTGAGCTGGTAAGGAAAAGGGATAAATTCATTCTAGGAAGAAAAGGAACAGCAGAATGTCCTTAGGAAGAAGTGAGCATGAATTATTTGCTAAAAGTGGAAAATGCTAGGAAATTACATGGAGTGCAAATTACACACCCAAGTAGAGATGTGAAAGTGCATAGGAAAAGATGCAGCATTTAATATGCATTTAAAGTTTATTATTAATAGCTTGAAAATAAATACATGAATGAATGGATGAAGAAAAGATTTAGCAGAAGATTATTTACTATCAAGAGGAGCAGAAAATACTTATTAGACAAAAGTGAAAAATGCACAGAAAATTGAGTTACTTGCCAAAGGTCATCTGGAAACATCAAGGAAAGAATTAAAACAAAGTGGAAAAGAAGCACAAGCTTATAGAAATTATGTTGAGACCAGAGGCTATTTATTTTTAAAATTGGAACACTTTTTTCTGAACTTACAATACATTTAAATTGATTGGAAATATTATTCATACACATATCTAAGTCAAATATATAATCTACCTAATGGTTTCTGGCATGTATTTTCCTTTCAGTCTTTTCTTCAGCACATACCATGAAAATACATGAGATAGAAGGGATTTTTAAAAAGAGACCTAGAGATTGTGGGGCTACATTATTCAGAATAAATAAAAGCGAAATGAAATCTAATTTAAAAACATATCACAAGATCTAACTTACTGTTATATACACAAAGTGCATTTTAGTAGACAATATACAGACAATGTTTCTTTTAAATCAACATTTGTTGACAATGTTATCCATTATCCACTATTATTCTTATTAGTTGTGTCTTATTTTTATTAATTTTTTTTTCTATTGGATTTTTTATGAGAGATTTGTTTGGTTATAAGATTTTAAATGTGGCTATTATGTCAGAATACATATCTCAATTCAAATGAAATCTTTTTCCAAGTTTACAATCAACTGTGTCCTTCCGTAATTTAATTTGTTGAAAATAGGAAGCATACTGGTAGTACATTTTAGTAATTTTAAAATCCTTTAGTAAAGGAAAAATTACATTTTGGCTTTGAGAAATATCATCTTCAAGAATAAAAACACTCTTTCATATTCATGTATTCATAGAGCATAAGGTATTCACTCTATAGTACGTTTTTAGATTTGCAAATATTTTTGAGTAGAACATAAAAGAAATATCTAACTTCCTAATATCAAGGATGGTGTGAACATCAGAAAGCTACCTTTGTTATCCTAAAACAACTTAGGTTTTGTTGAGAAAATATAATTAAAAACAGTCTTATTCCAATCTTGAAAACCTCTCTACAGAGGTAGAAGAGAAAAAAAAAAGCAATTTTATTATTGAATAAGCATGAAACCAGGATGTGATGCACATCACAGGCAATCCACTAAAGAGAATGCAGACAGAAAGGAATCTCACCCTTTTATATAGCCAAACAGATGCAACCTATTGTATACACCTTTTCATTGTTGTGAGATAATCATAGGATGTAATGGACTTACACAAAATTGGATGTTCTTATAGCACAGAGGCTATATGGTATAGCCTATTGCTCCTAGGCTACAAATCTGTACATTTTACCAATTACTGTAGGCAACTATAACACAATAGTATTTGTGTATCTAACTGTATCTAAATATAGAAAAAGTACATGAAAAATACATTATAATCTTATGAGACCGCCATCGTAACATGATCCATTGTTGAACAAAATGTTGTGATGCAGCACATGAATATGTAGGCCTTTTAGTAATTATTCAATCTTCCTAAATAGCTTTTTTCAGTTTTGCAACTCAGTAGCATCCATGGCCATCATCTAATATAAAAGTCTTGGCCGGGCACAGTGGCTCATGCCTGTGATCCCAGCACTTTGAGAGGCCGAGACGGGTGGATCATGAGGTCAGGAGTTCGAGACAGCCTGGCCAACATGGTGAAACCCCGTCTCTACTAAAAATACAAAAATTAGCTGAGCGTGGTGGCAGGGGCCTGTAATCCCAGCTGCTTGGGAGGCCGAGGCAGGAGAATCGCTGGAACCTGGGAGGCAGAGGTTGCAGTGAACCGAGATCATGCCATTGCACTCCAACCTGGGTGACAAGAGCAAGACTCTGTCACAAAAAAAAGTCTTATTATAAGGTACAAACTGAAAGGCACCGATTAAACTTTGAGTGTTTAATGTATATAGCTATTATTATTTTAAGTCTTGAAGACAAACCTCTAGCCTATAGGTATTTTTTTTCCCAGCGTGGGATCTAAACCAATAGCTCTACATTATAATAGTCAACAAAATATTCATGAGTAACAGAAATTTAGTTTCATGTATCAATCTATACTTAGGTGGGAGAGAAGTTACATCACAAAGTTAATTAAGTAACAATAGACCTGTTTTTTGTGGTCGCTATCTTACAATGCCAAGTTTCTATTTTTCTATTAACTGGAATGTTTGTTTTCAATTAAGCCAATTAATTGTTTTTGTTTGTTTTACAAGTAGAGCTTGTCTTAGTCCATTGTGTGTTGAGATAGCAGAATACTAAGATGGGGTAATTTAAGAAGAAAACTTTTTCTTACATTTCTGGAGACTGGGAAGTCTAAGGTTGAGGAGCTACATCTGGAGAGGTCATCTTGCCATATCATAACATGGCAGAAAGCACCATATGGCTCAGATTTCTCTTCCCTTTCTTAAAAGGCCACTAATCTCATCACGGGGGCCCTATTCTTATGACATCATCTATCACTACATCCCAAAGACCCTGCCTCCAAATAGCAACAACACATAAATTTGGGAATTTAATTTCTGACACATGGAATTTGGGGACACATTCAAACCATAGCTAGGCTTGAATACTTGGATGCATATTAGTTTTATTTTATTATCAACAATTATAAAGAAGATGGTGTCACTTTTACTCTGCCAATAATAAAACTGTTGGTTATACAATTCCAGGTCCTGTTTCTGCTGGGAGGACAATTTGAACTAACTGGAAAGGACATCATGAGAACCATTACTGGGAGTACAGAAAGAAAAGGTCATGTAACAAATAAGTTTTGATTCCTAGTAAAATGTGATTCTTAAAGTAGTCAAAATAATCCACTGGAAATAAGACAGTAAGACCATCTAAAATGTAATATGTAAATATGTTCTCTAGAGTACCTCTTCATCTGAATTCAGTACCAAGATCAGTTACTCTTGAAAACTTAAATTTCAAGGCCTTGTGAGAACCACAGTCAAGTCTTGCCCAGGTGCTGTCTCCGTGTGGGAAGCATGACTCCAGCTGAGTTGTTTCTCTTTTGTTTTGGTTTTGGTTTTTGTTTTATTTTGTTTTAATCTCTGATAGCCAAACGAGTGATCAGCAGCACTCGAAAGCCTTCTTTCCAGCATGGTGACTGTATTTTCTTTCTGGAATACCTTTTTGTAGATGAAATTTCCTGGTCCACAGAGATAGCCAATTTCCACTGGTGTGTCCTTCCAGATCCTATTGTCTTTAAGTTTTAGGGTTTCTAGGGAAGATATAAACCCTTTTAGGCATTGGAAATGGTTAGAAGAGGATTTGCTTATATCAGGCACAGGATGTGCTCTTAGACCCAAATTCATGGACCTGCCAAATGTAGGTTCAAAGAGAAGATTCTGTGCTTGAATGCAGAGGCAGCAGGAAAAAGACTAATGATAAAACTCTGGAGATTTTAACCCAGTACATAGCTGAATCTTAGCTAATTATTTTTTAAAATTTGATTTATCTACTTTATTTATCTGGAGGACTGAGGAATATAAGGTGTATGCTACATTATGGAAATCAGCACACGTTTGCATAAATCCTAGGCAATGGTACAGATAAAATAACTTTCTCTGTCTGATTCAAATACTGTGGTATCCCAAAAGTTAGAACTAAGGCTTTTAAGAGAGTGTTTACCATTGCCTGAAAATCAGTTTTTATGTTTTGTTTCTTTTTTTTTTGAAGAGGGTAAGGCCTCAGGCCATCCAGACATCATACACACAGTAAACAGACAAAGCTCTTACCTTTTACATGTAGTTCTATGGAACTCAACTACCAAAAGGCTCCTGGTAGTTACTCAGAGAGCATTTCCTGTGGTTTCTTAGGAGTAGCATGTAAATAATTCTGCTGATGAATATCACATCTCTCTAATATGTTTGTATTAAAAAAATCTTTTTTGGTGTGCAGGCTCAGAGTCTAGTGACTTTAAAAATCATTTTTTCTTGAGATGATTTGTTGATGACATAAGAACCCTAACCAAGCTGGGCACGGTGGCTCAAGCCTGTAATCCCAGCACTTGGGGAGGCTGAGGTAGGTGGATCACGAGGTCAGGAGATTGAGACCATCCTGGCTTCCATGGTGAAATCCCATCTCTACTAAAAATATGAAAAATTAGCCAGGCATGGTGGAAGAAGCCAGGAATTCAGGTTCTGGGACTTTTTAAAATTTTGACATGTATATTGAATATTCAAGTGGAATGCAAATAGGAGTTGGAAAGTCAGAAAAGTGTTCTGAGATGGAGATGTAAATATGTGAGTTACTGGCTTTTCAAGAGTGTTTAGAGCATGGTAATGAGTGAGGTCATCAAAAGCAGTAGCATGAATACACAAGAGATGTCTAAGGCCTGATACCTGGAATACTCCAATGTAAAGAGCTTGGGGAGAAGCAGAGAAACTACCAAAGGAGATTGAGATAGTGTTGCAAATAAAACAGAAGAAAAATCAAAAGCCATGTGATACCCAGCTCTAGGAAGCACAAATGGTAATTTTGTGCAAATCAAAAATGTGTCCTTTCCTCATGGCACAGTACTGCCATCTGCTGGAATATGTTTCTAAAAACTGTATTAAGATTATAATGCCCCCAAGGTAAATGTCCTTCAGTGCTTAGCTGTAAGCAGTAGAGAAAGTGTATGAAGGTGGAGGAAGTATATCAAATGTTTCTGATCTGTTTAAGGCTTATGAGTATTGAAAAACAATTAATGGATTTAGCAACATTAAGTATGTGGTGACGTTGACAAATGTCGGTTTGAAGTCATGAAAATGAAAGTTTAGTTACTGTTGAGTTTAAAAGAAAATGAAAAAAAATTGTACACATTATTTTCATTTTCTTTTAAACCTACAGTAACTAAACTTCCATTTTCATGACTTCAAAATGACATTTGTTATGGTCACCAAATAATCTGTACAACAAACCCCCATGACACAAGTTTACCTATATAACAAACTGCACATATGTCCCTGAACTTAAAATAAAAGTTAAAAAAAAGAAATAACTGTAGATAGTGACAATGGACCATTCTATCAAGAAATTTTGTTGGAATAAGAGGCAGAGAAATAGGTTAGTCTGTAGTTGACATGGAAGTTGCTTCAAGGAAGTAGGGTGGAAAAATTGGTAATGAAGGAGAAATAAGAAAAATTAAGACCACAGCAGTCTGTAGTAGATGAGAGAGAATAAGATCTAAGGCACTAATGAAGGAATTGTCTGTAGAGAGACAGAAATATATAGTTCATGCACAGGAGATGGTGAAAAACAGAGTATGTGAGTAGTGGCTCTAGGTGGGCAGATATGGTAATTAGAGTCCATAGACACTTTCTTCTTTTCACAGTATAGTAAGAAGCAAGGTCAGCAAAAGCAAGTAGGGATGAAAAAGGAGATGTGAGAGCTCTCTGGCTAGCATCTTCTCACTTTACTATTGCTATGGGAACTGGGAGAATCTCAAAAGTATTTACATACTTCTTGGAGAATACATTTTTCTGATGAATATTTATAGCACCAGCCTAAACAAATATTATTTAGTAGAACATGCTTGTTTTTAATAATCTTCTTTCCTCACAGTGTTATCTGTTCTACTCATGTATTGCCAAGTGACCATTTCATCTGAATATTACCCAACAGGTTTGCATCCTTCTCTGACCTTGGACAGTGGCATGTGTTTCTAACCTGGTTTTCTTCTCCATTAATGAAACACATTATTATTTAATTTCCAAACTCTGTCAAATAAATGTGTGAAAATATATTCATGTGATAAAAATAATCACTGATAATTTGTAATACATTTGTAGAAGTGTGACTTGTACCTCATTTGTGTGCTGACGTCTAGTGCAGATCTCAGAGTCAGGCCAACTCTCCATTGTCCTCACTATCCTACTTGTCTTAGTCTGTTTTCTGATGGTTATAACAAAATATTTTGTACTGGGTAACTTAGATTGACAATACATTTATTTCTAACAGTTATGGGGACTGAGCATTCCAAGGTTAAGGGCTACATCTTGTGAGGGCTTTCTTGCTGATGGGAACTCTGTACGGACTTCTGAGCCAGCACAGGGAATCACATGATGAAAATGCCACATATGATAACATGCGGTGCTCAAGTCTCTCTCCCTCTTCTGATAAAAACACCAGTTTCTTTCCCATGAAAACCAATTAATTAATTAACTATTTAAATACACCAAACTATGAATGGGCTATTTCATGAGGCCAGAGCCCTCTTAAAGGCCTCATGTCTCAATACTGCCACGTTAGGGATTACATTTCAACATGAGATTTGGAGGGGACCAACCATTGCACTTCACTTCCCCATTTTGTGACCAAGGCCTTCAGACTACAAAGTAGCTATTTAATTCTATGTTTTTGACATTGTCCCATGCCTGCCTTTTAGTCGAAGAGGTATAGTTTCCATGGTTTCAAACAATACTAACAGTCCCAACTATCTTTTCTTTATAAGATCAATATGGAAAATTTGATGAAATAAATGAAAAAAACTGTATATATACTAAACTACTATGAGCTAGTTAATACAGAATTTCTTGTCTCCATTGTTGATGGGGGTGACTAAAATTTGAGTTGAGTTTCTGCCTAATTTCAACTTTTATTCTTGAATGGGGGATTTCCCCATTTTTGAATACTACTATATTCAAGAAGCCAAGCACAAGAAATATTTAAGGATAATAATGGCTATTTTCTTGCCCAAAGTGGATATTTTGCATCTCTAGGTTTTCAAACTAATTTATATTGCTCTTACCAACTTGTTGCCTGTAATCATATTTTCCATATTGATAGTGAGAATCTTTATCTCATTCCCTGCCTTTAAAGATAACTTTTATTATAGATTTTGTTACTGTTTACAGGATAGAATGTTACTTTAATTCTTAGTTTTCAAAGAGTTTTTATTAAAACCAAGTATTGAACTTTTGCTTATCTATTACACTAGCCATATATTTTTCTACTTTAGTTAACTACTTTGGTGCATTGAAAAAATACATTTTATAATGCGTAGTCAACTTTACAGTCCTGAAATAAACTGATAATTATGTCATAATTTTATTAATATACCCTGGGTTTGGGCTAACCACTGGTTCATTTAATGGCTTTAACATTTTCATCTGCCTCACTTTGAGTCCAAGATAAAACTGGCCTACGGTATTATATTTCTACTTTCTTTGTTCAATAATGTTACAAATGTTACCCTAACCTCATAAAAACATTAAAAGAAATTTTAGTATCATCAAGTGGTGAGAGAATTTTTGTTTTCTATTTCCTCTTACTAATTGTTTCCAAGATACCTGGCTTCTCTGTAAGGCTAGTTTAAAATGTTACACTTCTTACAGAATTCTAGCTCTAGATAGGCCATAATTACATAAATAACAGAGGATGAAAATCCCTTCAAAGGATGAAACATAGAAATTGATGTAGTAAAGCTTTAGGCTGTCCAAGATAATGTTTTCTATTTAAAATATTGCAAATCTGGCCAATTGAATTAAATTCACTTTGAACAGGCTATAATAAGCACTTACTTTTGGTGTGAGTAAATAACAAATAAATCACTTAAGAAAATACGGCATTATTCCCCCTCATGGTGCATTTAAACTAGAATAAAAAATTGTTACGAGAGGAAGATGAAGTCACCAAAAGAGCTGAGAATTGTTAAAGAATGTCAGGCAGAATACTCATAAGGTTGAACTGATAACATAATTAGGTACTTGCTAAAAACTTACCAAGATACAACCTGGGCAATAACACCCTCTAGAATGGCAACCAGACTATATAGAGTGTTAAAAAGAAGAATCTTGGTAAAAATGAGGCTAGCAATTAAAAATGAGAAAACTAAGGATAAACAGAAAGGGTTCTAGAAACAATTCAGGAAGAGATATTTGAAAGGCATGTGGTATGATAAAGTTCAAGTGACATAAAATTAATAGTAATATCATGAAGCAAAAAGCAGAAATGGAAAGATATAGAACGAAAGGGGATAATCACTTGAATCACAAGATTATATATTTGAGTTCAGTACACTGAAATATTTCATTTTTCAATATGAAAGACATATAGTGACCTCTAGGCACTCATTTTAATATACAAGAGCCATTAAAAAGGCACTTCAAGGTGTTAGCAGGATCTACTCCATTATAACCATGGATGGGAGGTTTGCATTCACTCTGAAAAGAGTTTCCTTTGCAGTTTTATGTGAGAAAAATACAGTATCAAAATGATTATATTGTGATACAGAATCTCCCTATTAACCAATTGCAATGACCCAAATATGACCCCACAAGAAATGAATCTGGTGCATATAACTAACGAGATGGGTGAAATTGTTCATCCTGTAAAATTGATGGTCAGTCACTGAAGAGAAGAATTTGGGACTGCATTTCAGGAAAAAGAACCAAAACAGTAACAGTTCTGCTTCTACATAATTATACGGATCCTCATGAGTCACCTGTGAAGAAAACAAAACAAAACCTCTTCTCAAAATTCTGTCCACTAATTTCTAAGGAAAAAAATGTGGTAGATAGGAAACATGATACTGCTAGAGCACAGAGATGCAGATAATGAATGAGAAATCTTTCTCTAAATTAAGATTTTTAAACATTGATTTTGCTATTTGAATATAGGAAGATGACTCCTGTTTTCTCATTTGATATATTTAATGGTGAGTTCACAGATACAATTGTTTCCTCGGCTTAAGGTCAATGATCATGGTGGAATAGGAAAATAGAGAAAAATGCTGAAAGTTTTCAGCTTTAGTGTACTATCTGTTAAAAAGAGTATTTCAAAGACACTGTTTTTACACTGTTTTAATGAATTCAGACTATGTCTCATGATCTTTTGGAAAATTGAAATAATCTCAAATTATTTTCCTGAGTACAAAATGTCAATTTAATGAGAGTTTAAATGTGATGACCCAATTATTTCAATTAAATTATACAATATTTATTAGACTATAAGTTGCAAACTGCTATCATATAACTATGAATTGCAGAAGATAGAAGAGGATGAAATAATACATAAGACCATAAAATTAATTATATCATTCTCTCTTTCATAGAAACAGACAATATATGCTCATTATAATATTTGATGACTTAGCTATCATAATCAGTTCTATGTTTTCACAATACTGTTTATCCTGTTATAAACCTAAATTCCGTTTGATCAATTATCGGTCTCAGAGCAAGGGAATCAGTCTTGCATGTATTAATTGAAGCTTATGGTATGAAGTACAGCCCAAAGATTAATTTTGCAAGAAATATAACTATAAACCAGATTCTGACACCTCTATACAACACATTAACACATCTTTGTCATAAGCACGATTCAAGACAACACCACTTTAGAACTTTAGTTCTCTGCTGTTGAAGGTTGGGAGATTTTGTAAAAATTTTTTACAAAGATAATCTAGTCATTTCAAAAATCTGCCATAAGAGAAAGATTTTAAGTTTGAAAGAAGTCAGAACTATAGTTAATGATACTGTATTGTTTACTTGAAATTTGCTAAGAGGGTAGCCTTAAGTGTAACACTATGTTATACGCATGTACAAGTGAGTCTTAAAACAAACACTCATGATTTTACTTGTAGCAACTTTGATTTGCTCTCTTTACAACCAAACTTCTTGAAAGTGATTTTGACTCCCAGTTTTCAATTCCTCATTTAATATTATTTTAAGTCATAACACATTACTTCATTTAAAGCCCTCCTAGTCATACTCCTAATTGTTCTTGTCTCTACCAGGCACTTGACATTTATCCAACCATTCAGTTATTAAACAAATATTTTTTCAGTGCTTGACCTGCTGCCTATTGCTGGGATATGTCCTGGAAATCCAACAGTGGATGCTTCTATTGTTTTGTCTACCTCCGTAAATAGCTCTGCTTCTGTTGGTCTCCAGCAATGCTGTCCAATCTCAACCAGTTAGTTATGCAGAAAATGTTGTAAAACTCATGTGCCAGCATTATCTTTATTTTTGCCTCAAAAACAGAGCCTATTGACAATAAGAGTAAAATGTTTCAGTTCAGAGGCAAGAATTATACAAGTGAACATTTTGAAGTAATGACAATGAGTGACTATAACAAAATTTAGAGACTTATAAAGGAAACTACGTGATGCCCAGGTGCTGAAACACCATTCATAGTGGAGAAATCAAAGTCACGCCATGTGTGTTTTACAAATCATTAACACATTCAGAATAAATGCTTGAAAATATGAATAGCTTAGAGAGGAAAGAGTTTTTCTGTCCTACTTACTTACCTATCTGATAACTTGTGAAAATGGCTGCTTCAACCTGTATGCACATTCAGTGTAACATTTCCAAAACCTATACTTTCTCTAATATCACCGAGCCATGTCAGGTGAAAATACACGTAATTTCTGTAGCTATTGTTTTGTGCTAACTTTACAGAATTTTTTCAGTCAACCAACAGTATTACATTACTTAGTAGTGCCCTTGTCTCAGAGCCAGTTAATCATAAACATTCCGACAGGTTGAACCATCTAACAATGGAATGGATTCTCATGTGTTTTCTGCACACTCGCTCCCCAATTATGTTCTATGAGAAGATCCAGAAGAGACTCCCTTCACTAAGGGATTAAGAAACATATGGGTAAGGGGAGATTTTCCATCAGTGAAAGTTCTCTGGTTGCTCACTTCTGTGGGCCAGATATGACTATAAAAGAGGCCACAATTGAGAAATGCTCACAGATTTCAATAAGAATGATGTGATTCCAGAAAATCACATGCAACATTGTAGCACTTAACCACCAAACAAAATGTGGGCATACCTACAATCAAGGCTGGCAGAGTTGTACAGGTCATCAGAGTGTCTTGGACCAAGAAAACTTGGGCAGGGGCTAAATGATATTGACATCCTTAGAACAAAATAGAGACCCTTTCAGAATATTGCTTAATTCATATGACAAGAAATTCTTCAGGTCTGGAGCCAAAAACTTGACTCCAGTCACCACTGTGGAGATATAGCCTCCCACCAAGTTTTATGTTAATTTTCTGATTCAGAGCCCTTTGATTAAATAGGGTGCCTGGAGGGCTCTGCACTATTGACGCACCACTCACAGTAAATCTTTCCCCATGCCTTCCCCAAAGAGACCTGTGGCCTTCTTTATAGCATATCTACTCTGTGAAGCAATTCACTGTGAATAGCTTTTCCTGGCACCTGAGAAGTTTACCTAGACTACTCTTCTTCATGGATTTCATAGTCTGGGACTACTGGTCACATCTTTCTTTCCAGAATACTTTCCTATTTTTTGTTGTTGTTGCTGTTTGTTGTTTTGAGACAGGGCCTCATTCTGTCCCCCAGGCTGGAGGGCAGTGACACAATCTCCACTCACTGCAACCTCCACCTCCCAGGCTCAAACGATTCTCCCACCTCAGCCTCCTGAGTAGCTGAGACCACAGGTGTGTGCCACCGTGCCCAGCTGATTTTTATATTTTTGTAGAGACAAGGTTTTGCCATGTTGCTCAGGCTGGTCTTAATTAGAGGGCTCAAGTGATCTGCCTGCCTTAGCCTCCCAAAGGGATGGGATTACAGATGTGAGCCACCATGCCCGATCTGCTTTTCCATTTGGATTCATGGAATAGCCTCTCCTGATTCTACTTCTATATTTTTAGCTACTTTGTATTATTGGAGCATAATATAGACACAGAAATTGTCCTAAATTATGAGAGTGTAGGTCAATGAGTTTCTCAAATAGAACAACCTCATATAATCACTACATTGATCAACAAATAGGGCAGCCCCCACACCTTAGATATCATCATTTTGACCTCTTCCAGTTAGTAACCATCTAGGTTTGTCATTACCTTGACTTCTAACACTATGAATTAGTTTCGTCTGATTTTGAGCTTAATATAAATGTATCATACTGTATGCATTCTTTTATGTATGGCTTCTTTTGCTCAGCATGATAAATCTAATGTTTGGAAGATTGCTTCAATGTTACATATCATTATAGTAACATTCATTTTCTTACCTCTTTTGTATGAGTAAACACAAATTATCCATTCTACTTTTGATGAACATTTGAGTTGTTTCCCAAATATTACTGTATTATAATGAAAACTGTTATGAACATTATGTACAAGTCTTTGGAGAACATATTATACACTTCTGTTGTTTGATTCACTCATTAAATATTATTTTTACCAGTGTTCTGAAATTGGTCCTCTTTGGTGATCACGCATCACTTTTGTTACTACTTATTTCTTTAAAATTTCTACAAACACATCTGTCTGCTGAGAACTTCTGAACTTTTAACAGGTACTTCCAGTACTTAATATTTAATTATTTTTCTTCTTTAATTTTCCTTTCTATATTACCTTCTTAGATTAATGTGTGCAAGACACACGGTAGAGTTACTTAAAGTATTGCCTTTTTCTTATTTGGTAATGAAATGTGTCAATTCTACTTAATTAACAACCCTATACTTAATGATCTTCTGCCACGGTCTTAGTTTCTGCCTTCATCTTATTTGAAAGTGTTTGTAAAACTAATTTTCTGATAGCAATGCTGATGTCTAGTGATTTAGAGTAGTTGGGTTGTTAAAAATTAGTTACTGCATTCCAAGATAAAAGTTGTTATTATCACAAACTCTTTGAGCAATCCTTATTGTAGCAGTGCACGAGAGAATGAAGTGAATATCAACTGAGAAACTGGAAAATAATAAGCAATAAAATGCTTGAAAAGAAAAAAAAAAAAGAAAACAGTTTTTGTGAATGTTTGGCAGGTGAATCCCCTGAGGAATGAATGCCTTGGTATTTGTGACTCCACATAAATCAAACGGACATAAAAAGAGATCTCAATTTTGGCACAAACAAATTGATCTGACTGGATGGTGGCTGATAAAATGCATCTTTACCCCAAGTTCAAAAAGATCTTGGCTGATCAAGGCAGCAATTCAGAAGATAATAAAGTCTGGAGAGACTTGAACAAGTTTTGTGGAGTTTATATAAAAGGAAGACTGAGAGGGAAATGTCAAAATATTGAGGAGTACAATACCATGATCATTATAAACATTACATTACTGAAGGTTGCATATATGGATATATGCAAATGATATGAAAGGGATGAAACCTTTTCATAAAAATATAAAAAATCAACATTCATTTTCACTGGTAATTTATTCTAAGCCTTATTTCTAATGATGCTGTGTGTGTGTGTGTGTGTGTGTGTGTGTGTGTTTCTAGGATTAAATAAATATGTGCCTTTCTTCTGGGATTAAATCTTTTCACTCATTTTCTCGTTGCTGCTTTGATTGTGTCCAAACATCTTATGACAGAGATTTGGCTTTTGCTTTATTTCTAAATGCTTCTCATTAGCACCTAGGTTCCTGCTGTATCAAACTTTAAATGTTTGAAATACTATATATAATTTTAGTTTTCTTGGCCTTGGCTCATATGGTTTAATTTTCCTGGAATAGTTTTACCTTACTTGACCATTTGGAAAATTCCTATTCTTTTCTAAGATTCCGGTCCTGGATCTCAGTATTTTTGAAAGCTTCTCTTGACCTTCATAAGCAAACCTGTGTTGTTACTTCTTCTTGTGTCATTTTTTTCATAATATACAGCCTTGGCTCTTCACCTTTAGCATTTACAAAAATTGCCATTATTTTTTAAATGGACTTTCTAGCCCCAATGCTAAATTTGCTCACAATAATTTTTAGAATAAATTCAAAAATATACTAAGAAGATTCTTATACAAAAAGTTTGAGTATCTTACTCTGAGAACACTGTTCCATAGCTATTATCACTTTTCACATTAATATTTTCTAACAGTCTTTGTTTTCCTTAAGGGAAGGAAAGGATAACATTTATTTTCCTAGCACCTGTTATAGGGATAGACAAGTAGTATTAATTTAATAATTGATAATTTTTGTTTATTATACACTTATGTGGAACTTAATGTAGGTCTGTACAATTGTAAGCTTTTTATAAGTATTAAACTGATTAAGTCTCATTATTAACCTGTGAAGGTGCTACTCTTATTCCTTGTTTTCAGGTGAGTAAACTCAACAGACAAGTTACTAACTTGCCTAATTTCAGGCAGTTAGAAAGGCAGCTCTAATTAAAATATAAGAAATATGATTTCAAATTAAAGGAATTTATCCACTTCATAACACTCTGGAATGTTGATTTTTAAAATATGTATTGTAGTATAACACTGACATATGTACCAACATCAAATGTACAGGCTGAAAAATTATCCAAAAGTCAGCACAGCATTATAAAGATGACTCATGTGAAGTAATAAAATCTGAGCTGAATCCTAGGAAATTCCTTCTTTCCCCTACACAGTAGTAACTCTCCCTCTCACCATTATCCTCACATCTGTTCATACTTTACAGTTATTTATTTCACTCAACATGCAGTTTGTGTGTAAACAACACATTGTACTTATTTATTCCATATTTGATATCTATTTTTCCAGTTTGGATCTAATATAAATTATGTTTCTAGAAAGATTATTATACATATCTTTAGGAGGAAGTATATGTACACATTTATGTATTTCTATATACACACTATATATACACACACTGTATATATGAATACATACACACAAACATGCAAACACCTGTATGCATATATAGTCAGGATGGATTTGGGCAATGAGGTCGAAAGGATACGTTCATTACGTTCATTACAAGATTAAGTCGAATGTTTTTCAGAGTCGTAGTGATTTACATTCCCTTCATCAGTGCGTGCAAATTTCGTTTGTGCAGCTTCTATAGAAACCCTAAATACACTTTATTTTTTAAAGTTTAGCTTTTTAGTAATTATAGAGTAGAATTTATTTTTATTTTTAATTTGTATTTAATAAAAGTAGCTTGATTTCCTTTTATTTTTTTCTTTCTTTAATTTTTTTTTTAATTCTGTGTGGTAAAGTGCTTTGAAAAGGCCTTTCTTGATGTTTCATTTGGTTGTACTTTTATTTCTTATTTATTAATTTTTTTTTTTTTGGAGATGGTTCTAACTCTGTCACCCAGGCTGGAGTGCAGTGGTTGATTAGAGCTCACTGCATCCTTGACCTCCCCGACTCAAAAGAGCCTAGCTACTCAGGAGTAGCTGGGACTACAGGCCAGAGCCACCATGCCTGGCTAATTTTTTAAATTTTTTGTATAGGCAGAGTTCTCTCACTATGTTGCCCAGACAGGTCTCAGATCCCTGGGCTCAAGTAGTCCTCCCACTTTGCCCTCCCAAAGTGCTGGGATTAATGTTGTGAGCCACCGTACCTGACCATGTTTTTTTTTTCAAAAAATTCATTTGTGAAGTTTAAAAAGTATCTTTTAAGAGTTCTTACTGTATTTATATTGCAAATTTCATTACCCATTCTGTTGCTAGCCTTTTCACTCTCAGTGAGTTATTTTATGATTACAAATCCTTGTTTATGTTATTTTATTACTATTAACTTATTTATCTTATTTATTAGCCTTCAGTGGTTAGTTTTTTAGTCTTTTTTTAAATCTTAAGGTCATAGAAGTGCCCTCTATATTACTTTTTAAAAACTGTACTGTTTTATGTTACACATTGGCTTCTATATGAAATAATTTTTGTGTATGTTGTGAAGTTGGATGTTAATATTCATTTTTCTCTATGGATTTATGAAAGACAGCACAATTTATTGAAAATACATCTTTTCCTTGCTGTACTGAAGCACTATTTTTTTCACAAATCAGCTAAATATATTGTTGTGTGGTTCTCTTTATGAGTTCTCCATTCTGTTTCATTGAAATATCTATACTTGCACCTTTTCCATAATGTCATAATTAATATACATTTATAAAAACTTTAATAAAGTCTTCACATTATATTTTTTCTTCAAAGTTATTTATGCACTGCGTTTTTATTTGCATTTTACAGTCAGTTTTTCAGTTGCCGCCAAATATAATGCAGACAAATTACACTATTACTAATCACAGTATTGTGATTTTCAGTGTATTACAAATATAGATTTATTTAAAATACTGACTCTTTCTTCTAATACTAGGAATAACAAAGAAACATGGTACATCTTTATTTCTGTTGAATGTCTTTAATTTCTCTTAATCTTTCACAATTTTCAGTAAAGGGATTGAATATAATATGTTATATTTTATATTAGGAATTCAATGTTTCTTCCTGGAAACATTTCAGATTTTTAATATTTTACTTGATTTAGACTCACTACATTTGGAAAGCTTCAATTACAATTTTACTTTTAACAGATATAGAGCTACTCAGATTTGCTATTCTTGTGTCACTATTTACGATTTTTTAGAAATGTCTTCTATTTCATCAAATTATTTCACAATTTTTGACTTAAAGTTACTTATTACATTCTCTTTTTCTCTCTCGTGACTATAGAATCTATAATGATTTCCTCATTATTCATGATATTTAGAATTTGTGGATATTCTTTTTTAATTTCATGCATAATCATGGTATATTTTTATCAGTCTTTTCATAGTAACTTTGGCTTTTGCTGATTTCATTTATTTTATGATTGTTTCTTTTTCTCCTGCTTCTTATTTATATTCTCTTTTTTAATTCTTTGGATTTAATTTGACATTACATTTAAAATTTTTGAGATTGACGATTACATTATTAATTTTCAAACTTTATTTTTTTAACATATTTATGTAACCATATATTTATCTCCAAGCTGAGGTTTGCCTAAGTCTCCCAACTTTTAACAAGCAGTATTTTTACTTTCATTTTTATTAAATTCAAAATATATTTTAATGTTCACTGTAATTACTTTTTTGATCCATGAATAACTTAGAAATGTGATGCTTAATTTCCAAACATTTGTTAACTTTCAAAGTCTTGCTATAGATTTCCAGCTTAATAACATTGTTGTACAAAAAACACTGTCAAAGATTTCAAATTTTTGGTATTTATTGATTCTTGCTTGGGGCCTAACCTCAGCCTCTATCTATCTATCTATCTATCTATCTATCTATCTATCTATCTATCTACCTATCTATCATCTATCATCTATCTACCTAGACAGAGATATCTATAGATATCTATGGTAAATTTTGAAACATGTTCCAAATACACTATAATAAATTGTATGTTTTGCTGTTTTTGAGTGCAGTTTTTATGTCAAAGTATTTAATTCTACTGCTTTAAATGTTTGTATTATTGATATTTTGTATCCTTTTTGCTATCATGTATCAAAAATGTGTATTAAAGTCTTTATGATTGAAGATGTGCCTATTGCTCCTTTTAGTTCTATAAATTATGCATGCGCATTAACTGTGTGTGCGTGAATATAAATACACAAGTTAGACAACTTCCTCAATAATTGATTCTTTTATGTGAATGATGTATACATCTTCCTCTCAGGTAATAATTTCTGCCTTAAAATCTCTATTGTCTAATATTAACATAGCTAAACAAATTTTCATTTGGCTTGTGTTTATCTTTTATATACATATATGAAATTTTTAAATTTAGATGGTTCCATAGATAGAAGATAGAAGATATATAGATAGAAGATAGTATATGTCTTCTACAGATACAGATATGTATATGTATATATACTTATAGATATATTAATATTTATATCTATGTTTATAAATGTATATATGTAGATAGCTATATATGTATATCTACATATATATCTACATACCAATATATATCTCTAGGTGTGTATATGATATCTATATACATATAGATATAGATATGCAGGTATATACATACATAGATAACTATGTATATATATCTATGCACATGTAGAAATATAGATGTAGATATAAATATATATCTGTATAGAGTTATGTGTAGACATATATAGATATATAGATAGGTCTATATAGAGAACCATCTACCTATATCTAGATAGATATCTATCAATTGATATCTCTACCTATCTAGCTCTAGATAGATTATCTAATCTATCTATAAAACTATCTTGAAACGATCCTAATTTAAAAATCAAGATTCGTTTTAATTCAAAAATCTTAACTTAAAAGTTAGGAACCATCTTTATTTTGTGGTTCATATACACCATGGAATACTAGGTGGCCATAAAAAAGAGTGAGATCAAGTCATTTGCAGGAACATGGAGGGAGCTGGATGGAGGTCTTCATCCTTAGCAAACTAATGCAAGAACAGAAAACCAAATACTGCATGTTCTCATTTACAAGTGGGAGCTAAATTATGAGAACACATGAACACATAGAGGGAAGCAACAGGCACTGGGGTCTCTGGGAGTGTGGAGGGTGGGAGGAAGTTGAAGATCAGGAAAAACAACTAATGGGTACTAGGCTTAATAGCTGGGTGGTGAAATAATGTGCACAACAAACCTCTGTGACACTAGTTTGCCACATAACAAACCTACACAGGTGCCATTGAACTGAAAATAAAAGTTAAAAATGATGAAAATACGGAAACAAAAATCTTCAACCAACACAAAACGGTTCATCCCAAGAATCATCTTAATTTAAAAATCTTTACATCTTAAGAAGCTACACGGGAGGCTGAGGCAGGAGAATCGCTTGAACCTGGGAGGCAACGGTTGCAGTGAGGCAAGATCGCGCCATTGCACTCCAGTCCAAGTGAGAGTGTGAGACTCAGTCTCAAAAAAATAAAATGAAATAAAGAGCAACTTTGATCTTAAATAGAGTATATATCCGTTTACATTTAATGTGGTGAATGAAAAATTTGGTTTTCATTTACCACCCTACAATTTGCCTTTCTCAACTAATACTTTATAGATAAAAGGACTTACGGAAAGCAAATATATGACTCAATATTCCAATAAAAGTGCTTGAAATAATTTATATTGAGCACGTTATCCTTCTTTCTTAAAAACCTTAAGCTATACACATTACATAGATAAGCACTGATGAGAATCTAGTACTAAATAACCATTATTTCAAAGGCATAGATAGAATGCTTTCCAGGTATGGAGTGTTTCCATACTTCCCTTCCATACATTTTCAAGCCATTGCATAACAAATACGGAATTTTGTGGAGAGGAGTGAATTTATATCCTTTAATATTTTCTCACTTTAGAAATGCAGTCTTGGAATGATATAAACTCTGTAAACAGACTATCATGTTGTATTTACGAAGAATTATATTAAGGTGTCTATTTTTAAGACAAGAATAAATATGTTTTTGTTCTAATAATAGAAATGGATAAGCAGAATTCTGGCTTATAATAATGAGAACATACTATCCCCTAGTTTGAAATAAGTTAAATAATTTAACTTTCTCATGTTATCTTGAAGTTTGTATTGAATGTATCAGTGCACTACATGAAATGGGACATTTGGTGCTGTCAGGCCTCTGAGCCCAAGCTAAGCCATCATATCCCCTGTGACCTGTAGGTACACATCCAAATGGCCTGTTCCTGCCTTAACTGATGACATTCCACCACAAAAGGAGTGAAAATGGCTGGCCCTTGCCTTAAGTGATGACATTCCACCACAAAATAAGTGAAAATGGCTGGTCCTTGCCTTAACTGATGACATTACCTTGTGAAATCCCTTTTCCGGGCTCATCCTGACTCAAAAAGCTCCCCCACTGAGCACCTTGTGACCCCCCATGCCTGCCTGCCAGAGAACAAGCCGCCTTTGACTGTAATTTTCCTTTACCTACCCAAATCTTATAAAACAGCCCCACCCCTATCTCCCTTCGCTGATTCTCTTTTTGGACTCATCCCGCCTGCACCCAGGTGATTAAAAAGCTTTATTGCTCACACAGAGCCTGTTTTGTGGTCTCTTCACATGGACGCGCGTGAAAGTTACCATCCCTTTTATCCTACACATAAAATGATTCAGTGGTTTAAAACACTTCTTTCCATATCCTGCAGTTTTGCATAGCAAAAGAAACATGCACTTTGAGGAAAATGTACCTTTTAATTTTTTGTATTTTAAATATTATGGGTACAAAATATTTGTATGTAATTATGGAGTACATGTGATGTTTCAATACCTCCTTTTTGATCCCAGATCTTCCCTGAAATTTTTGTCCAATTTGTATTGCATTATTTAAGTTTGAGAAGGAGTAATGATGTTTAGTATATACTGTTATAAAATAACTGATTCCAAAGATGTAAAGTATCTGATACTTACTATGTCCAAATATAATTTTTAAGGAAATGTTCCTAACGATGTGTAAATAATAACATGGAATAAAATAAATTCATATAACTTTATGATAATAATTTTACTTAAATTAAAAAGTGTTATGTGCAAACAGATGGTATACGACGCGTGGCATGCAATAATGCAATTGAGTCCAATTAAATATATTGTTTGATTTATTTCCACAATCTGATAAATGTATTGTAGACCAAAACATCAAAAACCATAAGTAGGGCTGGGCGCGGTGGCTCAAGCCTGTAATCCCAACACTTTGGCCAAGGCAGGCAGATCATGAGGTCAGGAGATTGAGACCATCGTGGCTAAGATGGTGAAACCCCGTCGATACGAAAAATACAAAAAAATTAGCCGGACGTCGTGGTGGGCGCCTGTAGTCCCAGCTAATCAAGAGGCTGAGGCAGAAGAATGGCGTGAACCCCGGAGGCGGAGCTTGCAGTGAGCGGAGATGGCGCCACTGCACTCCAGCCTGGGCGACACAGCGAGACTCCGTCTCAAAACAAACAAACAAACAAACAAACAAACCATAAGTAGCCTGTATAATGTCTTTTTATTCGCTGCCATGTTTTTAATATAAATATATAAGAGCATCTTAAATTATTTAAATAAGTCAATTATTTTATAAGTGAATTTAGTATTAGAACATATATATTCTTTTGCACAGGAAGCTTTTTTAAGTGTCAGAAATTATATACTTATATAGAGACTTTTGTTCACAAAGTAGTTAGTTGTAGGTACATACAACATACTTGAAAAATATTTTTGTCGACATTGGATGCATTTTTCTCTTATAGACTCTTAAAAATGTTAACAAGCCAACATGTGAATATACTGAAGTATTTTTTAATCTTTTCTAGTGTCGATAACGAGTTGGTTGATATAAAGTCATTAGAGTGGCAATTCAACAAATATTTTCTATCGCATAACAAATGTCATTAACTTGCTAGTCTGTCATGCTGTTGCAAAGATAAAGCCACATTCATTAGTGTTTTTTGTTGTTGTTTCTTATTGGTGCTTTGTTTGTTTTGTAACATGAAGTGGCCCACTTCTTGTATTAAATTATTTATTCTTTCTGAAAATGTTCAATCAGAATGTAATAAAACCTTTGAAAAATGATTTAAAAATTTATTCCTGTAGGTGGGAAATTGAACAGGTGAGAACACTTAGACACAGGGCAGGGAACATCACACCCCTGGGCCTGTCGTGGGGTGGGGGCAGAGAGGCAGGGATAGCATTAGGAGAAATACCTAATGTAAATGAGGAGTTAGCGGGTGCAGCAAACCAACATGGCACATTTATACCTATGTAACAAACCTGCACGTTGTGCACGTGTGCCCTAGAACTTAAAGTACAATAAAAAATATATATTTATTTCTACTGAACAAAATGTCCATATATTAGATGGCCTAGGACTGGTAGGGGTCTCTAATCCAGGGGATTGTTGATAAACTGAGACAACTTCTATAATTTTTACATTGTTACTCTTAAAGTCTTGTCATTGTCTGACTGTCTCAATATTGGAAAATAACGTCAATATTCAGTGTAATAAACCAGAAGAAAAATGGGCCGATATCCCATTCAATTAAAGACATTGAAAAGAATGTGTATGTATTACTTTTACTCACATCTTAATGCTCATCGTGTTGTCACCAAGCCAGATAGAACCATATACTGGGGAATGTAATGTTTATCTGAGAAACCAAATGCCTAAATACAAATTTTAATAGTATGAAGTAAGAGGAAATAAATATGGGGGATTTTCTAGTCTTCTCCATTAGATATAAATTGCAAGATTTGGCCACTTTAAAAAATATTAATATTTACTAATTTTTCATCAATTCAAATATCATATCATAGAGAGCAATTTAATCAAATTAGATAACAGTTCTAAATATAAAATTTAACTGTATATCTCCCAGAAACCAAAAAATGAGAAATTATCTGTGGCTTTTGGCTAGACAAAGGTTTCTTAGATGTGGCCCAAAGAACAACCTAGAGAACAAGCAAAAAAACCAATTACAACAACAGTAAATATGACTTCATAAAAACAAAAAATTCTATATTTCTAGCCTAAATGACTCAAACTTGTAATAGACATTTCCAAATTATGTCTGATAAAGGATGTGTATCCAAAATATGTAAACTCAATTTTAAGGCAAATTACAGTCCAATAATAAACAATAAGGAAAAGAATATATTTGAACACATACTTTGCCAGAGGAAATTCAGAGACAGCAAATAATCACATCGAAAGATGTTCAATATCTTTAGCCATTGGAGAAATACAAATTAAATGAGATGCCATTCCACACCTACTAGAATAAATATAATTAAAAATACTCATCATCTTGTGTGTTGGTGATGATTTAAAAAATCTGTAGCTCTCAAATACTGATGGTAGGAAAGTAAATGATACAGCCACTCTGGAGAAAAAAATGGATTGTTTCTTACAAAGTTAAATAGACACCCACTATTTTACCTACTTACTCTACTGTTGTTCTTTAAGCAGAAAACAGTAGAGCATATTATACATATAAGAATGTGTTTACAAGTGTCCATGGCAAACTTATTTATAATAAGACTAAACTGTCAACAACCCAAAGTTTATCAATGGGTGAATAAATAAATCCAACACGGTATACTCATAACATGAGATATAACTTCACACACACATAAAACCATATTTTCAGCAAATGGTGCTGGAACAATTGGACATCCACATCCAAAAAAAGAATCTAGACACTGTGTTTACACAATATACAAGAATGGATA
This sequence comes from Homo sapiens, assembly GCF_000001405.40. NCBI lineage: Eukaryota > Metazoa > Chordata > Mammalia > Primates > Hominidae > Homo > Homo sapiens. The sequence continues at coordinate 22,619,428 of NC_000017.11, forward strand.
ATAGATTTAAATATAAAAATGCGAGACTATAGAAGAATATTATAAATTGAATTTTATATAAGTTAGTACTTCTGCTCTAGGAAAGACATAGTTTATATTTAAAAAACAAGCCAAGACTGGGAGACAATATTTACAAAACATGTATCCAATGAAGAACTGGTATGAGCACCCCACAGAACTCTTAAAACTCAAAAAGAAAAAAAGTTAAATAATCCAGTTAAAAAGTGGGCAGGAGATCTGAACAGACATTTCACCAAGGGAAACATATTAATGGCAAATAAGTAAATGAAATATGCTCAACATCATATATTGTTAGAGAACTGCTCATTAGAACAAGATACCACCACATGCCTACTAAAATGGCTAAAATCCAAATCACTGACAACACTAAATTGTGTTGAGGATAAAGAGCAAGGGAAACTTATTGATTGCTTGTGGGAATGCAAAATGGCACAACCACGTTAGAAGATAGTTTTGCATTTCTTACAAAGTTAAATGTAGTCTTACCACATGGACCAGTAACTTCACCCCTATCCAAATGAGTCAAAAATCTTTCTACACAAAAATGTCACATGACTCCTTAAAACAGCTTTTCTCGTAACAAAACTTGGTAGCTACTAAGATGCCCCCAACAGGTGAGTGATGGCTCAATAAACTGGCATATCTATAAAATGGGATATTCAGTGTTAAAAGAATAAGCTATCAAGCCATACAAAATATGCAAGAACCTAGAGTACATATAACTAAGTGAAAGAAGCTAATCTGAAGAGGCTGTACACTGTATCATTCCAATGATGTAACATTCTTAAAAAGGGGAAAATCTATAAAAAGATCAGAATTTCCAGTAGTCTCCAAGGGAAAGGATGAATAAATCAAGCACAGAAATTTTTAAGAAAGTAAAACTATTCTTATAATACCATAGTAGTGGGTACATGACATATGCACTTGTCCCAGCCCATGAAATGTATAATGCCAAGAGTGAACCCTAATATAAAACTAATATATGGACTTTCATTTATAATAATATGTCAATACGGATGCATCAGTTATAACAAAGGCACCACACTAATGCAAGATACTAATCATAAAGAATATGGAGGGTAGAAGAAAGTGTTTGGAAATTCTCTGTGCTTTGTTAGTTTTTTCTATAAACCTAAAATTGTTCTCAAAATAAAATCTATTAATTTAAAAAAGAATGAACTATTGTTACCAGTATCAACATAGGTGAAAGTCAGAGTAGTTATGTTGAGTGCAAAAGACAGACAAAAAAGAATAGATTTTGTGTGATTACATTTACATAAAATTCTACCAAGTGTAAACCATTCTGTAGTATCAGAAATAGATTAGTAGTTGCATGGAGATTAAGTAGGGAAGAGGGGAAGAAGCCATTACTAAAGACACAAAGCAACTTTGGGGAAATGAATATGTTCATTATCTTGATCGCCATGGTGTTTTCTTATGTACCAATATGCCAAAACTTTAAAAATAATATACACTGGATTATGTTCAGTTTATGTCAATTACACTTCAATGAAAAACATTTAAAAATATTATGTATCTTGATTTTATATTTATTCAGAGATATTATTATTCTCTACCTGCCATATATGCCTTTTGGCAGTGTAAAGATATATAAACATAGTATGTAAATATGGTATTTGTAATATTCTTATTCATATGCAAAGATAGTTTACATTTAATTTTTTTAACTTTTCTTCTATTTTTATTCTGTATCCTCCAGACATTAACATTGAGAACTTCATATACTATTACATATTTAAAAATGAGTCATGTCCAGTATAATACAAAATTTCAGCAATGTGACATGACAGGAACAAAATATAAATGAAGTTGCTTTATATAGATTCATTTTGCTCATTAAAACATTTCATAGAATAAATCACTTATTCAAAAGTATTAACATATATATTTAAGAGTGCACTATGAAAAAACAGAATCAAGAAATGGATACCAGATTGATACTCACTAAATCGTATGTTAAAGCATTTTGAATAATTTTGTAGTTTTTCAAAAGTAACTCACACATGTCACATATTAATAATGTATATATTTATTTTTAGGAACTCCTTTTAGATAACTATTAGGTATATAGTTTTATGCTGAGTTTTATGAGAACTAGAAAAAGCATATCATTTTATGTCAGAAATAGTATATTGGTTCCTAGGTCATTTTCTATAGCTGTCAAAATGTTTCAATGTCTTTTAAAACTCAAGAAAATGAGGAAGAAATACAGAAATATTCCTAGGTTAATTGTTTTTATATCCTTATCTAGTTCTTTCTATTCTTAATTATATTAATTCTTCCCAATGGCTTATTTAAAAATGGGTCTTCAATTGTCTTTCATTAAAATTCTATGGGGTCTCATTACCTGTAAAAAGGTTTTATTTCACACGAAGTATTTTTTGGTTATGTAAAAGGAAACTAAAGCTCTGGGCTAAATAAATAACTTTTTTAAATTTTCCCTATTGGGAAGTAGTTGAATATATACATTGCTGTATTCAGCTAAAACATATTAGAATGTGCTTTTATTTACAATAAAAATGAAATAAGGCTGCGTTACATTGGCAAGCTGTAATGGGAAATGTATTTGTCACCCTAGGCAAACTGAAAAGGCAGGTATATTGAATTCAGTAATGCTGAGTAATTAAGCCTTCACTTACAACCCTTATATTAGATAATTCAACTTAATAAGTTAAGTCATTTTCCAAGTGTTTGTTAATGTATCAAAAGGATTTATACATTTCACAAACGGGGACTCAAGCTAAGGTAAAGATTTATAAACACAACCAATTCACTAGAGAAAGAATTTTAAGCTTGTTTTTCTTGTTTTTCCAAACCTAACTCTTTCATGGAAAAAAATAAAGGCAATATTATAAAACAGATGAAAGTGCAGGTAATTACCTTAAGTGACATTGAGAAGCCTAGAGCTCACCTGGTCCACACTATTTGATAAGCCATGTCACCCCTCATTTACTTCCACGGTTCCCTTCAAGATTGAAGAGCTGTCTGAATACCACAGTCTTAGTATATTATATTTTTGTAAGGAAACCTGCTCACTCAAGAACATCTTCTGTGAGAGCCAATCCATTCAGCATGTTAGGAAGTTTCCTTCCATGTATGATTCAGGCCCACCTGATCCAGTGGATTGGACAATGAATGAACACTTGATTTAGGTGGAAGTTATCCATTTATTGATTAGAAATCAGTAAGCCTCTTTCACTTGAGAATTCCAATTGAGATGAAGAATATAATAGGTATGCATACTGGATGAGCAAAGCCAAATAGCCTCCGTAATGTTATAAAGAATAATATTGAGCCACAGGCAAGCAGTGGAGATACAAAGAGTACAAGAGTAAGGGAACAAATGTTGCCCTGGAGTGAGAGAAATTGATAAAAAGCCACTGCCTTGATGTTGGACAGGTTCTTAGTTCTATGTTCAGCCTTTATTTTCTGCTCTTGGATTCTACACTGTACATTTCAAGTTTATTTACAAATGGTTTTGACTACAGAAAAAGCAAGTGTGCCATTATGTAATTTTTGACGTATTTTGGGAGAAATAAAGTAAAAAGTATTTTTTCCTTTTCTTTTATTTATTTTTATATTTATTTATTTATTTATTTTTTGAGATTGAGTTTCTCTCTTGCTGCCCAGGCTGGAGTGCAGTGGCGTGATCTTGGCTCACTGCAACCTCCGTCCCCCAGGTTCAGGTGATTCTCCTGCCTCAGCCTCCTGAGTAGCTGGGAATACAGGCGTGTGCCACCATGCCCAGCTAGTTTTTGTATTTTTAATAGAGTTGGGGTTTCACCTTGTTGGCCAGGCTGGTCTCGAACTCCAGATCTCAGGTGATCCACCCACCTTGGTCTCCCAAAGTGTTTGGATTACAGGCGTGAGTTACTGCACCCAGCCACAAAAAGTATTGAGAGTTTTTCAAAGTAGTTTCTGAGTTACATGTAAAAACAAGATAAAAAAATTTACTAACAGCTCTGCAGCTTTCAAAATTAAGCAGTCAGATTTCTATGTGGCTGAGAATTTCTAGCAGTCTCCTCCATTAGAATTTGCCATGCCCAAAATGTCCTATGCTGTACAGTTAAATGATTGATGTTTAAGTAATATTCAGTTTGAAAGCTGACTTTAAATGTTTCCTTGAGGGGAAAACATGCTTAGCATTTCATTATAAAATTATCCAAGCTTTGCTCTCATTTCTATGTTCAAATTCAATGCATGAGTTAAAGCATCTTAAGACTTCCTTTTAAGCAATTTATATATTTGCCCTAAGATTTCAACTAGTCCTAATATCAGAGGATCACTTCATTGGAAAAGTTGTGCAAAAGTAAAATGAAATGGAGATTAACTACTAAATTGTCATGTTGAGATTCGTGATAAATTTAGTTACAATGATATTATTCAAATTGGAATTAACTGCAACTTTCCTAGGTATGTAAATGAAAGTGGAGTGAAATTGCTATATAAACCTAGGGTTATGACCATCAAAATACATGATATAGCAATACAATAATTTAATGTTGACTCAGGGAGTAATAAATCAGATATTTCATTCAACAAGCTGTGATTTTTTAATTATAACTTAAGAATTATAAGTTAACATTTATAAGTATTGTTTCTTAATAATGAGTTGACAAAAATAATAGTTGAAAAATACAATTATATAGCATGATTATATTGTGAAAATTTACATTAAAAATTAAAATAATGAATAAATCACCTTTGGAAACTACTGTTATTTAAAATATCAGGAGTCCAGAAAATTGCAACTTATTTTGATCTACATAATCATTTTTACATGAAAATTTAATTCCAAAACCATTGCAAAGATTATTTTCTTAATAACCATAGTATTAAGAATCAGTTTCTGTGAAAGTACAATAGAATACAAACATATCCTAGATGTATTGTTTTCTGCATTTATGCAAGAACAATAAGATTTTTTAAATGTTTGACTTATCTGTGGAAATATGATAGAGACAATTGTATGATTTGGTTTAAGGATTACTCATTTCTGTACTTAGATGAGGTAATTTTTTCTTTTCTAGATAAACTCTAATTCCACTTTTTTCATACAGTACACACCTATACATGCATATATAAGTTTCCGTTAAACAACAGTAGTAAGATTTGAACAGATTATTTACCTACCTTTCTGAAAAGTGTCTGTTAACATTGTTATAAGCCTATAAGGGAAGAAAGGGACTATATTACAAAAGAACAGAAATGATCCAGGAGAGTATGAACACAACTGGATTCTAAGAATACTGGGCTATTGGGTATCGGGATGTAGATTGGGATAAAAGATTATACCCCTATCAGAACACTGTCAGTTTCACTATTGATGTGGTACAAACACATGATAGGATGGTTTGCAGCATCAAGGAAAAAGTGATGGCCTCAGGTGAGGTTGCAATGTCAAATTTCCCATGGAAGCTGACAGAAGATGCACACGTCACAAAGAAAATAACATGTAGAATACTTAAAATCTACTCTCAATAATTTTTAAGTTATTTTAAATTATATACTATTGTTATTAACTATAGTCACTATTGCCATAGTCGCTATAACTACAGTCACTATAGATCTATTACATAATGTACAATAGATCTCTGAAATTTACTTCTCCTGTCAATTTAAATTTTGTTTCCTTTGACTAACATTGAGATAGCAATTTTTATCACAATTTAAAAATTATAATAACATAAAACAATATAATTTTACAGCAAGGAAAAGGCATTTCTTGAAAGTTAATTCACAACATTGAATGAATTGCTAAACAAAACATTGTCAAGAACCAAAACAACTCTAGATATCTCAGGCAGAATGAATTCAAAGAAAATGACTGTGCATATTATTTCTCAACATTAGATTCACAATGGAATCACCTGGGGCAATTTTTTAAAGAAACAAATGCCTAAATATCATATCCAGATTCTAATTTATTTGTTATTAGATATGGTCTGGAATCACTCTACTCCTGACGTCCCTGCTCAAGAATCAACTTCCAGGAAGAGAGACTGGGACTCACTGATTTTGGTGCTATTCAGTTGAACTATGCCCCTACTGATTTTCCACCTGCTGGTTCTATTCATTATAGATAGGGAGATGTTAACATCTCCAATTATAATAGTAGATTTATCTGTCTGTTCTTGCAGTTCTATCTGTTTTCACCTCATGTGTTATTGACAGCCCGTTACATGCAAACACATTAAGGATTGTTATGTTTTCTTGGAAAATTAAACCCTTTGTGACTATGTAATATCGCTTTTGTATCCCCCTATAATTATTCTTGCTCTGAAGTCTTTTTGTTGGAAATTAATATATTAATCCAGCTTTCTTTTAATTAGTATTATCATGTTATATATTTTTCAAAGTTAACTCTCAAGCTTGTCCACAATGCGCTTCCAGAAATTAATCAACTACATGTTAAAGTTTTCTGCTCCATTACTAACATCTATGGGGGCTCCTGGGCTTTTGCTCCACTATGCTACAATTCTTTGCATTTCCCCATCTCTCTAATTAAGTGGAGATTTAGGGTGGGGGCAGCAGTTTGTTCTGTGGCCTCAGTCCCCTAACGGATTTAAAATGAGTTGTTGATACTCTGTTTATACAGCATTTTTCTTGTAAGGATGGGAGTGATGACTTCCAAGTTTCTTACATGCTTGAATAACTGACATTTTTTACTATATTCTCACCCCTATGGTGGTAGAAAAATGCTATAATTTTTGGATCCACAGAACTAAAGTACTAGGAGAGGGGTTTTTTCACAGGAAAGATGGTTGCTACTGAAAAAAAAAAGAAAAAAAAAAGATAAAGTCTTCTCTGCTATCTCTGCTAGATTCTCTAAACTCTCTTCCTGTCTCTGGAGTCCAGACACACAAGCCTCCTTTTAGTTTTGAGCTTTCACTATGCTTTTATCTTAAAAACTTTGCCTACTATGTCCTTTCTGCTGAGAAAGCACCTTATCCCCTCAATTACCTAGTTAACATCAAATATCAAATCATACTTCTTACTGAAGGCCAAGTACCACCTCTAGAAGTTTTCCCTAAGAACAGCCTACATACACTTAATTCTGTGAGCCCTTTTCTTATATCCTTTGAATGCTCTTCCTTCACATTACTCTTCCTTCACAGCCTTTAGCCAGGCAATATATTACAGGAAAACAGGGAGAACATAATTTTTGCCATTTACTCTTACCTTTGCCTAGCCCAGTGCCTGGCAAACAATAGATTCTCATTATGTATTTTTTTTGAATGAATTAATAAATCCAAGTAAAATAATTGATGTTTTGGAATTATCTAAGACTGTTAAAATCAGTTAAATATAGTTAATGTGAAGCAAAAAACAGTAAACAAAATTAATGTAATATACATGCTGATGTTATTTTAGAAAAAACACAATAATTTACAAATTCCTTTCAATAATTCAATTAACTTTTATGAGATTTGATTGAAGACAAATCTATGAATGCTTTGTTGTAAATAAAAGGTAATCCTTGTAATAAGCAAAAATAAATTAACATAACAAATATCAATTTACAGATAGATGAAAAGTGATTGTTTTCTAGATGAAAGGAAGATTATTAATAGTTGGCATAAGAAATCAAAAATTAGTTCAACAATTAGTCATACGGAAATGTTGAATATTGACATTAATGTGATAAAGAAAACGAGAGTTTCTGCAAATAACCTCCCATATCTGATGTGAATCTTTCACGTCATTCTATAGTTCAACTAGTTCTTAATAACTCAAAAACAAGAAGGATAAAATCCATCATTTTGTTTGGCTACCCAGATCCCTCCTGTAGCTGTCATACAGAGTGTGATTTATGAGTTGTAAGTTGTGCTGTGGAGCTTGACAAGTAAGTTTGATTTCATTTAGTATCTTCTTTAAACCATCTTAGATCTTCTCTTTGACAAGAATTTATGTTAGTGTTCTCAAAATGTAAAATGGGTAACTTAATGAGAACAAAAGTTGTACCCTAAGATATATTTGCATTATCTACATACTCACAATTAAATCTTAACAGTTCAAATATACCCATTTGTAATAGAATCTAACAGTTTTCCTCTTGAATTTTTTGACACCAGAAATTTTTGGTCCCAATAATGTTTAGCTTCCTAGTCACAAACCAAACAGAAAGCAAATTTCATCAGCTTAGAATGGTTAAAACCAACACAGCTGCAATATTTTTATTTTTGTTTTAAAATTTTGTTTAGTCAAATATAGTTTTAAGATGAGTAGAAATTCTCCTGAAGATAATAAAGAAAAAGTATGTCATATAATATCTTAAATAAAAATAATAATAGTTATTAATTTTTTCTGCTCATTATGTTCCAGAATCTGTACTAAGCATTTTAGAGGATTATTTTATTTAATTCACACAATAATCCCTTGAGAAATATATAATTATTATCTTTAATTCACAGTTATTGAAAATGAGACACAAAGAGGTTAAGAATTTTGTCCAAGGTCAGGCAGCTAATGTGACTTAGCAAGGGTGTAATTAAGAAAAAATAAGTCTTTCTTATCTTATGGGAAATTTGGAAAAGCAAATATCTAGGTTCTCTTTTTAATTAAAAAATATAAAATGTAAAATGTGAGTCTCTCTTAAAGCAGGGAATCAACTTTAATTAAATTGAAACAATACAGAATCTTTTGTTATTCAGGCTCTATATTATTATTATCTCTGCTGATAGCAAAAGCTAAGAATAGAAAATATTTCTGACCCAAGTTGGTAAATTATGAATCAACCTGCTAGATAATCAGAATAGGCTAACAAGTGGAATTAAATGTAATTATTCTATATTAAATATAATATAAACAATTTCTTATTATAATTTTACTAAGATTCTACCAGTTGCAACTGAAATATAACATTTTAAATCCAAGCTTAATAAAAGAACTTGGCATGAGATGTTTTCATAGGAAATAGTGACAATTCATATTATTTTTAAGTGTAAATGAGATGTATTATTTCTGTATTTCATTTTCCTTCTAAAAGTTATTTTTAAAGTTTTAGTTTTTCTGAAGTTGATAGCTATTACTAACTCTTTTGGGCAAAGTTTTTTGAGATAGATTAATTTATATAATTAGGAAGAAACTAAAGTAGTTGTGAAAGTTTCTAAAAAGATAATAAAGTAGTTGTCTTTATGTTATAATAGAAAATGAGAATGTGAACGCAGATCATTTTGACTCTCAGAGTTTGTGTTTTCAGCAAATATTACCTGAATATTGATATATAAATTAGAATTCCCCAAAGGAAAACATTTAAAAATGTTAAAATTAATAAAATCATTAGCTTATATACTTGTCCTTAGTATCAGGACATTCTCCAGTGGATTCAATAGAGCATCTGCAGTTTTATTTTTTGAACAAAGGTTTCTGCAATATAGACTCATGGTGTGAGCTTACTGGGTCATGTTCTTTGTTCCTTCTTGGAGCTTTGGGAGGCATTTATAAAAGAGCTGCTGTAGTAGAAGGACTGAGTTGTATCACCCTGAGGATTTAAGTTTCTGCGGGAGAATCAAATTCACTTTAGTATAGGGATTTAGTAGGTTTCCCTAGCCTTATTAACAAAATATCATGGACTGGATTATTAACAAAATACTAATACGACATGAAAAGTGCATACTTTGTCTTACAATAATCCAGTTAAGACACTATTTTTGTATAGCAAAATTCTTTACTACACACTAGTTACAAATCAAGTGAGCAAGAGGTGGTCATACTGCTCTGCTTCCTATTCCTGCCCTTTCCTCCTACCCCAGCTGAAAATACTTGCTGCAAATGTCCTTTTATAGGAGACTTTGACCCCAGGGTGTAGAAAGGGAAAGGAAAAGGTCAGAAATATATGTCTTGTCTATAACTTAAATCTAATACCAGCACAAAAGCCTGAAAGGACTGATTTTTAGAGAGCGTTGGCAGGAAACTGCTCTGCTATCATCTGTTTTAAGCTACTTTTATACATTATTTTTTTCGGCTTCTACTCTGCTACTATTCAACTGCAATTTGTTTTATTGTACACTTCAACACCATGAACAGTATCTTAGTTATTATTGAAATGTATTACAAGTTCATAAAGAAAACAGCATTTTGTTTCTTCAGTCATCTACTTTGGATGAAAGTGTTATTTAGAAAAGACTAAATGGGAAAAATAATACATTAAAAATAAAAATTGCATATTAATTTTTTAGATCAAATAAACCAATTTTCAGCATTTTCATGGACCTTTATAACCAAAATAAATAAACATTTAAAGACAGATGATTTAATTCAGTATTTTGTTTCTTGAAAATACTGGAATATGTGTTTTAGATAATGTATATATTTCTGTTATTGAAAAGTTTTCAATAGTCAGCTGACTTCATATGCAACTTTTTGCAAATAATAATACCATTTTAAACTTATTCAAGGATTTTAGGTGTTCTTAAATATTATTTTATAACTTATTTTACTCCCCTAAAGTAAATATTTATGGCATCTGTAAGCCATTGTACAATTGGTATAGCATAGTATTAGGATTGTCCTTTGTAATATTTTATAGTATTCACATTTGTATTTAATCGCAAATTTGATATAATTTAGCCAAGCCTTCAATACATTTATAAAGAGAGCACTACTGAGACTTTATACAATGGAATAAAATAACAAAATGTGATGGCAGCATTCTTCCACTCAAAGAGATATATATATTTTTTATTCTATCCAATTTTTAACTAATTTTATTTTTTGCACCCAATGGAGGGGAAAATTACTAAAAGTGTGATTAAGGCTATTATAAGATACATAAACTGTATGACACAAGCATTCTCAACTCAACTTTACACTTCACATTGTTTATGAACTTAGTATGCCAGCTTTTTAAGTGTGGTGGGGTCTGGTATTCCACACTTATATGTCTCTGAATCCCACCCTTGTGCTGATGCTAAGATGAACTGAAGCAGGGATGAATTTTTCTCTTACATGGAAACATGAATATATTCCAAACTGGAGGGAGCTCTCACAAGCAGTTCGCCTACGGTAATTACTTTGTGCCTTGTAATGGGTCACACAGTATCCTCAAAAAGGTGTGTCTGAGTCCTAGACCCTCTCCCCTCCCAGTACCTGTAAATGTCACCTTATTTTGAAATAGGAGCTTTACAGATAAAATAAAGTTAAAGATCTCAGGGTGAGATCATCCGGAATTTAGAGTGAGTCATGGATATTTGGGACACAGAAACACAAGCAAGGTCATGTGAAGATAGAGACAAAGGTTACAGTTATGCTGTCACAAGCCAAGGAGTACCAGGAACCACCCGGAACTAGAAGAGGCAGGGAAGGATTCTTCCCTAGAGCCATCAGAAGAAGTACGGTCCTGAGTACGCCTGGATTTTGGTCTTTTTGCCTCTATAAGTGAGAGATATTATTATTATTACTATTATTATTATTATTGTAACAATTTTAAGCCACAAGTTTTGTAGCAATTTCTTTTGGCAGCACTAGGAAACTAGTTAATGCCTCTATTATTTGGTTAAACAAAGAACACTATTAAGTATTTTTAAAACAATGTATATGAATGTTGATTATGGTAAGCAAACAGTTTATAATCAGATCAGTTTCTATGTAAAATTTCATGTTATTATATTGATTTTGTTTTGTTTTAACCATACAAGACTTGCTTGGATGTGGTACCATTGAATACCATCCCCATTCCCTCCTGTCCCACAACTTTTTGAAATTTATGGGGCTTTGTTCTAGACTGAATATTTCTTTTCCCTCAAATTTCATATGTTAAAGCCCTACCCCACAATGTGACAGTATTGGGAAGTGAGGTCTTTGAGAATTAATTAGGTTTAGACAAAGTCATGAGCTTAGGACCCTCATCAATGGAATTAGTGTCCTTATAAGAACAGGAAGTCTATAGAGTGCTCTCTCTCTCTCTCTCTCTCTCTCTGTGTCTCTCTCTCTCTCTGTCCATCTGCTACGTGAGGAAAAAGCAAGCTGGGAAGAAGACCTCACGAGGAAACAAATTTGCCAGCACCTTAATCTTGCACTTTCCAGCTTCTAAAATTCTGAGAAATAAATGTCTGTTGTGTAAGCCATCCAGTCCATGACATTCTGTTATAGAATCCTGGACTGACTGATATGGGCTGGAACATGCTGGAGAGATGGTACAAAATCTAATTTTAGAAAAATATTTTAAGTTGTAAGATCTGAGGCAAAAATCAGTTAAATATTACCATTTACATTAACCAAATTACTCCATTTGCAGTATCAAATTAAGGAAATTTATGTTTTATTCAAGCTTTTAAAATCAGCACACCCACTTTGCAGAAGTAATTAATAACCCATGATTATTAATTATGTTTGCCAATTTAATTTTCATCCAGTATTACTTGCAGGGAAAGTTTGAAATAGATAAATCATCTTCCTTTTGAGATGTCACTTGTATCACTAAAGGCTACCTATAATTTCTGTAATTGTTACTCTTTAATGCAACTTTAAACTTCGAAGAAAGATGTTTCAATATTTTTTTTTGGTTTTTGTTTTTTCTTTTCTTTTTTGTTCATTTTGTTTGATAATGTATCTTTTTATATTATTATTATACTTTAAGTTTTAGGGTACATGTGCACAATGTGAAGGTTAGTTACATATGTATACATGTGCCATGCTGGTGTGCTGCACCCATTAACTCGTCATTTAGCATTAGGTGTATCTCCTAATGCTATCCCTCTCCCCTCCCCCCACCCCACAACAGTCCCCAGAGTGTGATGTTCTCCTTCCTGTGTCCATGTGTTCTCATTGTTCAATTCCCACCTATGAGTGAGAACATGCGGTGTTTGGTTTTTTGTCCTTGCGATAGTTTACTGGCAATGATGATTTCCAATTTCATCCATGTCCCTACAAAGGACATGAACTCATCATTTTTTATGGCTGCATAGTATTCCATGGTGTATATGTGACACATTTTCTTAATCCAGTCTATCATTGTTGGACATTTGGGTTGGTTCCAAGTATTTGCTATTGTGAATAGTGCCACAATAAACATACGTGTGCATGTGTCTTTATAGCAGCATGATTTATAGTCCTTTGGGTATATACCCAGTAATGGGATGGCTGGGTCAAATGGTATTTCTAGTTCTATATCCCTGAGGAATCGCCACACTGACTTCCACAATGGTCGAACTAGTTTACAGTCCCACTAATAGTGTAAAAGTGTTCCTATTTCTCCACATCCTCTCCAGCACCTGTTGTTTCCTGACTTTTTAATGATCGCCATTGTAACTGGTGTGAGATGGTATCTCATTGTGGTTTTGATTTGCATTTCTCTGATGCCCAGTGATGGTGAGCATTTTTTCATGTGTTTTTTGGCTGCATAAATATCTTCCTTTGAGAAGTGTCTGTTCATGTCCTTTGCCCACTTTTTGATGGGGTTGTTTGTTTTTTTCTTGTAAATTTGTTTGAGTTAATTGTAGATTCTGGATATTAGCCCTTTGTCAGATGAGTAGGTTGGGAAATTTTTCTCCCATTTTGTAGGTTGCCTGTTCACTCTGATGGGTTGCTGTGCAGAAGCTCTTTAGTTTAATTAGATCCCATTTGTCAATTTTGGCTTATTGTTAAATTGACTTAAATGACTAAGACTGTAGCTTAAATGAATGAGATTGTGGTGGAGAGGATATTCCCCAAACTAACTCTGTCTCTGACATTTAGGGGTTTGTTGTAATAGTAACACCTTGCTAGCAATCATCTACTAGTGATTTGCTCATGGAACATGCTGGAGAGAAGGAGTGTCTGAGTCCTAGACCCTCTCCCATCCCAGTACTTGTAAATGTCACCTTATTTTGAAATAGGAGCTTTACAGATATAATAAAGTTAAAGATCTCAGGGTGAGATCATCCTGAATTAAGATTGAGTCATGGATATGAATATATGCATATATATATATATATTGCATGCATGTGGAGGCAGGTTGTATATAATATAATATGTATATATATTACATATGTATAGTGTGTGTGTGTGTATATATATATATATGTGTGTGTGTGTGTGTGTGTGTGTGTGTATTATATACACCCTGCCTCCACATGCATGGCCTCCCTCATTATCAGTATCCTCCCCTAGAGTGGTACAACTGTCAAAATTGACTTGCCTACATTAACACAATGTTGTCACCCAGTGGTAAATATACATAACATAAAAGATATAATTTAATCATTTTAAATTCTAAAACTCAGTGATATTGAATACATTCACAATGTTGTGTAATTAACACTGTTTTCATAACTTTTATATCACATCAAACAGAAATTCTGTACCATTAAGCAATAATTCTCCATTCCCCTTGCCCCAGCCTCCATGCCCTAGAAACAAGCAATCTGCATTCCCCCTGCATGAATTTGACTATTCGTGATCTTTCATATAAGTAGAATCATGTACTATTTGTCCTTTTGTATCTGGCTTATTTTATTTAGCATAATGTTTTCAAGATTTATCCATGTTGTAAACATGTATCAGAACGTCATTCCCTTTTTATGGCTAAATAATATTCCCTTGTGTGTACATGCCACATTTTGTTTATCCACACATACAGGTTTGTTTTCACTTTTTGACTCTTGTGAATAAGAATGAGTGATGGTATCTGGCATGTGCAGGCAGCCACTTTCTTGCTAAAGACCAATAGCATCAAGCACTCTACTAATGGTTGTAATTTATCTGATTAGGATCCAGATTTCCAAAAATGTTAATTCTTATTTTTTCCAGTTCAATGGCAGTTTTCATGGAGGTATTGACTTCTAAAACTTCCTATTCCAATCTTCTGAAATCCACTTTAAAAGAGTGGTTTAAATTCTGTGTTTGTAGGATGAAATTGATAAAAAAATATTTTAACAACTTTCAAAATTGCATTACAGAGATAATGTCTTTGGCTATTGGGTGTTCACATATTTGGTATGTTATAAACAACTTTCTGGAAGGTAAAGGCCTTTTATCTCACACTTAATATTAAGACAGGAACCATTGTCCTAGCAATAGCTTTTGGATTTGATGTGATATATTTGTATGTAATGAGTTTTTAAAAGTTAGAGTGAAAAGTCACCTCATACAAAACAAAATAATTTTTACTGTTATAAGAAAGTAGTTATTAATTACTTATAAAACATGCAAGTATCTTTGTGATATTTGGTGATTTATTTTTCTCCAGTCATCTTGTGTTGTTCTTAGTGGAGAAAAAAATATGGGTGCTCTTTGTCTATGACAATGTGAAAAGTAAGTATATGGTTTCCCTAAAAATTCTTCTAAGTTTTTAATCCTCTAAAATGATCATTGATATGTAAAAATAAATATTAATAATAGCAACTTAAGGATCATTTTTGCTGTTATCAGAAATTGAAAATACTGTAACAGTCCATCAATAAATGGTTATGTATATTATGATATATAGCATACATAGCGTATGTCCATATATAGAATATGTAAGAAATGTATACAACAAAGCACAATGAATACACGATTATACTAAGATGGATGGGCATGGATCCACGTATTATTCTGTTTGTACATGGTCTTTTCCAAAAAGAAATAAAATGTAAGAAAGAAGAAAAAAATAAAGAGAAAGAGAATAAAGGCAACTAAATAAAATATAAACCAGGATGTGTAAGTGGTCTCATCTTAGGACTGGAACACCAGTAAAGCCTCTCTTCTCTGGAAAAAGTTTATGTCTCTGAAGTTTTCTCAGTGCATCACAACTGACAGCAGCAGGAATGTGTTTTTGCTAACAGCAATAGAAAAGCAAAACTGTCTCAAGATTGTAATATTAATCCAAAGGTTAAAACTTCTTACCTTAGTGTTGCTGCTTTCTCTATGCACATCCCAAAGGACCTAGGAAGGTGGAAAGGACATAGGAGATGGAAAATGTAGAAAATAAAAAAATAAGGTAAATTTAAAAGGTAATAAGACTAACATCCATTCATTCACATTAAGCTCCTAATTGTAACACATTCTCTGGTAGACACTGCGGATATAGCAGTGAAAAAAAAAAGAAAAAAAAATATGCCTTTTTGGAGCTTATATTCTCTTGGAAGGAGATATTATATAGCTTAATTACTTTTGTTATTATATATGTTAAGTGTTGATAAGTGCTATGGAGGAAAGCAAGGCAGACAAAGCAATCAGGCAGGAGAAAGAAAGAAAGGGTATTCAATTAGGAAAAGAGGAAGTCAAATTGGCCCTGTTTGCAGATGACATGATTGTATATCTAGAAAACCCCATTGTCTCAGCCCAAAATCTCCTTAAGCTGATAAGCAACTTCAGCAAAGTCTCAGGATAAAAAATCAATGTGCAAAAATCACAAACATTCTTATACACCAACAACAGACAAACAGAGAGCCAAATCATGAGTGAACTCCCATTCACAATTGCCTCAAAGAGAATAAAATACCTAGGAATCCAACTTACAAGGGATGTGAAGGACCTCTTCAAGGAGAACTACAAACCACTGCTCAACAAAATAAAAGAGGACACAAACAAATGGAAGAACATTCCATGTTCATGGATAGGAAGAATCAATATCGTGAAAATGGCTATACTGTCCAAGGTAATTTATAGATTTAATGCTATCCCCATCAAGCTACCAATGCCTTTCTTCACAGAATTGGAAAAAACTACTTTAAAGTTCATATGGAACCAAAAAAGAGCCCGCATTGCCTAGTCAATCCTAAGCCAGAAGAACAAAACTGGAGGCATCATGCTACCTGACTTCAAACTATACTACAAGGCTACAGTAACCAAAACAGCATGGTACTGGTACCAAAACAGAGATATAGAATACTGGAACAGAACAGAGCCCTCAGAAGTAATACCACACATCTACAACCATCTGATCTTTGACATACCTGACAAAAACAGGAAATGGGGAAAGGAGTCCCTATTTAATAAATGGTGCTGGGAAAACTGGCTAGCCTTATGTAGAAAGCTGAAACTGGATCCCTTCCTTACACTTTATACAAAAATTAATTCAAGATGGATTAAAGGCTTAAATGTTAGACCTAAAACTATAAAAACCCTAGAAGAAAACCTAGGCAATACCATTCAGGACATAGGCATGGGCAAAGACTTCACATCTAAAACACCAAAAGCAATGGCAACAAAAGCCAAAATTGACAAATGGGATCTAATTAAACTGAAGAACTTCTGCACAGCAAAAGAAACTACCATCAGAGTGAACGGGCAACCTACAGAATGCTAGCAAATTTTTGCAATCTACTCATCTGACAAAGGGCTAATATCCAGAATCTACAAAGAACTCAAACAAATTTACAAGAAAAAAACAACCCCATAAAAAAGTGGGCAAAAGTTATGAACAGATGCTTCACAAAAGAAGACATTTATACAGCCAACAGACACTTGAAAAAATGCTCATCATCACTGGCCATCAGAGAAATGCAAATCAAAACCACAGTTAGATACCATCTCACACCAGTTAGAATGGCGATCATTAAAAAGTCAGGAAACAACATGTGCTGGGGAGGATGTGGAGAAATAGGAACACTTTTACACTGTTGGTGGGACTGGAAACTAGTTCAACCATTGTGGAAGACAGTGTGATGATTCTTCAAGGATATAGAACTAGAAATATCATTTGACCCAGCCATCCCATTACTGGGCATATACCCAAAGGATTATAAATCATGCTGCCATAAAGACACATGCACACGTATGTTTATTGCAGCACTATTCACAATAGCAAAGACTTGGAACCAAGCCAAATGTCCAACAATGATAGACTGGATTAAGAAAATGTGTCACATATACACCATGGAATACTATGCAGCCATAAAAAAGGATGAGTTCATGTCCTTTGTAGGGACATGGATGAAGCTGGAAACCATCATTCTCAGCAAACTATCGCAAGGACAAGAAAACCAAACACTGCATGTTCTCACTCATAGGTGAGAATTGAACAATGAGAACACTTGGACACAGGAAGGGGAACATCACACCTGGGGCATGTTGTAGGGTGAAGGGAGAGGGGAGGGATAGCATTACGAGATACACCTAATGTAAATGACGAGTTAATGGGTGCAGCACACCAACATGACACATGTATACATAGGTACGAAACCTGCACATTGTGCACATGTACCCTAGAACTTAAAGTATAATTAAAAAATAAATAAATAATAAATAATTTAAAAAAATTAAAAGAAACAAAACAACAACAAAAAACAAAGCAAATAACATGAGGAGGAGATACAATTTTAAGTAGGGAATAAAGGATGGCATGACAGAGACAGTAGCATATGAGTGAAAAGCTTGAAAGAGGTGATATGGTTTGACTGGGTCCCCCACTAAATCTAAAGCTTGAATTGTAGTTCCTGTAATCCCCATGTGTCATGGGAGGGACCTGGTGGGGGTTAATTTAATCACGGGGTCAGTTACCCCCATGCTGCTGTTCTTGTGGTATGAGTGAGTTCTTATGCTCTCTGGTGGTTTTATCAGGGTCTTTTTCCCCATTTTGCTTGGCACTTCTCCTTGCTGCCACCACGTGAAGAAGGATGTGTTGCTTCCCCTTATCATGGTTATAACTTTCCTGAGGTCTCACCAGCTGTGCAGAACTGTGACTCAATTAAACCTCTTTCCTTTATAAATTACCCAGTCTAGGATATGTTTTTATTAACAGCATGAGAAGGAACTAATACAGAAGGTAAGAAAGCAATCCAGGGGGGATTTGAAGACAGGTGTTTTCAGTCACAGAAACCATGTAAAAAGCATCTAATGTGAGAGTGCTATAATCTGAATGTTGACAGCCCCCCAAATTCATACATTGAAATCTAATTCACAGTATGATACTATTAAAAGCTAAGGTCTTTGGAAGGTGATTATGTCATGAATACAGAGCCTTCATGAAGGAGATTGGTGCCTTTATAAAAGATGCCTGAGGGGTTGGTTTGTCCCTTCCACCATATGATGACTCCACCATATGAAGAAGATGGGTCTATGAACTAGGAAATAGGGCCTCATCATATATGGAATATGTGAGCACATTGATCTGGGACTTAGCTTCCAGAACTGTGAAGAATAAATTTATGTCCTTTATAAGCTACTTACTATATGATATTTTGTTATAGCTGCTCAAATGGACTAACACAGAGACAATTCCCAGCCTGCCCAAAGAGCATCAGGAAGTGTTGGGTACAGTAAAGCTGGAACAGAGCCACGAGGGGAAGAGCAACAGGGCTGTGATCAAAGAGGTGTGCCTGGTGGGGAGCATGAGTAGAGCTGTATAATCTGTACAATAATGACCCAGAGTGGAATTAGAAGTCCTTAAAAGTGGGTGAGCAGAGTGGCATGATCTCTATTATATTATGTTATATTCTTGCTTGGATATTGAGAATAGACTGAAGGTGAGGGCTAATGCAGAAGCAGGAAGGGAGATAAAAATTCAGAGGAGACATGATGTTGGCTTAGCCTGGGTGGATAACAGCAGTAGTAAAAATTATTTAAATGTTTTGAAGGTAGGTTTGCTGAGAAGTAATTTTGGAGGTACATTACCAAGACTAAATTTATATTTTATAAAATGAACAAATTTAAGGTGTATACCTTAACTTTATATATTTATGCACTCATATTCACACCACCCATATTAAGATAAAGAACAGAAACTCTTCTGGTGCTTTATTCCGCAGAAAACCTTCTGGTGCTTTATTCCAGTCAATAACAAACACTGGTCAAAGGATATTCTACTATGACCATAGTTTTCTTTTGCCTCTCGCTAAACTTAGTTTGTCTGGAGTCATACAGATTTTAAGCTTTTGTGTCTGACCTATTTTACTCAACATGATGTTTTGGAGATACATCCATGCTGATTTATGTGTCTATTTTATTTTTTATTGCTATGTATTATTACTCTGTAAGTCAATATCATAATTTGTTTATCTCTTCTCCTCTTTATAGATGTTACATCCAGTTTTTGCCTACAAAGAAAAACAAACTGCTATGAATAAATTTATATCTGTCTCTATCGTGTGAATACACACCCTCATTTATTTTTGGAATATACCTATTAATTGAATTATGATGTCATTGGGTATGTGCGCAGTTTAACTTTATAAGAAATAGCCAAACTTATTTAAAATGTAGCTATACAATTTACTTTCCCACCACAAATGTATGAGATTTTCTTTGTTTCATAACCTCTTCAGAATTGCTATATTCAGTTCCCAATTTTTTTTCTTAAGAGATGGGGTCTCGCTCTGTCACACAGGCTGGAGTGGAGTGGCATAATCATAGCTCACTGCAGCCTTGAACTCCTGGGCTCAAGCTATCCTCCCATATTGGTCTCCAGGTATTTAGCCATTTTAATTTTACCAGTTCTCTTGGACATGTAATCACATCTCATTCAGGCTTTTATTTTAATTTTTCTGATGACCAACTGTGTTCAACACATTTTTTTATCCTGATCACCCACTTGGCTGTCTTCTTTTATAAACTGACTGTTCAAGTCTTTTGCCCACTTTTAATTGAGTGATTTATCTTTTGCATAACAATTTATAGGATTTGTTTACTCTCCAAAGAAATCTTTTGTCAGGTCTATGTATTTCAAATATGTTATCTCACTGTGACATTTCTATTCATTTTTAATTGGGATAAAAACATAACTTGTGATCTATCCTTTTAATAAGGTTTTAAATGTAAAATATAGTACTGTTAAGTATAGGCATGATGTTGTACAGAAAATCTCTGGAACTTATGCAACTTACACAACTGAAATTTTATACCCATTGAACAGCAACCCTTCTTCCTCCTTCCCCTAACCATTCTACTCTCTATTTCTATGAGTTTGACTTTTTTATTTTTATTTTTTTTGAGACGGAGTCTCGCTTTGTTGCCCAGGCTGGAGTGCAATGGCGCAATTTCGGCTCACTCCAAGTTCCACCTCCCAGGTTCACGCCATTCTCCCCTCAGCCTCCCGAGTAGCTGGGACTACAGGCACCCGCCACCACGCCTGGCTAATTTTGTGTATTTTTAGTAGAGACGGGGGTTTCACCATGTTTGCCAGGATGGTCTCGATCTCCTGACCTTGTGATCCGCCCGCCTCGGCCTCCCAAAGTGCTGGGATTACAGGCTTGAGCCACCGCTCCCGGCTGAGTTTGACTATTTTAGAAAGCTCATAGAAGTGAAATCATGCAGAATTTGTCCTTCTGTGACTGACTTACCATGCTGACATGATATCCTCCAGGTTTATCCATGTTGTTGCAAATGGCAAAATGTACTTCTTAAAATTGAAAATATTCCATTGTATTTATACACCACATTGTCTTTATCCATTCATGCAGTAATGGACATTTAAGTTTTTAAATTTTGTTTTTTGTGAGTAATGCTGCAAAGAACAGGGGTATGCAGGTACCTGTACCACATCCTGATTTCCATTCTTTTGGACATATGCCCAAGAGTAAGATGGGGGGTCATATAGTAGTTTTAATTTTAGTGTTTTTGAGGAACCTCCATACTGTTATTCACAGTGACTGAACCAATTTACATCCCAATTTACAGAGAGTGTACAAGGATTCCAGTTTCTCCCCATCACTGCTAACACTTGTTATGTCTTGTTTTGTTTTATAACGGCTCTCCTAATGGGTGTGAAGTGATATCATATTGTGGCTTTCATTCGTATTTCTCTGATCATTAGGGATGTTGAACATATTTTCATATACCTTTTGGCTATTTGTATGTCTTTGAAGAAAATTTATTCAATCATTTTGCCCCCCTTTTTATTTTTTCTGTTGTTGAAGGAGTTCCTTATATATGTAATGAGGTTTTTAGAATAAATGAATATAAGTTTAATATAGTAAAAACATTAATACAATTTTTATTTTTATGTTTAATACATTCTGTGCTCCAGAAAAAAATATCATTGTTTATCTCACCCAAGATCATTATGATGTTCCTCAAAGTTTTCTTCTAGAAGCTTTAGCATTCATGCTTAGGTGTGTGATCCATCTTACATTGAATTTTGTGGATGATATGAGTAAGATATTAAGATTAATGAAAATGTTAATTATAATAGGTTCTCAGGTCCTAGCCAAAGGTTTTGTATATTAGGATCTCTTGAGATCTAGGTTATTTAAAGGTAATAGACAATAAGTATTAATGAATTTGTTTTCTTTATCTATCTGGTGGTTCTTAAACTTTGTTGCATATTAGAATCAAGTGGTTTGCTTGCTTGCTTTGTTTTGTCTTGCTTTTAATAGCACTGCCCCAATCATACCTTCAAAAATTCTAATTTGATAACCTGGACATCAGGATTTTTGGAGGAGGAGGGGACAGGGTCTCACTCTGTCACCTAGGCTAGTGTACAGTGGCATGATCATATCCCACTTCAGCCTCGAACTCCTGGGCTTGAGGGACCCTTCTGCCTCAGCCTCTCACGTAGCTTGAATTACAGGTGTTGAGCCACCATGCCTGGTGACATTGGGATTTTAATGGGTCTCTGGGTGAGTGAATATAAAGTCATGTTTAGGAATCATTGACAAGCTCCAGAAGCCTGGAAAAATGTATTCATGAAGACAGAGGTTAGTGTTACTGTCTCCTTGGATGAAAACACCTGACAAGATTTAGGTATTTATTTATTGATTTATTGATTTATTTATTGGGAAACAACATTGGAAGCAGTTTCTGATCTGCCTCTTTAATCCCTTGGCCAATGCAATCTTGAGTTCTTTGTAGTCTCACCATTAAGTCTTGTAGGGAGAATACATCTTTACTTCAAGTTTTCATGCACTTTATCTTCATCTTGGAGAATTATTATTTGAAAAAAAGTTCTCAATATATAACTCATATTAAGTAAAATATGTATAATACATTGCAATAATTCAACAAATATTGCTTGTGATGTTGTACTTACTTTACACTTGTGAAAAATGTAAGCAAAATTTTTAAATAGTATTACATTATTTTCATAGAAGAATCACAGTAAAATAAGAACTCTACAAGTCCATATTTTACTAAGTTGCATTATTTGAAAAGCAAACTAATTTTGAAGTATCTGATGATTTCAAAACACAGTTCACTATTATTTAATTAGAGGATTTGAAATATAATTTTTAACATTGACTTAGATACTTTCCTGAAATCTATTAGACATAAAAGTAAATGGTATTTATACATTTGTTTGTAAGATGCTATGATTTTAAATTTAAAAGTCTATGTAGCTTTTTCTGAAGGAAGCTGTTCTACAATTGTAGAAGCAATTTTGGGGCATTTCTCTTACTTGATTGACTTTTTTCTTATCCAGATGCTACCAATTTTCAAGCTTGCACAAAGTCCACTTCTATGAGGGAACTCAGCCTACAAGGCTGTCATGTACATCAGTAACATCTATATCTTTATAGTACCACATACGCCTTGCCTTATCAAATGAAATTATATACCACGAAGTCAGGATCGTATCTCAACTGTTCTGTAAACTCCACAATGCATAGCATAGTGTCACTCATGGGAAAAATGAAATACTTGTGATTGAAATGGATTAACATTCTTCTCATGTTAAGGAACGTACTTCTTTTATTGTACCTGTTGTTATGCAGGGTGTAAGATTTATTATTTTCTCCAGAATTGATATCAATAATTAAAAATATATAAAAATTGAAGATAAATGGGGAAACGAACAATTTATGAAGGTCAAAACTATGAAGTAAATTTCAGTTCATGGATATTTGGTAGAAATACTAGGTTGGAGAGTATGGTTCACATTTGAGACCAAATTAAATATTATTTAATAGATTTCTTTCATACTTAGTTGAAGGAAAGCATGTAATAAAAACCTAGCTTGACCAAAAACCTGACTTGCTCTTGGCAAAAATTGTGGTGTAGAGAGAGAGAAAGAGAGAGAGAAGGAAGTAAGAAAATTAATAACCTCTACTCTGTGGGAAAGTCGTTCCATTCCAAATGACACAAATAGAGAATCTGATGAATCCGAGCCTAAGAAAGTCGAAAAGGAAGCAGATTGGTATCTAATCATTGAAGACAATAAACCTGAACACTAAAAAGACATGACTAAATAAATGTCAGGTTCTGAACAATTAAACTGGTTACTTCTCTTACATTGAAGTAAAGAGAGACTGGAAATTTCTGCCTCAACTCTCCCTATCAACTCAATACCTTAGAGTCGAACATAGTGTTCCAAATAAAAATATAATGAGGCAGAAGATGACACCTTGTTTACTAAATTTTCTAGTTCATATTGAATAGTTCCATCTGAGCTTGAAAGCCAAGGTCTTGGGGAACCATTTTTAATGTGCTTTTCAAAGAGCTCATATTAAAATAATTACTTTATATGTAATTAGCAAATAATTAGATATGAGGCTCACAAAGGAAATATTTATGTTCATATAATATGGCTAATGTATGGTAACAATAGTATTAAATCTATAGATCTATGATGGGAGAATTACTAGAAAAACAATAGTGGGTCTCCCAATCCATGAGCATGGAATGATTTTCCATTTGCTTAGATGATTAGTTTTCAGCATACAAATCTTACACACATTTTGCTACATTTATTTCCAAGGGTTTATTTTTATAGTATTGTGAATATAATTATTTCTTAATTTTTTTTTAAGAGAGAAAGTGTCTTGCTCTATCTACCTGGCTGGAGTGCAGCATCTTGCAATCATAGCTCACTGCAACCTTGAACTACTGGGCTCAAGCAACTCTCCTGCCTCAGTCTCCTGAGTACCTAGGACTGAGGTGAATGCCACCAAGCCTAGCTAATTAAAAATAAATAAATACATTTGTAAAGAAGATCTCTGTTTGTTGCGCAGGCTGGTTTTGAACTCCTAGCCTCAAGTAATCCTCCTGACTTGACCTCCCAAGGCACTGGGATTACAGGCCTGAGCTCTTTAGCCCAGCCACTTCCATTTCCTGATGGTTTTATCAATGTATTCTTCATTGTATTGACTATAATCTCCAGTGCAATATTGGATAGAATTGGTGAGAGTGAACATTATAAACATCTTTGGCATGTCGCCAATTTTGAGGGGAAAACATCCAGTCTTTCACCATTAGATGTGCTGTAAAACACAGTGTTTTTGGTGATTGTTGTTGCTGATGTCCTCTATCAGGTTGAAGAAATTCCATTCTATTTTTTTATTCATGTTAGATTCTGTCAAATCATTTTCCTGCATCATTGAGATAATCGTTTCATTTTAGTTCTTTATTTTACAACATAATATATTACATTATTTACTTTTTAAATACTAAAACAATCCTGCATTTCTGGGATTAATTTCACTTAGTTATGGAGTGCAATCATTTGTATACATGGTTGAATTTAGTTTGATAATATTTTATTGGAGATTTTCGTGTCTATATTTGTGAGGTATACTGATCTGTAATTTTATTTTTATTTTTTCTTTTTTAAAATTTCTTTTTCTTTCTTCTTTCATTTTTGCTTTTGAATATAGGCCTTATAACATCAATTGGGAAGTTTTTCTCTTTCTCTATTTTCTGAGTATGAGTATCATTTCTTCATTGACTATGTGAAATAATTTACCAGTGAAGTCATGTGGTCCTGTATATTCTCTTATGGAAGACTTTTAATTGTTAATTCAACATATTTATTCAGATTTTCTATTCATGTTTGTTTCAGCTGTGGTAATTTATACATTTTTAAGACTTTCTACCATAAATATAAGTTGTATAATTTGTGGTCACAAAGTATTTAATAGTATTTCCCTTATAATTCATACATTTGGACAGGATGGGGGAGAATTGGCAGTAGTAACCTTTGTTCCTGATTTTGGTAATCAACACTTTATCTCTTATTTCTTTTCTTTTTTGAGACAGAGTTTTGCCGTTGTCACCCAGGCTGGAGTGCAAAGGCAGGATCTGGGTTCACTGTAACCTCTGCCTCCTGGGTTCAAGCGATTCTCCTTCCTCAGCCTCCTGAGTAGCTGGGATTACAGGTGCCCACCACCACGCCCGGCTAATTTTTGTAATTTTTGGAGATGGGGTTTCACCATGTTGGCCAGGCTAGTCACGAACTGCTGGCCTCAAGTGATCCATCTGCCATGGCCTCCCAAAGTGTTGGGATTACAGGTGTGAGCCACCATGCCTGGTCTTTTTTATTATTCATCATCTAAATATTTCTCAATTTTGTTTAACTTTTCAAAGATTTAGATTTTGGATCATTAAATTTCTTTGTTTTTTGTTTTCTTTTTTCTGTTATTTTTTTTTAGCATAACATTTTTATTTAAAAAATAACTATTTTCCACAAGAACAAAAGTGTAGCGAGAGGAGTGGTGATAAAGGTTACATCCTGGCGAGTCTCTCTAAGGTCTGGCTAGCAGAGGATTGCTGACTTCTCATACCTGCTTCTGCATTCACCCTGCTGCTACCACACCCTTATGTAGTCTCTGGAAAACTCCACTGTGTTCTTGTGACAGAATGACAGTAAAAATGGCAAAAACATTTATTAAGGACTGAATTCTATCCCCCACACCACCCACCGAAATTTATACACTGAAGTCCTAACCCCTGGTGTGACTCTATTTGGAGTGAAGATTTAAGGCTAATGAGGTCATAAGAGTGGAATCCTGGTTCCATACAATTAATGTCCTTATAAGAAGAGACACTGGAGAGCTTCTCTCTGCCATGTGAGGCCACAGCAGGAAGACAGCCATCCACAGGCCAGGAAGAGAGCCCTCACTAGGACCTACAACGGGCAAACACCTCGATTTGGAACTTCCCTGCCTCCACAATTGTGAGAAATCAATGACTCGTTTAAGCCTTTTTTTTTTAATAGGATTTGAGATTGGTTATATTAAGGTAACAATGGAAACATGAATACAAAATTAATCCACACATAGGAAAAAGGAATAATACATAAACCACTGAGGTTGCTAATAATAATGATGCCTGTTTCCAAGGCAAGTGAATACATTATGAGACCACTGAAGTGACTTTTAGTTACCTTGCTTAGTGCCTCTGTCTTTTTTTTTCCTTTATTATTATTATTATTATACTTTTAACTTTTAGGGTACATGTGCACACTGTGCAGGTTAGTTACATATGTATACATGTGACATGCTGGTGCGCTGCACCCACTAACTCGTCATCTAGCATTAGGTATATCTCCCAGTGCTATCCCTCCCCCCTACCCCCACCCCACAACAGTCCCCAGAGTGTGATATTCCCCTTCCTGTGTCCATGTGATCTCATTGTTCAATTCCCACCTATGAGTGAGAATATGCGGTGTTTGGTTTTTTGTTCTTGCGATAGTTTACTGAGAATGATGATTTCCAATTACATCCAAGTCCCTACAAAGGACATGAACTCATCATTTTTTATGGCTGCATAGTATTCCATGGTGTATATGTGACACATTTTCTTAATCCAGTCTATCATTGTTGGACATTTGGGTTGGTTCCAAGTGTTTGCTATCGTGAATAATGCCGCAATAAACATATGTGTGCATGTGTCTTTATAGCAGCATGACTTATAGTCCTTTGGGTATATACCCAGTAATGGGATGGCTGGGTCAAATGGTATTTCCAGTACTAGATCCCTGAGGAATCGCCAAACTGACTTCCACAATGGTTGAACTAGTTTATAGTCCCACCAACAGTGTAAAAGTGTTCCTATTTCTCCACATCCTCTCCAGCACCTGTTGTTTCCTGACTTTGTAATGATTGCCATTCTAACTGGTGTGAGATGGTATCTCATTGTGCTTTTGATTTGCATTTCTCTGATGGCCAGTGATGATGAGCATTTTTTCATGTGTTTTTTGGCTGCATAAATGTCTTCTTTTGAGAAGTGTCTGTTCATGTCCTTCGCCCACTTTTTGATGGGGTTGTTTGTTTTTTTCTTGTAAATTTGTTTGAGTTCATTGTAGATTCTGGATATTAGCCCTTTGTCAGATGAGTAGGTTGCGAAAATTTTCTCCCATTTTGTAGGTTTCCTGTTCACTCTGATGGTAGTTTCTTTTGCTGTGCAGAAGCTCTTTAGTTTAATTAGATCCCATTTGTCAATTTTGTCTTTTGTTCCCATTGCTTTTGGTGTTTTATACATGAAGTCCTTGCCCATGCCTATGTCCTCAATGGTAATGCCTAGGTTTTCTTCTAGGGTTTTTATGGTTTTAGGTCTAACGTTTAAGTCTTTAATCCATCTGGAATTGATTTTTGTATAAGGTGTAAGGAAGGGATCCAGTTTCAGCTTTCTACATATGGCTAGCCATTTTTCCCTGCACCATTTATTAAATAGGGAATCCTTTCCCATTGCTTGTTTTTGTCAGGTTTGTCAAAGATCAGATAGTTGTAGATATGCGGTGTTATTTCTGAGGGCTCTGTTCTGTTCCATTGATCTGTATCTCTGTTTTGGTACCAGTACCATGCTGTTTTGGTTACTGTAGCCTTGTACTTTAGTTTGAAGTCAGGTAGTGTGATGTCTCCAGCTTTGTTCTTTTGGCTTAGGATTGACTTGGCGATGCGGGCTCTTTTTTGGTTCCATATGAACTTTAAAGTAGTTTTTTCCAATTCTGTGAAGAAAGTCATTGGTAGCTTGATGGGGATGGCATTGAATCTGTAAATTACCTTGGACAGTATGGCCATTTTCACGATATTGATTCTTCCTACCCATGAGCATGGAATGTTATCCCATTTGTTTGTATCCTCTTTTATTTCCTTGAGCAGTGGTTTGTAGTTCTCCATGAAGAGGTCCTTCACATCCCTTGTAAGTTGGATTCCTAGGTATTTTATTCTCTTTGAAGCAATTGTGAATGGGATTTCACTCATGATTTGGCTCTCTGTTTGTCTGTTATTGGTGTATAAGAAGGCTTGTGATTTTTGCACATTGATTTTGTATCCTGAGACTTTGCTGAATTTGCTTATCAGCTTAAGGAGATTTTGGGCTGAGACAATGGGGTTTTCTAGATATACAATCATGTCATCTGCAAACAGGGACAATTTGACTTCCTCTTTTCCTAACTGAATACACTTTATTTCCTTCTCCTGCCTAATTGCCCTGGCCAGAACTTCCAACACTATGTTGAATAGGAGTGGTGAGAGAGGGCATCCCTGTCTTGTGCCAGTTTTCAAAGGGAATGCTTCCAGTTTTTGCCCATTCAGTATGATATTGGCTGTGGGTTTGTCATAGATGGCTTTTATTATTTTGAAATATGCCCCATCAATACCTAATTTATTGAGAGTTTTTAGCATGAAGGGTTGTTGAATTTTGTCAAAGGCTTTTTCTGCATCTATTGAGATAATCATGTGGTTTTTGTCTTTGGCTCTGTTTATATGCTGGATTACATTTATTGATTTGCATATATTGAACCAGCCTTGCATCCCAGGGATGAAGCCCACTTGACCACGGTGGATAAGCTTTTTGATGTGCTGCTGGATTCGTTTTGCCAGTATGTTATTGAGGATTTTTGCATCAATGTTCATCAAGGATATTGATCTAAAATTCTCTTTTTTGGTTGTGTCTCTGCCTGGCTTTGGTATCAGAATGATGCTGGCCTCATAAAACGAGTTAGGGAGGATTCCCTCTTTTTCTATTGATTGGAATACTTTCAGAAGGAATGGTACCAGTTCCTCCTTGTACCTCTGTTAGAATTCGGCTGTGAATCCATCTGGTCCTGGACTCTTTTTGTTGGTAAGCTATTAATTATTGCCACAATTTCAGATCCTGTTATTGGTCTATTCAGAGATTCAATTCTTCCTGGTTTAGTCTTGGGACAGTGTATATGTCGAGGAATTTATCCATTTCTTCTAGATTTTCTAGTTTATTTGCATAGAGGTGTTTGTAGTATTCTCTGATGGTAGTTTGTATTTCTGTGGGATCGGTGGTGATATCTCCTTTATCATTTTTTATTGCGTCTATTTGATTCTTCTCTCTTTTTTTCTTTATTAGTCTTGCTAGCGGTCTATCAATTTTGTTGATCCTTTCAAAAAACCAGCTCCTGGATTCATTAATTTTTTGAAAGGTTTTTTTTTGTGTCTCTATTTCCTTCAGTTCTGCTCTGATTTTAGTTATTTCTTGCCTTCTGCTAGCTTTTGAATGTGTTTACTCTTGCTTTTCTAGTTCTTTTAATTGTGATGTTAGGGTGTCAATTTTGGATCTTTCCTGCTTTCTCTTGTGGGCATTTAGTGCTATAAATTTCCCTCTAAGCCAAAAGAACAAAGCTGGAGGCATCACACTTCCTGACTCCAAACTACACTACAAGGCTACAGTAACCAAAACAGCATGGTACTGGTACCAAAACAGAGATATAGATCATTGGAACAGAACAGAGCCCTCAGAAATAACGCTGCATATCTACAACTATCTGATCTTTGACAAACCTGAGAAAAACAAGCAATGGGGAAAGGATTCCCTATTTAATAAATGGTGCGGGAAAAACTGGCTAGCCATATGTAGAAAGCTGAAACTGGATCCCTTCCTTACACCTTATACAAAAATCAATTCCAGATGGATTAAAGACTTAAACGTTAGACCTAAAACCATAAAAACCCTAGAAGAAAACCTAGGCATTACCATTCAGGACATAGGCATGGGCAAGGACTTCATGTATAAAACACCAAAAGCAATGGGAACAAAAGACAAAATTGACAAATGGGATCTAATTAAACTAAAGAGCTTCTGCACAGCAAAAGAAACTACCATCAGAGTGAACAGGAAACCTACAAAATGGGAGAAAATTTTCGCAACCTACTCATCTGACAAAGGGCTAATATCCAGAATCTACAATGAACTCAAACAAATTTACAAGAAAAAAACAAACAACCCTATCAAAAAGTGGGCGAAAGACATGAACAGACACTTCTCAAAAGAAGACATTTATGCAGCCAAAAAACACATGAAAAAATGCTCATCATCACTGGCCATCAGAGAAATGCAAATCAAAAGCACAATGAGATACCATCTCACACCAGTTAGAATGGCAATCATTACAAAGTCAGGAAACAACAGGTGCTGGAGAGGATGTGGAGAAATAGGAACACTTTTACACTGTTGGTGGGACTATAAACTAGTTCAACCATTGTGGAAGTCAGTGTGGCGATTCCTCAGGGATCTAGTACTGGAAATACCATTTGACCCAGCCATCCCATTACTGGGTATATACCCAAAGGACTATAAGTCATGCTGCTATAAAGACACATGCACACATATGTTTATTGCGGCATTATTCACGATAGCAAACACTTGGAACCAACCCAAATGTCCAACAATGATAGACTGGATTAAGAAAATGTGTCACATATACATCATGGAATACTATGCAGCCATAAAAAATGATGAGTTCATGTCCTTTGTAGGGACATGGATGAAATTGGAAATCATCATTCTCAGTAAACTATGACAAGAACAAAAAACCAAACACCGCATATTCTCACTCATAGGTGGGAATTGAACAATGAGATCACATGGACACAGGAAGGGGAATATCACACTCTGGGGACTGTTGTGGGGTCGGGGGGGGGAGGGATAGCATTGGGAGATATACCTAATGCTAGATGACGAGTTAGTGGGTGCAGCACACAGCATGGCACATGTATACCTATGTAACTAACCTGCACAATGTGCACATGTACCCTAAAACTTAAAGTATAATAAAAAAGAGAAAAAAGAAACCCCCCCCAAAAAAAGAAAGAGATATTTATTCCTTCTATATTTTCCTATAAACTCAAAAGCCTATTAAAATGTTAACTATATGGAAAATACATAATACATACTGATGACAAATTTATTTATAATAAAAATATCTTAGTATCTTTATATGTGGATGATATTGACAAAGTTTTTCTCTTTAGTTATTTTACAATTGACTTTTAAAATGTCTTGTTATTCAGTAACGTCTCTAAGTGCTTTCCAACAATAACTGAGAAAAATAGGTGATTGAAACTTGAGAGTTTCACAGGCTTAGTCTACTTCTGAGGTGAGATGAGAAGCCACAGACAGACTATCTCTCAACTATGATAGTAATCTTAATTGATCTCAGAATTTTGCTTTACTAGGTCTTAAGCTTATTGTTCTTTATTACCCATTATTTCACACTTTGCAACTGACTGGGCATTTTGCCAGTGATCACAATGAATAAAATGTGGCTTCAGCGGCCTATTACTGTGCTCAATGTCTTTGCAAGTTGCTGGCAAACATGATTTTATTTTAGATACTGTTATATGAAGTAATTTTTTAAAATTTATAGTTTGCCAATTTATTCATAAATTTCTTAGTATCATTTTCATTATTAACACATTTACATACCGTGCTTCACACTTACCTGTAAAATAGTGAATTCTACATCAAAAGTATTTAACGAGAACACTGGTGGATGAAGTGACTATACTTCCAAAGCAAAATCATCTCTTTTTAATTCATCAGCTTAGACGGAGAATGTTTAATGTTACTTGTAAATAATGGACTAACAAAAATCCACTAACCCTACCTTTTGTGTTTTTATATGCAAAATAGAGTTGTGTTAGACTGTCTTGAAATTGACTGACCTGCTCTATATAAAGGCTTGAGGTGATCAGGAATACTCTATTCTAAGGATATGGGAGTTTTGACAATTATAATATCCAGAAAATATAATATCCATTCATACAATATGAATGGGGAATGCAGGTGTACTTGTTTATATATATATATATATATATATATATATATATATATATATATATATTCTATTCATGTATACACATTCTGTGTTACTTTCTGTGTTAGCCTGCCACAGTGTCATGAATGCTAGGAGAAGATACAGGACCCCTGGTTCATGGACAAAGACTTTATTTCTCAAGGCACAGCAAGGGGCATGAGTTACTCATTCTTATTGTTCCTTTTACCCCAAAAGTCTAACAAGACAAAGTAGAGGGACCTGAGTAGATACTACACACAGTGGATTTACATCAGAGCTTAGCTACTCTAGGCTGAAGGAGCCCAATCATTTTATCATGAGATATAAGCAAACCTCCCCAGGATTTGCCTTGGAGGGAGACATCTTTATTACCAATAAGTAAGAAAATATATTCTTGCTTTAAAAGGGGATACTTTGTCTTTCAGAATTGTTCTCTACACAAAGATCCTTTAAAAGGGAGCCTAGTGCAGAATAACAGTTGTGCAGAAATGCAAAAGACACTTGGAGGACTGTCTCCTAACACCTATCAAATGCAGAGTACTACATTAGGTATCAGGGAAAGAAAGATGAAATTATTTGGGCTGATGGAAATCAGCAGCTCACTTAAAAGAAGCATGAGTGGAAAGTTAGTTATGGTAACGCAGGAGAGGAAGTGATACCATAATGTTTAAAACAGGGAGACATTTAGCCAAGTCTAGGAGGTCAGGGAGTACTTTTCAAAGTTAATACCTGATAAGAGTTTTGATGTAAATTTTCTAAAAACGCTTCTATGTAGCTGTATCTTTCTTACTTTCTTAGGGGTTCTAGGTTATACAAAAGTCAAGAATTTCAAGGCTTTTTATTAAAAATTGCTCAACATATGTTTCTAAGATTTGTTTGCTACCAGTAGCCTCCTTTAGCCAAAATTTCATAAGGTTTCAAGATTATATAAAGATAATGAAAACTAATCTGAATTAGAGTTTTTGCTTAATTAGTAGGATCTTGGAAATTATCTTGAAGAATATAAGAAGATTTTAATAATAATTTTATGTGCAAACTCTTGCCCATAACAATAATGTTTTATAATTTTATCTCCTTCTCATCTCACTTGAATATGCAATGTTCAACTAAAATCACTTATAAAAGAAGCAGGAATATGGGAATATTTAGCCTTTGGGGAATCTTATTTCCTATGTTGTTGACTATGGCCTCCAAGGAGGAATTTTAGATCCCTATTTCCCTGCAAGATGATCTATTATGGTGGATTATAACTTCTATGTCTCATTTTATCTCATAATGGATAAAGAAAACTTGGCACATATACCATGGAATATTATGCAGCCATAAAAAAAGGATGAGTTCATGTCCTTTGCAGGGACATGGATGAAGCTGGAATCCATCATTCTCAGCAAACTAACACAGGAACAGAAAACCAAACACCACATGTTCTCACTCGTAAATGGGGCTCGAACAGTGAGAACACATGGACACAGGGAGGGAAACATCACACACTGTGGCCTGTTGGGGGTTGGGAGGGCTAGGGTATTAGGAGAAGTATCTAATGTAGATAATGAGTTGATGGGTGCAACAAACTCTCATGGCTCATGTATACCTATGTAACAATCCTGTATGTTCTGCACATGTATCCCAGAAGTTAAAGTATAAAAAATTCCATATTTTTATATTTTGATGTACATATTATACCAGTATAGTTATATATGTAAAAATTTTAAGGGTAAATACATATAAAACATATATTAGTCTTTGATCAGAATTGTATTACCAATATAAATAAGAATATCATTTAGAATATAAAATTCCTGATTCTGCAACAAATGACTTAATATTATCAATATTAATCATAATTATTTAAATGCTTTTTAGCTGCCCATCACCATATTAATAATAGGAATAATGACAGCTAATTTTAATTGAGTACTTCCTAAATGTGGCCCAGTTACAGTAAAACAAACACTATTAGATACACCCCATCAATCATTACAGCAAGTCTATGAAACATACTGCATTACTAAGTCAATATTAGAAATGAAAAACTCATGGGAAGGATATGTATAAAACTTGCTCAAAGTTACCCAGCTAATAAGAGGCTAGGACAAGATTAAACATCTATGTAGTTTTCTTTCCTGAGCTGAAGTTCCTAAATCCTTGGCTGCATGGCGCCTCATTCAAAAGTCCTAAATTGGCTAAAATATATATAACAGAAAATTCACAGAATCATTTCCTTCTACTTGTCCACTACCAGGGCTGTTAACAGTCCCAAGCAAAAGGACAAAAATTTTTTCTACTTGAGATAAGAAAAATATACAGGGTGACAGAAGGTGTTCTACCAATATAAAAACACTTTACCAGGAAAATTGAGAAGAGGGCTGTTAACCTTTGGGGAAATGTAGGCCTTCAGTGGATTCTTGTTAGAAACATAAAGATGTAGAGAGAAGATTTTCATTTAAAAGCCTCTTCCATTCAGCAAAGTATATTCTGAATCCTTTATGGTATTAGGCTCCCATATAGTTACAAGTAACCCCATGTGGTTTTAGAATTCTTAAATATTCGCACACATAGTCATCTGAAGAATGAATAAATCCATGAATGACTAAACAGAGTTTATTCCCATATCATTTTCAATATCCCTAAATTATGCTTACATCCTTAAATCTGTTACTTCATTCTCAAAGCACATAGTCTGTAACTCATAAAAATAAACTCCTGTTGGCCAGGCA
Organism: Homo sapiens; assembly: GCF_000001405.40. Taxonomy (NCBI): domain Eukaryota; kingdom Metazoa; phylum Chordata; class Mammalia; order Primates; family Hominidae; genus Homo; species Homo sapiens. Next base: position 22,654,789 of record NC_000017.11, read on the forward strand.
CAGTGGCTCACGCCTGTAATCCCAGTACTTTGGGAGGCTGAGGTGGGCGGATCACCTGAGGTCAGGAGTTCCTGACCAGCCTGATCAACATGGAGAAACCCTGTCTCTACTAAAAATACAAAATTAGCCAGGATTGGTGGCGCATGCCTGTAATCCCAGCTACTGGGAAGGCTGAGGCAGCAGACTCGCTTGAACCCAGGAGGTGGAGGTTGCGGTAAGCCAAGATCAAGCCATTGCACTCCAGCCTGGGCAACAAGAGCGAAATTCTGTCTCAATAAATAAATAAATAAATAAATAAATAAACAAACAAACACCTGTCTTCCTAGTGTTTTATGTCTATAGTTCAGAAATGCTTTACCTACTTCATGATGTGTAGTTTGTTCTGATCTGTTCCTTTTCTTCATTGTGTCTAGCCTCATAAGTCATCTTCCTAGTTTTGGAATAACCTAATCCCGTAAGGTCATTGCTAATGTTTCAGCTTTGAATAATTTCCTATTTTCTGCCCTATGTATTGAACCCTTCTGTTAATTATGCTGTCTTTAATATATCTTACTTGCTTTGAATAGACTTCTGTACCATTCTACTTATAGGTTGTTCCAGCCAAACTCATTCTAAATAGGTCAGGCATGGCCTAAACATTCTAAATAGGCCAGGCATGGTGGCTCACGCCTGTAATCCCAGCACTTTAGGAGGCTGAGGTGGGCAAATCAAAAGGTCAGGAGTTCGAGACCAGCCTGGCTAAATGTTGAAACCCCATCTCTACTAAAGATACAAAAAATTAGCCAGGTGTGGTGACTTGTGCCTGAAATTGCAGCTACTCAGGAGGCTGAGGCAGTTGAATTGCTTGAACACAGGAGGCAGATGTTGCAGCGAGCCGAGATCTCACCATTGTACTCCAGCCTGGGTGACGGGCCGATACTCCATCTCCAAAAAAAAAAAAAAAAAAAAAAGTAAAGAAAAACATTTATGAAAGTGTGCACAACAAAATTAAAATGTTGACTCTAAAGTGAGCAACTGAATGACTGGGATGCATAAGAGAAAAGGGTACTTAACATTTTTATACCTATTGAATTGTATCCTATGTACGTATTATAAATTTAAATGTGCAATAATGCAGATAACTGAAATGTGGGTATGCTTTGATTAGGACTTTGCATTTCCCATTTGCTCAAACTCCTCATGATTCTGGATGCATATGAATAGAAATACAAAATGTAAGGGGACCGAGGACTTCTCATAGCCCTTTCTTCTTTCCACATTTTGTGTCTCTGGCTGTAGTTTGCCATATGAGTCTATATGGCTAATGAGCAAAATATTTTTCAGATGGATACCTGTGACCAAGCATTGCATTTTAAAGATATTTCTGAATCTTGGACCTCTTATTTACAGTGAAGCCCCCTCATGCATAGTAAAGCAGACAGGAATGTAAAAGGTTGCTGCATCGATAATCAATTTCTGGTGAGCAGTAATTATAGGTAATGTAAACAGGGACAATTATTGCTTTTCATCATATCTTGAGAGAAATCCTACAGCCAATGATTTTGAAAAAAATAAAACATCTAAGTTCACTCTTTTCTATAATGAAAAGACATTATCCAGTAGAAGTTCAAGAGTACAGTCTGAAGGCAGCTTATCTGACCTGGCCACATGGTCTTGCCACTTTAGTTAAAGACAACTTCCTACACAGTAACCTCTCCAGACCTCAGATCCTCAACTCTCTAAAATGGAAACCTAGTAGTATTTACCTCTAGAACTGCAGCTGAACTGAGCATTTTAGGAAAGGAACAAACACACACACGATATATATAATCAGATTATGAACGCAGTGTGGCCCAGAGTGCAAAAATTTCTCAGTACTAGAGATTCTCAAGAGAAAAATGAGATGTAGTCTATCTCAGTGGCCTTTCATGTGGCAAATGAAAAGTGAAAGTCCATAATGAGAAATACATGGGCAGCCAGTGACACCACCCATTCAATGTAGACTCTCAACATCTCTGACAGTCATTACCTGTTGTACCCTGACCTGCTTATATATTGGGGTAATATCACCTTTTGATCAAAACATACATAAACCTCAAGCCTCAGTAAGAAATATTTATGGACAACCAGATTTTCTGTGTTTCCAGTCAAAACTCAGGTAGACCACATTTTATGTGACAGGAGAAGGCACAGTTGATGCCCAGTTAACCCTGAGATCATCTCTGCCTGCAGCTTCCTATCATCATAGCAAGCTCTTTCCCTGAAGTACATCATCTGTATCTGCTCTTTGCTATATAAGTAGCAAAAATAAGCATCTGAAAAGATGCTCAGCACCATATGTCACTGGGGAATTCAAATTAAAACAACAATGAGATACCACTACACATCTATTAGACTGGCTTAAATCCAAACGCTGACACCATCAAATGCTGGTGAGGATATGGAGCAGCAGGAACACTCATTGATTGCTGCTGGGAATGCAAAATGGTAAAGCCACTGTGGAAGGCAGTTTTGCAAATTCCTGCAAAACTAAACATATGCTTACCATAAGATCTGGCAATTGCATTCTTTGGTGAATACTCAAATGACCTGAAACTTTATCCACTGAAATTCTGCACGTGAATGTTTAAAGCAGCTTATACATATTCGACAAAGATTGGAAGTAACCAAGATATCCTACAATAGGGAAATGGATAAACTATCTCTGAAACATTCATACAATGGAATATTCTTCAGGAATAAAAAGAAACTACCAAGGCATGAAAAGACTTGGAGGAATCTTAAACACGTATTTCTAAGTGAAAGAAGCCAATGTGAAAAGGCCACATAGTGTAGAGTTCCAATTATATGGAATACTAGAAAAGGCAAAACTAGGCAGATGGTATTATAAAAAGTTCAGTGGTTGCCAGGGGCTTGAGCAAAGGGAAGGATGAATAGGTGGAGCACAGAAGATTTTTCGGGCAGTGAAACTTTTCTGTGTGACCCTATAATGGTGGATATATGTCCTTAAGCATTTGTCAAAGCCCATAAATGGTAGAACACAAAGAATGAATGTTAATATAAGCCATGAACTTAATAATATCAATATTGGCTCATCATGCATAACAAATGTACCACATTAACAAGATGATAATAGAGGAAGTGTGTGTACTATGGTGTGAGGCAGATATTAGAGCACAATAGGCCTTCTGCTCTATTTTTCTGTACGCCTACAACTGTTCTAAAAATTAAGTCAATTATTTATTTATTTATTATTTATTAATTTATTTTTTGAGATGGAGTCTCACTCTGTTGCCCATGCTGGAGTGCAATGGCACGATCTTGGCTTATTGCAACCTCTGCCTCCTGGGTTCAAGTGATTCTGCTGCCTCAGCCTCCCAAGTAGCTGGAATTACAGGCACCCAGCACCATGCCCGGCTAATTTTTTTGTATTTTTAGTAGAGACAGGGTTTCACCATGTTAGCCAGGATGGTCTTAATCTACTGACCTCGTGATTCACCCACCTTGCCCTCCCAAAATGCTTGGATTACAGGCATGAGCCACCGTGCCAGGCCTAATTTATCTTTTTGAGACAGGTTTTAGCTCTGTCACTCAGGCTGGAGTGCAGTGGTGCAATCATGGCTCTATGCAGCCCCAACCTCCAGGGCTCAAGTAACCCTCCCACATCAGCCTCCTGAGTATCTGGGACCACAGGGATGTGCCACCATGCCTGGCACATTTCTTAGACCTCTGAAAAGATGCTCAACACCATATGTCACTAGGAATATTCGGTATTCAACTAGAGGCTTCAATGGGCTCTGAAATATCCCCTGGTAAACTCTATAAATGTGTTTCCAACTGGCTGAATGAAAACAAAGGTTTACATCTGTGTGAGATGAATTCACATATCAGAAAGCATTTTCACTGAGAACTTTTCTAGTTTTATAGCAGGATGTTCGTTTTTTCAATATTGGTCTCAACGGGCTCCAAAATGTCCCTTTGTACAGTCTACAAAATGTTTTGCCAACATACTGAATCAAAACAAATGTTTAGCACTGTGAGATGAATTTTCACATCACCAAACATTTTTACAGATAGTTTGTGTCTAGTTTTTAATCACAAAATTTTGAATTTTTCACTGTAAGCCTCAAAGGGCTCTAAATTGTCCCCTCTTAGCTTCTACTAAAAGAGAGTTTTGAACCTACTGTGTAGAAACAAAAGTTTAACTCTGTGAAATGAATTCCCACATTGCAAAGCTATTTCACAGGTAGCTTGCTTCTAGTTTTTATCACGAATTATTTGGCTTTTCACTATAGGCCTCAAATGGGCTCCGAAATGTCCCTTCATACATTCTACAAAAAGAGTGTTTCCAACTTAGCTGAATCAGAGGAAAGTTTAAACTGTGTGAGATGAAACTGCAAATTGCAAAGCATTTTCACATATAGCTTCTATAGTTTCTATCAGATAATATTCAGTTTTTCACTATAGGCCTCTGTGGACTATGAAATGTCCCTTCATAGGTTATACAAAAAGGTGTTTCCAACATGCTGAATGAAAATAAAGATTTAACTTTGTGAGATGAACCCACACATCACAAAGCATTTTTATAGATAGATTTTCTCTAGTTTTTATTGCAGAATATTCAATTTCATACTATAGGCCTCAATTTGCTCCAAAATTTCACCTTGTAGATTCTACAAAAAGAATATTTCCAACCCGCTGAATCAAAACCGATGTTCAATTCTGTGAGATGATATGCAAAGCTTTTTCACAGATATCCTGTTTCTAGTTTTTATCCTGTGGTGTTTGGTTTTTCACTATAAGCATCAATGGGCTCTGAAATGTCCCTCTGTAGATTCTACAAAAAGAGTGTTTCCAACCTGTTGAATCAAAACAGTTTTAACTTTGTGAGATGAAGCCACACATCACAAAGCATTTTCACCCATAGCTTGTTTCTAATTTTTACCATGGGTTATTGGTTTTTCACTAAATGCCTCAATGGACTAGGAATAATTGCCTTGCAGATTGTACAACCAAGGAGTTTCCAACCTGCAGAAGCAAAACACAGGTTTAACTTTGTAAGATGAATCTACACCTCGCAAAGCATTTTTACAGATAGGTTGCTTTGAGTTTTCATCAAGAGATATTTGATTCTTCACTGTATGCTTCAATGGGCTATGAAATCTCCCCTTACAGATTCTACAAAAAAAGTTTCCAAACTGATGAATCAAAAGAAAAGTTCAACTTTTGAGATGAAATCACACATCACAAAGTATTTTCAGAAATAGCTTCTTTATAGTTTTTATCACAGGATATTAGATTTTCCAATATTAGGGTCAATGAGCTCTGTAATGTCCCTTTGTAGATTGTACAAAATGAGTGTTTCCAACCTATGGAATAAAAAGGAAGGTTTAACTCTGTGAGATAAATCCACACATCACAAAGCATCTTCACAGATGGCTTGTTTCTAATTTTTATTGTGGGATATTCTGTTTTTCACTAAAGGCCTCAAGCGCTCCGAAATGTCCCTTTGTAGATTCTATAACAAGAGTGTTTTAAAACTGCTGAATCAAAACAAATGTATAACCCTTTGAGAGGAATCCACACATCACAAAGCATATTTTCAGATACTTGTTTCTAGTTATTAAAGCAAGATATTCAGTTTTTCAGTATATGCCTCATTGGGCTCAGAAATGTCTCATAGTAGATTTTGAGACATAGTAGATTTTGAAACACAAAAATAGTGTTTCCTACCTGCCGAATCAAAACAACAGTTTAAACCTGTGAGATGACTCCAAACCTCGCAAAGCATTTTCACAGATAGTCGTTTCCTAGTTTTTATCACAGGATACTCGGTTTTTCAGTATAGGCATCAATGAACTCTGAAATGTCCACTCATAGGTTCTATAAAAGTGTGTTCCCAACTCCCTGTATAAAAGCAAAGGTTTAACTCTGTGAAATGAATCTGCACATTGGAAAGCATTTTCACAAATAGCTTGTTTCTAGCTTTTATGATGAGATATTTGATTTTTTACTATTGGCCTCAATGGGCTCAGAAATGTCTCTTTGCAGATTCTAAAGAAAAAAGGTTTTTCATTTTTCTGAATAAAAATAAAGGTTTAACTCTTTGCTGTGAAATCACACATCACAAAGAATTTTTACAAACAGCTTGTTCCTAGGGTTTATCACTGGATATTGGGTTTTTCACTATAAGCTTCAGTGGAGACTTAATTGTAACTTAATTCACAAAAAGAGTGTCCCCCAACCTGCTGTATGTAAATAAAGGTTTACCTCTGTGAGATAAATCTTCACATCACAAAGCATTTTCCCCGATAGCTTTTTTCTAGTTTTTATCTCGGGATATTGATTTTTCACTATAGGCTTCAATGGGTTTTGAAAGTTTCCTCTGTAGATTCTACAAAAAGAGTGTATTAACCTGCTGAATCAAAACAACGTTTAACTTTTTGAGATAAATCCACACATCATAAAGCATTTTCACAGATAGCTCTTTTTTTTTTTTTTTTTTTTTTTAAGATGGAGTCTCACTCAGTCACCCAGGCTGGAGTGCAGTGGTGTGATCTCGGTTCACTGCAAGCTCCGCTTCCTGGGTTCATGCCATTCTCCTGCCTCAGCCTCCCAAGTAGCTGGGACTACAGATGCCCGCCACCAGGCCAGGCTAATTTTTTTGTGTTTTTAGTAGAGACGGGGTTTCACCATGTTAGCCAAGATGGTCTCGATCTCCTGACCTCATGATCCACCCGCCTCAGCATCCCAAAGTGTTAGGACTACAGGCGTGAGCCACCGCACCTGGCCGATAGCTTTTTTAACTTTTTATTTTGGGATATTGGTTTTTCACTACAGGCTGATACTGGCTTCAAATTGTACCCTCATAGATTCTACAAACAGTGAGTTTCCAAGCATCTGAAATGCTAGATATTCGGTTTTTCACTGTAGGCATCAATTTGCTCTGAAATGTCCTATTGAAGATTTTACCAAAAGAGTGTTTCCATCCTGCTGAATCAAAAGAAGGTTTAATTCTGTGTGATGAAATTACCCATCGTAAATCATTTTCAGAGACAGCTTCATATAGTTTTTATCTCAGAATATTCCGTTTTTCACTTTAAGCCTCAATGGGCTTTGAAATGCCTCCTCATAAATTGTACAAAAAAAAGGAGTTTCCAACATGTTGAATCAAAACAAATATTTAATGTTGTGAGATAAATTCAAATATCGCAAAGCATTTTTACAGATTTTTTTTCTCATTTTTATCGCGGAATATTCGGTTTTTCACTAGTCCTCAGTGGGCTCAGAAATGCCCCTTGTATGTTCTACAAAAAGAATGTTTCTAACTTGCTGAACCAAAACAAAACTTTAATGCTTTGAGGTGAAACCACACATTGCAAACATTTTCACAGATAGCTTGTTTCTAGTTTTGATCACGGAATATTGGATGTTTTACAATAGGCCTCAACGTGCTAAGAATTGTCCCCTCTTAGATTCTACTAGAAGAGTGTTTCCAAAATGCTGTATAAAAATAAAGGCTTAACACTGTGAGATGAACTGACACATCACAAAGCATTTTCACAGGTAGGTTGTTTCAACTTTTCATCATGTGATATTCAGTTTTTCAATATATTCCTCCATGGGCTCTGAAATGTCCCTTCATAGATTCTATGAAAAGACTGCATCCAACTGACTGAATCAAGACAAAGGTATAACTCTGTGAGAGAAATGCACACATCTCAAAGCATTTTCACTGATATCTTGTTTCTAGTTTTTATCATGGGATAATTTGTTTTTGACTATAGGCCTCAATGGGTTTCAAAATGTCCCTTTGTAGATTCTACAAAAAGAGTGCTTCCATCCTGCTCAATCAAAGCAAAGGTTTAATTCTCTGAAATGAATCCACACATCACAAATCATTTTACAATATAGCTTGTTTCTAGTTTTTATTGTGGGATATTTGATTTTTTACTTTAGACCTCAATGGGCTCTGAAATGTGCCTTCTTAGATTCTACAAAGAGAGTGTTTCTCACCTGCTGAATCAAAACAAAGGTTTAATTTTGTGAGATAAGTCCACACATCACCAAGCATTTTTATAAATAGCTTGTTTCTAATTTTTATCATGGGATATTCAGTTTTTTCAGTGTAGGCCTCATTGGTCTCTGAAATGTCCCCTCATAGATTCTACAAGTAGAGTTTTTGCAACCTGATACACCAAAACAAACATTTAATTCTGTGAGATAAATCTATAACTCTACACGTCTGAAAGCATTTTCACAGATAGCTTGTTTCTAGTTTTTATCACAGGATATTTGATTTTTCACTATAGACCTCAATAGGCTCTGAAATGTCCCCTCAAAAATTCTACAAAAAGAGTGTTTTCAACCTGCTGAATAAAAACAAAGTTTTAACTCTGAAAAATAATAAATCATAAAACATTTTCACAGTTGGCTTGTTTCTAGTTTTTATCACGCGATACTCAGTTTTTCATGACAGGGCACAATGGGCTCCAAAATGTCCCTTTGAACATTCTACAAAAAGAGAGATTTTGGCCTACTGAATAAAAACAAAGGTTTTATACTGTGAGAGGAATCCACACATAGGAAGGAATTTTCACAGATAGCTTGTTTCTAGTTTTCAACACAGGATGTTCAGGTTTTTCATATACTTCTTGATGGGCTCTGAAATGTCCCTTCATAGACTCTACAAAGACAGCATTTACAACCTGCTGAATAAAAACAAAGGTTTAACCTGTGAGTTGAATCCACACATCACAAAGCATTCTCATATATAGCTTGTTTCTAGTTTTTATCTTGAGATATAACGTTTTTAACTTTAGGCCTTAATGTTGTCTGAAATGTGCCATTTTAGTTTCTACAAATACAGTGTTTCAACCTGCTGAATTAAAACGAGATTTAACTCTCTGATATGAATTGACACATCACAAACTATTTTCACAGATAGCTTTTTACTAGTTTTTGTCATGGGATTTTAAGTTTTTCACTAATGGCTTTCATGTACTCTGAAATGTCCCTATGTAGATTTTACAAAAAGAGTGTTTCCAACCTACTGAATCAAAACAAGGGTTTAAATCTGTGAGATATATCCATACATTGCAAAGCACTTTCACAGATTGCTAGTTTCTAGTTTTTATCATGAGATACTTGGTTTTTCACTATAGACCTCAATAGGCTCCCAAATGACTCTCATAGATTGTACAAAAAGAGTGTTTTCAAAGTGCTGAATCAAAATAAAGATTTAACTCAGTGAGGTGAATCCACGCATTGCAAAATATTTTCACAGATAGCTTGTTTTTTTTTTTGTTTGTTTGTTTTGTTTTTATTGTGGGATATTTCATTTTTCACTACAGGCCTCAATGGGCACCAAAATGTCTTCTCCTAGATCCTACAAACTGACTGTTTCCAACTTGCTTAATCAAAACAAAGGTTTAACCCTGTGATATGAATACACACATCCCAAAGGATTTTCACAGATAGCTTATTTCTAGTTTATATCTCCACTTATTTTGTTTTTCACTGTAGGTTTCAATGGGCTTTGAAATGTTTCTTTGTAGATTCTGCAAAAAGCTTTTCAAATCTGCCGAATTAAAACAGTATTTAACTCTTTGAGATGAATCCACACACTGCAAAGCATTTTCACAGGTAGCTTTTTTTCTAGTTTTTATCATGGGATATTTGGTCTTTCACTGTAGTAGTCCTCAATGGACTCTGAAATGGCCCTTAGTAGATTCTACAAAAAAGAGTGTTTCCAACCTGCTGAATCAAGATAAATGTTTAACTCTATGAAAGGAATCCACACAATGCAAAGCATTTTCACAGATAGCTTGTTTGTGGTTTTTATTGCAGGATATTTGGTGTTTTAATGTACTTGTCCATGGGCTCCGAAATGTCTCTTCATATATTCTACAAAAATAGTGATTCCAACCTGCTGAAAAAATAACATGTGTTTAACTCTGAGAGATGATTCCCCAAATCACAAGACGTTTTCACAGACAGCTTGTTTCTAGTTTTCATTGTGGGATATTTAACTTTTCACTAGAGGTCTTAATGAGCTTTGTAATGTCCTTTTGTACAATCTACAAAAAGAGAGTTTCCAGTCTGCTGAATCAAAACAAAGGTTTAAACCTGTAAGATAGATCCACACATTGCAAAACATTTTCACAGACATCTTGTTTCTACTTTTCATTGTAGCATACTTGCTTTTTCCAAATACTTCTCCAGGGGCTCCATATTGTCCCTTCGTAAATTCCACAAAAAGAGTGTTTCCAACCAGCTAAATCAAAACAAAGGTTTAAATCTGTGAGTTAAATCTATGCATTGCAAAGCATTTTCACAGATAGCCTGTTTCTCATTTTTATCATGGGATATTTGGTTTTTCACCATAGGCCTCAATGGGTACTAAAATGTCTTCTCATAGATTCTAAAAACAGACTGCTTTCAACCTGCTTAATCAAAAGAAAGGTTTAACTCCATGATATGAATCCACACATTGCAAAGCATTTTCACAGATAGCTTGTTTCTAGTTTTTTTCTCCACATATTTTGTTTTTCACTATAGGCTTCAATGGGCTTTGAAATATTTCTTTGTAGATTCTGCAAAAAGAGTTTTTCCACCCTGTGTATTTAAAACACTGGTTTAACTCTGTGGCATGAATCCACAATGGCAAAGCATTTTCACAGATAGCTTTTTTCTTGTTTTTTTTTTTTTTTTTTTTTGGGTGGGGTGGGGGCGATATTTGGTCTTTCACTGTAGGTCTCAATGGGCTCTGAAATGGCCCTTCATAGATTCTACATAAAGAGTTTTTCCAACCTGCTGAATCAAAACAAATGTTTAATTCTGGAAGATGAATCCACACATCACAAAGCATTTTCAGATATAGACTTTTATTGTTTTTATTGTGAAATATTTTGTTTTTTACTATAGGCATCAATGGGTGTGAAATGTCCATTCATATATTCTATAAAAAAGTGTTTTCAACCTGCTGAATAAATGCAAAGGTTTAAATATGTGAGATGCACCCACACATTGCAAAGCATTTTCAAAGACAGCTTGTTTCCACTTTTATCCTGAGATATTTTGTGTTTCACTATGGGCCTCAATGGGCTTCAAACTGTCCCTTTGTAGATTCTACAAAAAGAGTGTTTCCAATCTGCTTAATCAAAAAAATGATTAACTCTGTGAGATGAATCCACATATCACAAAGAATTTTTACTGATAGCTTGTTTCTGGATGTTATCACGGGATAATCGGTTTTTTATCAACCTGCTGAATCACAAGAAAGATTTAACTCTGTGAGATGAAATCACACATCACATATAACTTTCAGACACAGCTTTTTGTAGTTTTTATCACAGGGCATTAAGTTTTTCACTACAGGCTTCAATGGGCTTTGAAATATCCTTGTGTAGATTGTACAAAGAGAGTGTATCCAACCTGCTGAATGAAAACAATATTTAATTCTTTGAGATAAATCCACACATACCAAAGCATTTTTACAGATAGGTTGTTTCCATTTTTCATCATGAGATATTGGGGTTTTCACTATAGGTTTCAATGGGCTCTGAAATGTTTCTTCATAGATTCTAGAAAAGGAGTGTTTCAATTCGATTGAAATGAGTGTTCTGATTCTGCTGAATCAGAAGGAAGTTTTAACTCTGTGAGATGGATCCACACATTGCAGAGCTTTTTCACAGATACCTTACTTCTGGTTTTTTTCATGGGATATTTGGTTTTTCACTATAGGCCTCAATGAGCTCCGAAATGTTTTTATGTAGCATCTAAAAAAAGAGTTTTTCCAAACTGATGAATTAAAACAAAGGTTTAAATATGTGACATTATTTCACATATCACAAAGCATTTTCACAGATACCTTGTTTGTAGTTTTTATCACAGGATATTCTGCTTCTCACTATAGGCCTCAAGGGTTTGAAATGTCTTTCCTTAGATTTATGAAAAACATGTTTCTAGCCTACTGAATGACAAATGTTTAACTCTGTGAGATGAATCCAGACACTGCCAGTCGTTTTCACAGATAGCTGTTTCCTAGTTTTGTGTGTGGGGGATATTCGCTTTTTCACAATATGCCTCAAAGGTCTCAGAAATTCCCATTAGTAGATTCTACAAAAAGAGTGTTTCCAACATGCTAAATAAAAAAAAAACTTTAACTCTGTGAGAAGAATCCACACATCACAAAATATTTTCACTGATAGCTTGTTTTTAGTTTTCATCGTGTAATATTTGTTTTTTGTTTTTGTTTTTTGATTTTTGTTTTTTACTATAGGCCCCAATGAGCTCTGACATTTTTTCTTTTTAGATTCAACAAACAGAGTGTTTCCAACCTATTGAATCAAAAGAAAGGTTTAAATTTGTAAGATGAATCCACACATCGCAAAGCATATTCACAGATAGCAAGCTTCTAGTGTTTTTTTTTTTTTCTGCAGGATATTCTGTTTTTCACTGTAGGCCTCAATGGGCTCTGACATGTTTGTTGGTAGATACTACTAAAAGACTGTTTCAAACCTGCTGAATCAAAATAAAAGTATAACTCTTTGAGATGAGCCCACACATCCTAAAGCATTTTACAGATAGCTTACTTCTAGTTTTTATCACGAGATATTCTGTTTTTCACTATAGACCTCCATGGGCTCCGAAATGTCCCCTTGTAGATTCTACAAAAAGAATGTTTCCAAATTGCTGAATTAAAACAAAGGTTTAACTGTGTGACATTATTTCACAGATCACAAAGCATTTTCACGGATAGCTTGTTTCTAGTTTTTATTGCAGGATATTTGGTTTTAAACTCTAGGCCTCAATGTGCTTCAAAATGTCTCATCTTAGATTCTACAAAAAACATGTTTCCAACATGCTGAATCAAAACAAAAGGTTGGCTCTGTGAGATAATTCCATGTCTCACAAAGCCTTTTGACAGATGGCTTGCATCAAGTTTTCTTCATGGGATATTCCATTTTTCTCCATAGGCATCAGTGGGCTCCAAAATGTCCCTTTGTAGATACTACAGTGAAAGTGTTTCTAAACTGCTGAATTAAAACAAGGATTTAGTTTTGTGAGATAAATCCAGACATCACAAAGCATTTCACTGATAGTTTGTTTCTAGTTTTTATCACAGGATAGTCAGTTTCTTACTATAGGCCTCAATTTGCTCTGTAATATCCCCTGTTAGATTCTAGAAAAGGAGAATTTCCAGTCTGTTGAATCACAAGAAATGTTTAACTCTGTGAGATAAAATCACACATTGGAAAGCATTTTCAGACATAGCTTCTTTGTAGTTTTTATCGTGGTATATTTGGTGTTTCATTATAGGCCTCAATGGATTTTGAAATTTTCCCTCATAGGGACACAAAAATGTCTTTATCCTTCTGAATCAAAACAAAGTTTTAACTGAAAAAAAAAAATCCACACATAGCAAAGCATTTTTACCATATCTGCCAAGAAGGAAACTCTTGTTCTCCCAATTTTATCAGAAGGCTGCCTGATTCCTATAGGATGAGAAGCAGGCAGCGGTGTCTGGATTTGCCTGGTCATCTAGGCTCTGTTACATATCATCTGCATGTTCTTTTTCATTGTGGAGGGGATCTTTTATGGATCTGTTGCTAGCGGGGACTGCCTCTCTTTACAGATCTTTTGGCTGCCAGGAATTTCAAGGAGCAAAAAGTACTTTGGGTAGGCTGGCTGCACTCCAGGTTGTGAGTAGCGGTCTCACTGTGGGGGACTGAGATGTTTGCAGTTTGCAGGAGGCTTTTGGGTTCTCTGGCAGGAATCCTTGAACATGGCTTTGACTCTAGCACAGGCCCTCTCATTCTCCAAGGGAAGCATTGATTTTCCATTGCTTTCATGAGGAGTCCATACTACTCTTCATCAGCACTCCTAAACACACTTTTTTTGGCTTGCAATTGCCTCAGGCGGCCACTGAGACGCTCTCTGAACTGCATCTGCACCTGTGAAGTCAGTCCAAAGTGTGAGACTTCTGCTTCACTTTGAACTTGCCTTTGTCATGGTTCCTGCCTTTCCCAAAGAGCCATGTTGAGAAGCAGGAGCCCCTGTGAGGCCCAGGATGAAGGGAGGCAGTGAGCTCAAGGGCCCGGCCATTTTCTGCTGACATCTGCCTCTGGGGTCTCAGGTATGATTTCATCACCTGGACACCCCTTAACATCTCAGCAGACTGTATTCCCTTCCCCCATGGGACCCGATTCTTGCACACAGCCTCTTTCGGGAATGGAATCGGAAGAACAGTTTCTAGCTCCCACCTCAGTCTCCAAGTGCCTCCTCCTCCAGCGGGACCTGACCATGGAGACAGCCCGAAGAGGCCTGCATAGAGGGTTCGGGGGTGAGTCTTTTTGAAACTTGCCCCCTCTGTGATGTCTAAGTACAGCCTGCCTGTGTTCCCCAGGCTGCTCTCTCCCAGGAGGGGCTTCCTGCAGAAACACACAGCCTCTGAAGCTGCTGGGATGTGTGTTTCTTTGGGAATGTTTCAAGTTGTGGATATCTGCGTGTGGGTGCAGACATGTGAGTGTGTGTGTGTGTGTGGGGGGTAAGTGGAGTCTGCTGAAAGAAATGTGGCTAACGCACTGCAGCACTTTGTTTTTTGTCACCCCACCTTCCGGTGGCCTGTCTCTGTGGCTCTGCTTGGGCTGAGGGTCTCCATGTTCTTCATTTTTCCATGGCTCCTGAGTCCACAGTAAATTGGAAGAATGGCTGACAACCGCCAGGGTCAAAATCACCTCCCCTTGCAAAAAAACCACATTTCTAAAAAGAAGAGAAGCACACCACACCCCAAAACAGACAACTCCCCGTGCTTTATTGTTCTGTGGCCAGCCCTGGGCCAGACCCCCGCAGTCCAGTCGCAGGGCTTTTTGAATTTACCTCGATTTTGGTTTGTAGCTGAGCAGGTGCTTCAGGTCATCAGGAAGCACTCCTCCATTGTCTCGGAATTTTATTCTGGGATGCAGAGTGTGAGCAACAATAAGGTCAGATAGGGGTGAGGATACAGTCTGTTGAGGTATGGATGGGATCTCGCACCTTCACCTCAAAAAAGGTGCAGACAAATGACACAGAAGTTGCTTCTAACTGCATCCCCTCATTCCCTTCATTGCACAGTCAACAGCATGGCCCGGTGCCCAGGTGGGATGACTCAATCGTGCAGAGAAAAGTTGGATTGTAAACTGGGGCCCTTCAGGCCAGCTCCAGAATTGAGCTTTCATTCCTGGAGCCACATTGGAGTGAGACGGATTGATGCTGGGTTGGATGTGGCCTCCACACTGGCCTCCTCTTTTCCTGACTTCCATGTCCCTTGTGGGCCTAGAGTTTCCTAGGTCTGGCTTAGAGTTTCTTCCATGTTCCTCATGAACCTGGGGTTTTTAAGGGTCTGGCTCAAAGTCTTCCACACAAAAAGTTTCTCAGTTCATGGAGGACGACTCTAATGGGAATCAATTGCATCAGTGTTTTCTTATAAACACTGTCATGTTTTAATGACTGGGCAGTTGTGATAGTTTTGGAATCGTAAATTTTGAGTATATCCACGATCAAGGTAACTCTTGTTCTCCCACTTCTAAAGGACAGCTGCATGACTCCTGTAGGATGAGAAACAGGCAGCTGTGTCTGGCTTTTACCTGGCAATCTAGGCTCTGTTTCATGTCATCTGCACTTCCTTTCTCATTGTGGATGGGGCTTTTCATTGGGCTGTTGGTGGGTGGGACTGCCTTTCATCGTGGATGTTTTGGTTGCCAGGAATATCAGAGAGCAAAAGGTATTTTGGGTAGGCTGCCTGCACACCAGGTTGTGGGTAGTGGTCTCATAGTGGTGGCTGGCATTGTTTGCACTTTGCAGGAAGCTTTTAAGTCCTGTGGCAGGAATCCTTGAACATGGCTTGGACTCCTGCGCAAGTCTGCTCATTCTCCCAGGAAAGCCTTGATTTTTCTTTGCTTTCATGGGGGGTCCACAGTGCCCATCAATGGCACTCCTGGACGTTATTTTCAGGTTTCAAATTGCCCCAGACAGCCTCTGAGACACTCTCTCAACCTCAAGTGCACCCGTGAGAGGCCTGTTAGAGGTGTGAGAACACTGCTCCACCTTGAACTTGCTTTTGTCATGGTTTCTGCCTTTCCCAGAGAGCCGTGCTGAGAAGCAGGAGCCCCTGTGAGGCCCGGGATGAAGGAAGGCATGGGGTTCAAGGGCCTGGCTGTTTTCCACTGACACCTTCCTCTTGGATCTCAGATATCCCATCACCTAGAGACCTCTTAACAACTCACCAGACATTATTCCCATCCTCAGGAGACCCAATTCATGCACACATCCTTTTTTGGGAATGGAGTCAGGAGAGCAGTCTCCAGAGCCCACCTCACAGTCTTCAAACTCCTCCTTCTCCTGTGGGACCCTACCACAGAGATGGATCATAAAGGCCCTATGTTCGAGACTATTAGCGTGCTGCAGTTGGTTGCTGCAGGCAGCCTTTTTCTGGCGACTAGGCCGGTTCTGGCTGTACCATTTTCCTGAGCTTTGGCAGGCTTACAGCCCTGACAGCCAGGTGCCTGAGCCTGCCTGGTGAATGCGCATGTGACAGCCAGGTCACCAGGCACCAGTGGTGAGCAGTGGCTCACGTCACAGTGAATGCCACCGTTGCCTGGTGACAAGTCCCTTCATCTTGGCAGAGAAGGAATCCTCTGTGGATGTGTGTCAGTGTTGGACTCTCACCTGTCTACTCTGAGGGCTCTATGGGATATTCCCACAATCCTTGGAGTGGGCAGTGGTGAGCCAGCCTGAAGAAACATCAAGTGGAGCCCCAGGAATAAACCACGAAATCCCTAAGGATCCAAAAGGATACCCATGATGAGTCAGGCCTGCCTAGACGGTGTGGGGGTGAGTCTTTTTGAAACTTCCTCCTTGTGATTTCTAGGTACAGCCCACCTCTGTTTCCTGGAGCTGCTTTCTCTCAGAAGGGGCTTTCTGCAGAACCACGCAGCCTCAGGAGCTGCCAGGCTGTGTGTTTCTGTGGAATTGTTGCGAGTGTTCGGATGTCTGCATGTGTGTGTGGCTGTGTGTGAGTGTGTTTGTGTGTGTCTGTGTGTGTGTGTAAGTGGCATCTGCTAAAAGGAATGTGACTAACGCACCGCAGCACTTTCTTTTTTTTGAGTCCCTTCACCTTCTGGTGCACCTGTCTGTGTGGCTCTGCTTGGCCTATGGGGCTGCATGTTCTTTGTTTTTCCATGGTTCCTGAGTCCACAGTGAGTTGGGGGGGGGGGATGGCTGAGACCCACAGGTGTACAAATCACCTCCCCATACAAAGGAGCCACTCTTCTAGAAAAAAGAGGAGCACATCACTGTCAGGAACAGACACCTGTCAGGGCCTCATTTTCCTTTGGCCAACCCAGAGTGGGACCCTAGCAGTCCTGTCTGCAGGCCCCTTGAATCCAATTCAAATTCAGTTTGCAGCTGAGCAGGTGCTTCACATCATGAAGGGAGCACTCCTCCAACATCTTGGGATTTCATTCTAGAACTAAGAGTGTGAGCAGCAATAAGGTCAGATAGGGGTGAGCATACAATCTGCTCCTTCATCTGCAAAAAAAGGTGCAGACAGATGACACAGGAAGTGCTTCCAACTCCATCCTTGCATTCCCTTCATTGCACAAGCTGTCCACAACGTGGCCCTGTGGCCAGGTGGGAGGACTCCAACTTGCAGGGAATAAAAAATAAGGTTTAACTGATACAAAAAGTTTATCTCTGTAAGATGAATCCACACATCACAAATCATTTGCAAAGATAGCTTCTTTCTAGTTTTTATGCCAGGATATTAGGTTTTTCACTGTAGTCTACAATAGGCTCCGAAAAGTCCCTTCATAGATTCTACAAAAAAGGTATTTTCATCCTGTTGAATTAAAACAAAGGTTTAACTCTGTGAGATAAATCCACACTTCACAAAGCATTTTCACAGATAGATAGTTTTTAGTTTTTATCGTGAAATATTTGGTGTTTTACTTTAGTCCTCAATGTTCACAAAAATATCTTTTCTGTGTATGCTACCTAAAGAGTTTTGTCAACCTACTGAATGATAATAAAGGTTTAACTTTGTGAGATGAATCCACACATCACAAAGTATTTTCACTAATAGATCATTGCTGGTGTCTATCGTGGGATATTCAGCTTTTCAATATACTTGTCAGTGGGCTCCAAAATGTCCTTTTGTAGATTCTTTAAAAAGAGTGTTTCCAATGTGCTGAATCAATATAAAGGTTTACCTCTGTGAGATGAATCCACACACCACCAAGTGTTATCAAATATTGCTTGTTTCTAGTTTTTATCTTGAAATATTCATTTTTTCACTATCAGCCTCAGTGAGCTCCAAAGTATCCCTTCATAGGTTGTACAAAAAGAGTGTTGCCAACCTGCTGAATCAAAACAAAAGTTTAAGTTTGAGTTCGTGAGACAAATCCACACATCAGAAAGCATTTTCACAGATAGCTTGCTGCTAGTTTTAATCACTGGTATTAGGTTTTTCAGTATATCCCTCAATGTACTTTGAAACGTCCCTTTGTAGATTCTATTAAAAGAATGTTTTCAGCCTGCTGAATCCAAACAAAGGTTTAACTCTGTAAGATGAACCCACATATGGCAAAGCATTTACACAGATAGCTTGTTTCTAGTTTTTATCAGAGAATATTCAATTTTTCATGGTAGGCCTCAATGGGCTCTGAAATATTCCTTTGTAGATTCTACAAAAAGAGCTATTCCAACCTACTGAATCAAAAAAAATTATCTCTGATAGATGAATTCACACATCACAAAATATTTTCACAGATATTTTGTTTCTAGTTTTTATCACAGGATATTAGGTTTTTCTCTATAGGCCTCAGTGGTCTCTGAAATGTTCCTTTATAGATTCTACAAAAAGAGTGTTTCCAACCTACTGATTCAAAACAAAAGTTTAACTCCATGAGACGAATCCACATATCGCAAAGCATTTTCACAGATAACTTGTTTCAAGTTTTTATGATGGGGTATTTTGTTTTCCACTGCAGGCCTCAATTGACTTCAAAATATCCCTTTGAATGTTCTCAAAAAGAGCGTTTTTGACTTGCTGTAACAAAACAAAGGTTTAACTTTGTGAGATAAATCCACACATTGGAAAGTATTTTCACAGATAGCTTGTTTCCTGTTTTTACAGCAGAATATTCAATTTTACAAATATAGGTCTCTATGGGCTGCAAAAGGCCGCTTCATAGATTCTACAAGAGTTTTCCCAACTTCTGAATCAAAACAATTTTAACTCTGTCAGTTGAATCCACACAGCACAAAGGATTTTCACTGATAGATTTTTCTAGATTTTATCAAGGAATATTTGGTTTTTTTATTATAGTTCTCAATAGGCCCTGAAATATCTTTTAACACATTTCACAATTAGACTGTCTGCAACCTGCTGAATAAAAACAGAGGTTTAACTCTGGGAGATACATCCATACATCAAAGCATTTTCACAGATAGTTTATTTCCAGTTTTTATTGTGAGACATTCGATTTTTTAAAAAAGGCCTCAATGGTCTCCAAAATATCCCTTAGTAGATTCTCCATAAATAGTGCTTTCAAACTGCTAAACCAAAGCAAAGCTTTAACCTTGTGATATGAATCCACTCATTGCAAAGCATTTTCACATAAAACTTTTTCTATTTTTCATCATGGGACATTTGCATTTTTACTACAGGCCTCAATGGGCTCCAAAGTGTCTCTTCATAGGTTCTACAAAAAAAGGTGTCTCCAACCTGCCTTCCATAGATTTTCCAGAAACAGTGTTTTCAACCCGCTGAATCAAAACAAAGATTTAACTCTGTGTGATGAATCCAGACATCAGAAAGCATTTTCACAGATAGCTTGTTTATAGTTTTAATCACAGGATATTCACTTTTTCACTATAAGCCTAAATAAGCTTTGAAATATCCCTTTGAAGATTCTATAAGAAGAATGTTTCCAACCTGCTGAATTGAAACAATGGTTTACCTGTGGGAGATGAATTCACACATCACAAAGAATTTTCACAGATATCTTGTTTCTACTTTTTATCATGGGATATTCAGTTTTCCACTGTAGGCCTCACTGGGCTTTGTAGTATTCCTTCATAGATTCTACAAAATGGATGTTCCCAACTTGCTGAATCAAAATAGGTTTATCTCCGTGAGATAAATCCACACATCACAAAGCATTTTCACAGATACCTTGTATCTAGTTTTTATCACAGGACATTTGGTTTTTCCCTACAGGCCTCGATGGGCCCTAAGTGGTCCCTTCGTAGATTCTACAAAAAGGAATGTTTCCAACCTACTGAATCAAAACAAAGTTTAACCCTGTAAAACGAATCCACACATTGCAAAGCATTTTCACAGATACCTTGTTTCTAGTTTTTATCAGAGGACATTCAACTTTTTCTAACAGGCCTCAATGGGATCAAATTGTCCAATCATAGATCCTACAAAAAGAGTGTTTCCAAACTACTGAATCAAAACCAAGTTTAACTCTGTGAAATGAATCCATACATCGCCAAGCATTTTCACAGATAGCTTGTTTCCAGTTTCAATTGTGGGATATTTGGTTTATCGCTATAGTCCTCAAAGTTCTCTGAAATGCCCCTTCATAGATTGAACAAAAAAGTGTTTCCAACTTGCTGAGTCAAAATAAAGTTTAAACTCTGTGATATGAATCCACACATGGCAAAGCATTTTAACACATATCTTGTTTCTAGTTTTTATTGCATGATATTTGGTTTTTCTGTATAGACCTCAATAGGCTTTAAAATGTCTCTTCATAGATTCTACAAAAGTGTTTCTAACCTGCTAAATGAAAACAAATTTTAACTCTGAAATGAATGAACACATCACAAAACATTTTCACAGATAGGTTGTTTCTAGTTTTTATCATGGGGTATTCGGGTTTTCACTATAGGCCTCAATATGATTTTAAATGTCCCTTTCTAGATGCTACAATAAGAGTGTTTCCAAGCTACAGAATTAAAAAAAAAGGTTTTTCTCTGAGAGATGAATCCACACATTGAATAGCATTTTCACAGATCGCTTGTTTCTCATTTTTATCACAGGACATTCGCTTTCTCACTATAGGCCTCAATGGGCTTCAAAATATTTCTTCCTAGATCCTACCAAAAGAGTGTTTCCAACCTGCTGAATCAAAAAAATGGTTTAACACTGAGATGAGTCCACAGATCACAAATCATCACAGATAGCTTGTTTCTATTTTTTATTGTGGAATATTTAGTTTTTCATTATGTAACTCAATTGGCTTTGAAATGTTCCTTTGTAGATCCTAAGAAAGTAGTGTTTCTAACCTGATGAATCAAAACAAAGGTTTAACTCTGTGTGATGAATCCACACATTACAAAGGATTTTCCCAAGGAGCTTGTTTCTAGTTTTTATCATGGAATATTATGTTTTTCACTATAGGCCTCAATAAGCTCTGAAATGTCCTTTTGTAGATTCTACAAAAAGAGTGTTTCCAACATGCAGAATTCAAACAAAGGGTTAACTCTGTAAAATGAATTCAAACATCACAAAACATTTTTATGGATAGCTTGTTTCTAGTTCTAATCACAGGATATTCAACATTTCACTATAGGCCTCAATGGTCTCCAAAATGTTTCTTCATAGATTTTTTACAAAAAGAGAGTTTCCAGACTGCTGTGCAATACAAAGGTTTAACTCTGTGAGATGAATCCTCACATTGCAAAGCATATTCACAGATAGCTTATTTCTGTTTTTATCACGGGATCTTTGATTTTTCAGTATAGGCCTCAATGGGCTTAGAAATGTCACATTGTAGATTCTACAAAACAGTGTTTCCAACATGCTGAATCAAAACAAAGGTTTAACTTTGTAAAATGAATGAACACATCACAAAGCATTTTCACAAATAGCTTGTTTCTAGTTTTTAATTGCAGGATATTTGGTTTTCCTCTGTACGCCTCAATGGGATCTGAAATGTCTCTTTGAAGATGGTACCAAAAGAGTGGTTCCAACCTGCTGAAACAAAAAAAAAAGGTTGAACTCTGTTACATGAATCCACAATTGCAAAGCATTTTCACATACAACTTGTTTCTAGTTTTTACCATGGGATATTTGGTTTTCCACTGTAGGCCTCAATGGGCTCTGAAATGTCCCTTCACAGGTTCTACAAAAAGAGTGTTTCTAACCTGTTGATAAAAAAAAGATTTATCTCTTTCAGATAAGTCTACACGTCAAAAAGCATTTTCACAGGTAGCTTGTTTCCAGTTTTTATCATGTGACATTTTGTTTTTCACTATAGACCTCAAAGGGATCAGAAATGTCTCTTTTACATTCCACTAAAAGAGTGTTTCAAACCTGCAGTACAAAAAAAAAGGTTTAACTCTGTGAGGTAAATCCACATAATGCAAAGCATTTTCACATATAACTTGTTTCTAGTTTTTATCCTGGGATATTCTGTTTTTGTCCCTAGGCCTCAATGGGCTTTGAAACATCCCTTTGTGGATAATGCAAAAAGAGTGTTTCCACCTTGCTGAATAAAAAAAAAAAAAAGTTTAAGTCTTTGAGATGAATCAATACATGGCAAATCTAATTCACAGATAGCTTGTTTCTAGTTTTTTTGAGGGTTGTTCATTTTTCACTATAGGCATCAATGGGATCTGAAATGTCCCTTCGGAGATTCTACAAAAAGAGTGTTTCCAAGCTGCTGAATTGAAACAAAGTTTTAACTTTTGAAGATAGAACCACACATCACAATGCATTTTCACAAATAGCTGGTTTCTAGTTTTTATCATGGGATATTGGTTTTCACTACATGCCAAAATGGGCTCCAAATTGACCTCTCATAGATTCTACAAGCAGAGAGTTTCCAAACTGCTGACGCAATACAAAGGTTTAACTTTGTAAGATAAATCTACAAATTGCAAAGCATTTTTACAGATACTTTGTTTCTAGCTTTTATCACAGTATATTCTGTTTTTCACTACAGGCCTCAATTTGCTCTGAAATGTCCTGCCGTATATTCTACAATAAGAATGTTTCCAACCTCCTGAATAAAAAGAAAGATTTAACTCTATGAGATGAAATCATGCATCTCAAAGCATTTTTAGAGATAGCTTCTTTATAGTTTTTATTAGGATTTTAGGTTTTTCACTATCAGCCTCAATGGGCTTTGAAATATCTCCTCATCAATTGTACAAAAAGAGAGTTTCCAACCTGCTGAATCAAAAGAAAGGTTTAATATTGTGAAACAAATCCACAAATTGCAAAGCGTTTTTACAGATTACTTGTTTCTAGTTTTTATCACGGGATATTTGGTTTTTCACTATAGGCCTCAGGGGGATAAGAAATGTCCCCTCGTTGATTCTGCAAAATGAATGTTTCCAACCTGCTAAGATTCCAACCTGCTGAATCAAAACTAACATTCAACTCTGTGAGATGAATCCACACATTGCAAAGCATTTTCGCAGATAGCTAGTTTCTAGTTTTTATCATGGGATATTCAGTTTTTTACTACAGGCCTCATTGGGTTTGAAATGTCCCCTTGCAGATTCTAGAAAAATAGTGTCTCCCACCTGCTAAGTCAAAATAAAGGTTAAACTCTGTGAGATGAAACCACACATTGCCAAACATTTTTACAGATAGCTTGTTCTAGTTTTTATCATGGCATATGTGGTTTTTCACTATAGGCCTCAATGAGCTCAAAATTGTCCCTTCCTTTATTCTACAAAAGGAATGTTTCCAACCTGCCCAGTCAAAACAAGGTGTAACTCTGTGAGATGAATCTACACATTGCAAAACATTTTCACACATAGCTTGTTTCTAGTTTTTATCCTGGGATATTTGGTTTTTAGTACAGGTCTCTATGGGCTCCGAAATGTCCCTTCATAGATATTACAAAAAGAGTATTTTCAACCTTCTGAACTAAAACAAGGGTTTAACTCTGCAAGATGAATCCACACATCTCAAAGCATTTTCACAGATAATTTGTTGTCAGTTTTTATGAGGGATTTTTTTTTATAATAGGCCTCAAGGACTCAGAAATTTCTTATTTTAGATTCTACTAAAACAGTGTTCTCAACCTGCTGTATACAAACATAGGTATAACTCTGTGAGATAAAACCACACATCACAAACATTTTCACAGATAGCTTGTTTCTAGCTTTTATCACAAGATATTCAGTTTTTTTCACTACAGGCCTCAATGGGCTCTGAAATGTTCCTTCATAGATTCTACAAAAGAGTGTTTGAAACCTGCAGAATCAAAATAAAAGTTTAACTCTGTGAGATGAATCCACACATCACAGAGCATTTTTGCTAATAATTTGTTTCTAGTTTCTATGGTGGGATATTTTGTTTATCAATATAATCACACATGGGCTTCAAAATGTCCCCTCATAGAGTCTTAAAAAAGACTATTTCCAATCTGCTAAGTCAAAACATATGTTTAACTCTGAGGGATAACCCACATATCACAAAGCATTTTCACAGATAGATTGTTTCTAGTTTGTATCGTGGAATATTGGGTTTTTGACTATGGGCTTCAATGGACTCTAAACCATCCTCTCTTAAATTCTACAAAAAGAGTGTTTCCAACCTGCTGTATATAAACAAGAGTTTAACTCTGTGAGATGAATTCAGACTCAAAGCATTTTTATGGATAGCTTGTTTCTGTTTCCATTGTGAAATATTTCATTTTTCACTATAAGCCTTAATGGGCTCCAAAATATCCCTTCGTAAATTCTAAAAAAAGAGTGTTTCACAACTGCAGAATCAAAACAAAGGTTTAACTCTGTGAGACGAATCCACCCATTCCAAAGCATTTTTACTAATAATTCGTTGCTAGTTTCTATAATGGGAAATTCAGCTTATCAATGTACTCGTCCATGGGCTTCAAAATCGCCATTCATAGACTCTTTAAAAAGAGTGTTTCCAATGTGCTGAATCAAAACAAATGTTTAAATCTGAGAGATGATTTGCATATTGCAAAGCATTTCACAGATAGCTTGATTCTAGTTTTTATCAGGGAATATTCAGTTTTTCACCATAAGCCTCAATGGTCTTTGAAATGTCCCTTCTTAGATTCTACTAAAAGTGTGTTTCCAACCTGTTGAATAGAAACAAAAATTTAACTATATGAGATGATTCTATATGTCACAAAGCATTTTACCACATAGCTTGTTTCTAGTTTTTATTGTGGGATATTGTTTTTCACTGCTGGCCCCAAAGGGCTCTGAAATGTCCCTTTGTATATTCCTCAAAGTGAGTGATTCCAAACTGCTGAAGTTAAAAAAAAAAAAAGTTTGTTGTGCTTTTTTTTGTTGTTTTTTTTGAGATGGAGTCTCTCTCTGTCACCCAGGCTGGAGTGCAGCAGCGTGATCTCGGCTCACTGCAAGCTCCACCTCCTGGGTCCATGCCATTCTCCTGCCTCAGCCTCCCGTGTAGCTGGGACTATAGGCGCCGGCCACCAGGCCTGGCTAATTTTTTGTATTTTTAGTAGAGACAGGGTTTCACCGTGTTAGCCAGGATAGTCTCGATCACCTGACTTCATGATCTGCCTGCCTTGGCCTCCCAAAGTGCTGGGACTACAGGCATGAGCCACTGCACCCAGCAAAATAAGGTTTTACTATGTGAGATGAATCCACACATCACACAGCATTTTCAGAAGTAAATTTTTAATTGTTTTTATCATGAAATATTCGTTTTTTTTACTATAGACTTTCATAGGTATGAAATGTCGTGTGTTCTAGAAAAAAAGGATTCCCAACCTGCTGAATAAACACAAGGGTTTAACTTTGTGAGATCAATCCACACATTGCAAAGAATTTTTACTGATAGCTTTTCTCTAGTTTTTATCACGGGATAATCAGTTTTTCAGTACAGGTCTCAATTTGCTTTGAAATGTCCTCTAGTACATTGTAGAAAAAGAGTGTTTCCAACCTGCTGAATGACAAGATAGTTTAAACTGTGTGAGATAAAATTACATATTGCAAAGCATGTTCAGACATAGCTTCTTTGTAGTTTTTGTGTTTTTTTTCCCCCGTGGGACATTTGGTTTTTCACTGTATGCCTCAATGGGCTCTGAAACGCCCCCTCATAGATTGTACAAAAAGATTGTATTAAACATGCAGAATCAAAAGAAAGGTATAACTCTGTGAGATAAATCCACACATAGCAGAGCATTTTCACAGATAGGTTGTTTCTAGTTTTTATCATGGAATATTCTGTTTTTCACTACATGCCTTAACGGGCTTCAAAATGTTGCTTCATAGATTCTATAAAATAAGAGTTTACAGCCTGCTGAATCAGAATGAAGGTTTAACTCTGGAGGTGAATCTGCACATTGTAAAGCATTTTCACAGAGAGCTTTCTTCTTTCTTTTTTAGTGAGGAATATTTGGTTATTCATTGTTGGCCTCAATGGGCTCCAAAATGTCCTATCATAGATTCCACAAAATTAATGTTTCTGACCTACTTAAGCAAAAAAAAAGTCTTAACTCTGTGACATGAATCCACACATCACAAAGCATTTTCACAAGTAGCTTGTTTGTAGTTTTTATCACGGGATATTTGGTTTTACACTATAGACTTCAATGGGCTTCAAAATGTCTTTTCTTAGATTTTACAAAAAAGTGTTTCCTACCTGGAATCAAAGCAAAAGTTTATCTCTGCGAGGTGAATTGACACATTGCAAAGTATTTTCACAAATAGCTTATTTCTAGTTTTTATCATGAAAAATTTGATTTTTTACTATTGGCTTCAATGGGCCCTGAAATGTCCCTTTGTAGATTCTACAAAGAGAGTTTTTCCAACCTGCTGAATCAAAACAAAAGTTTAACTCTATGAGATGAATCCACACATTGCAAAGCATTTTTAGAGATTGCTTTTTCATTGTTTTCATCGCGAAACATTCGTTTTTTACTGTAGGCGTCAATTCGTGTGAAATGTCCCATTGCATATTCTACAAAAAAAGTGTACCAAACTTGCTGAATAAAAACAAAGGTTTAACTTTGTGAGATGAATCCACACATTGCAAAGCATTTTCACAGATAGCTTGTTACTAGTTTCTATCTTGCAATATTTGTTTTTTAAATATAGGCCTCCATGGGCTCCAAAATGTCCCTTTGTAGATTCTACAAACTGAGTGTTTACAACCTGCTGAACCAAAACAAGGGTTCAACTCTGTGAGATGAATCCATATATCACAAAGCATTTTTACAGATAGTTTGTTTTCAGTTTTTATTGGGGGATATTTTGTTTTTCATTATAGGCCTCAAAGGTCTCAGAAATATCTTCTTTTAGATTCTACTAAGAGAGTGTTAGCAAACTGCTGTATATAAACATAGGTTTAAGTCTTTGAGGTAAATACACACATTGCAAACATTTTCAGATATAGCTTATTTCTAGATTTTGTCACAAGATATTTGGTTTTTCACTAGAGGCGTCAATGGGTTCAGAAATGTTCCCTCATAGATTATACAAAAAGTGTGTCTCCAGTCTGCTGAATCAAAAAAAAAAAAAAGGTTTAGCTCTGTGAGATAAATCCACACATTGCAAGCTAATGCATAATGCAGAGATAGTTTTTTTCTAGTTTTATCACAGGATATTGGTTTTTCACTATAGGCCTCAATGGGCTCAGAAACGTTCCTTTGTTGATTCTACAAAAAATGTGTTTCCAACCAACTGAATCAAAACAAAAGTTTAACTCTGCAAGATCAACTCACACATCACAAAGCATTTTCACAGATAGCTTGTTTCTAGTTTTTATCAAGAGATACTCGATTTTTTTTTATTGTAGACTTCAGTGTGCTCTGAAATGTCCTTTCATAGATTCTACAAAAACAGTGTTTTCAACCTGCTGAATTAAAATGAAAGTTAAACTCTGTAAGATGAAATCATACATCAAAAAGCATTTTCACAAATAGATTGTTTCTGGTTTTTATTGTGGGATATTTGGTTTTTCAATATAAGCATCAATGGGCTTCGAAATGTTCCTTCTTAAATTTTACAAAGAGACTGTTTTCAACTTCCTGAATAAAAACAGTGGATAAATCTGTGAGATGAATCCACACATTACAAAGCATTTTCACAGGTAATTATTTTTTAGTTTTTCTCATGGAATATTGTGTTTTTCAATATAGGCTTCAATGGACTCTAAAATGTCCTCTCTTAAATTTTACAGAAACAGTGTTTGCAATGTGCTGTATATAAACAAAAGTTTTCCTCTGTGAGATAAATCTACACACACAAAGCATTTTCACAGATACCTTGTTTCTAGTTTTCATCATAAAATATTTGATTTTTCACTATAGGCCTCAGTGGGCTCCAAAATGTCCCTTCATAGATTCTACAAAAAAAGTATTTCCATCCTTCTGAATCAAAACTAAGGTTTTACTCTCTGTGATGAATTTACACATTGCAAAGCATTTTCATAGATAGCTTGTTTCTAGTTTTTATTGTGGGATATTTGGTTTTTTATTATAGGCCTAAAAGGGCTCAGAAATTTCTTCTTTTAGATTCTACTAAAAGAGTGTTTCCAAATTGCACTATAAAAACCAAGTTTACTTCTGTGCAATAAATCAACATATCACAAAGAATATTCACAGATAGCTTGTTTCTAGTTTTTATCACAGGATATTGTGTTTTTCACTAAAGCCTCAATGGGCTTTGAAATGTCCCTCTGTAGATTTTATAAAAAGAGTGTTTTTAACCTGCTGAATCAAAACAACGTTTAACTTTTTGAGATGAATCCACACATTGCAAAGCGTTTTCACAGATAGATTGTTTCTAGTTTTTATTGCAGGATATTGTTTTTTCACTCAGGCCAATATGGGCTTCGAATTATCCCCTCGTAGATTAGATTATACAAACATCGAGTTTCCAAGATGCTGAAGCAAAACAAAGGCTTAACTTTGTAAGATGAATCTACATATTGCAAAGCATATTTTACAGATAGCTTGTTTCTAGTTTTTATTGCTGGATATTTGGTTTTTC
The DNA here is from genome assembly GCF_000001405.40 of Homo sapiens. NCBI lineage: Eukaryota > Metazoa > Chordata > Mammalia > Primates > Hominidae > Homo > Homo sapiens. The sequence continues at coordinate 22,683,772 of NC_000017.11, forward strand.
ACTGTAGGCTTCAATTTACTCTGAAATATCCTATCAAATATTCTACAAAAAGAGGGTTTCCAACCTACTGAACCAAAAAAAAAAGTTTAATTCTGTGAGACTAAATCACACATCGCAAAGCATTTTCAGAGACAGCTTTATAAAGATTTATTGCAGGATATTTGGTTTGTCGCTATAAGCCTCAATGTTCCTTGAAATGTCTCTTCATCGATTGTGCAAAAACAGTTTCCAACTTTTTACTGTAGGCCTCAGTGGGCTCAGAAATGACTCTCAAAGATTCTACAAAAAGAATACTTCTAACCTGCTGAATCAAAACAAAAGTTTAACTCTTTGGGGCAAATCCATATATCAGGAAGCCTTTTCACAGATAGCTTCTTTCAAGATTTTATCGTGAAATATTCGTTTTTTTCTATAGACCTCACTGGGCTCAGAATTGACCCCTCTTAGATTCTACTAAAAGAGTGTTTCCAAAATGCTGTATAAAAATAAAGTTTTAACTCTGTATGATGAATCTACACATCACAAAGCATTTTCAGATATAGCTCGCTTCTAGTTTTTATCACGGGATATTCTGTTTTTCACTATAGGCCTCAAAGGGCTCCAAAATGTCCCTTTGTAGATTCTGCAAAATGAGGGTTTTTAACCTGCTGAACATAAACAGAGGTTTACCTCTGTGAGATAAATCCACACATCACAAAACATGTTCAAAGGTAGTTTTTTATCTAGTTTTTATCACATGATATTCAGTTTTTCACTATAGGCCTAATGGGCTCTGAAATTTCCCTTTTTAGATTCTACAGAGTGTTTACAACCTGCTGAATCAAAACAAGGTTTTAACTATGTGAGATGAATCCATACATCTAAAGCGTTTTCACAAATTGTTTGTTTTTATAGGGGGATAGTCAGTTTTTTACTACAGGCCACAAAAAGCTCAGAAATGTCTTCTTTTAGATTCTACCAGAAGAGTGTTTCCAACCTGCTGTATATAAATATAGGTTTAGCTCTGTGAAATAAATCCACACATTGCAAACATTTTCACAGATAGCTTGTTTCTAGTTTTTATCACGGGATATTTGGTTTTTCACCATAAGCCTCAATAGGCTCCTAAATGTCCCTTTGTAGATTCTACAAAATGTTTCCAACTTGCTCGATTAAAAAAAAAAAAGGTTTAACTCTGTGAGATGTATCCACACATCAAAAATCTTTTTCACAGATAGAGTATTTCTAGTTTTTATTGTGTGATATTCTGTTTTTCATTAAAGGTCTCATTGAGCTCCAAAAAATCCCTATGTAGATTCTACAAAAAGAGTGTTTCCAGACTGCTGAATCAAAACAAAGGTTTAATTCTAAGAGATCATTCCAAACATTGCAAGACACTTTTACAAATAGGTTGTTTCTAGGTTTTATCATGGGATATTTAATTTTTTAATATAGGCCTCAATGGGCTCCAAAATGTACCTTTGTAGATTCTACAAAAAGAGTGTTTTCAACTGGCTGAATCCAAACAAAGGTTTAACACTGTGAGAGAAATGCACACATCGCAAAGTATTTTAATTGGTAGCTTGTTTCTAGCTTTATTTCAGGATAATCAGTTTTTGACTACAGGCCTCAATGGGCTTCAAAATGTCCCCTCTTATATTCTACAAAAAGAGTGCTTTAAACCTGCTTAATCAAAGCAAAGGTTTAATTCTGTGAGATGAATCCAAACATTGCAAAGCATTTTCACTTATATCTTATTTCTAGTATTTAATGCAGGATATTTTGTTTCTCACTATAGACCTCAATAAGCTCTGAAATGTCCCCTCATAGATTCTACAAAAAGAGTTCTTTCAACCTGCTGAATAAAAACAAAGGTTTAACTCTGTAAAATGAAATGACACGTTGTAAAGCATTTTCACAGATAGCTTGGTTCTAATTTTTGTCGTGGGATATTCAGTTTTTCACCACAGGCCACAGTGGGCTCCAAAATATCCATTTGTAGACTCTACAAAAGGAATTATTTTGGCCTCTTGAATCAAAACAAAGGTTTAACTCTGACAGATGAATCCATACATTGCAAAGAATTTTCACAGACAGCTTTTTCTAGTTATCATCACAGGACATTCTGTTTTTTCATACACTTCTTCATGGGCTCTGAAATGTCCCTTAGTAGATTCTACAAAAAGAGTGTTTTCAACATGCTGAATCAAAATGAATGCTTAACTCTGTGAGTTGAATCCACACATCACAAAGCATTCTCTTATATGGCTGGTTTCTGGTTTTTATCTCGAGATATAAGGTTTTTAAATGTAGGCCTCAACGTTCTCTGAAATGTGTCCTCTTAGATTCTACAAAAACAGTGTTTCCAACCTGCTGAATCAAAACAAAGTTTTAACTCCATGAGATGAATTGACACATCACAAAGCATTTTCACAGATAACTTTTCTAGTTTTTGTCAAGTGATATTCGGTTTTTCACTAGTGGCCTTTGTGGTCTCCAAAATGTCCCTTCATAGAGTCTACAAAAAGAATATTTCCAACTGGCTGAATGAAAACAAAAGTTCATACATGTGAGATACATCCACATATTGCAAAGCATTTTCACAAATAACTTGTTCCTAGTTTTTATCATGGGAAATTTGGTTTTTCACTATAGACCTCAATAGGCTCCAAAATGTCCCCTTGTAGATTGCACAAAAAGTGTTTTCAACATGCTAAATCAAAACAAAGGTTTTAATCTGTGATATGAATCCATACATCACAAAGCATTTCCATACATCACAAAGCATTTCCACAATCAAAACAAAGGTTTAACTCTGTGAGATGAATCCACATGCTGCAAAGTATTTTTGCAGATAGCTTTTTTCTATTTTATGTCATGGGATATTTGGCTTTTCGCTGTGCTGGTCCGTGAGCTCCAAAATGTCCCTTTGTAGATTCTACAAAAAGAGTCTTTAATCTGCTCAATCAAAACAAATGTTTAACTCTGAGAGATGAATACACCCATCACATATCATTTTCACCGATAGCTTGTTTCTAGTTTTATCACAGGATATTCAGTTTTTCACTGTAGGCCTCAATTGGCTACAAAATTTCCCTTCGTAGATTCTACAAAAAGTGTGATTCTGGCCTGCTAAATCAAAACAAAGGTTTAACTCTGTGAGATGAATCCTCACATTGCAAAGCATTTTCGCAGATAGCTTGTTTCTAGTTTTTGTCACACGACATTTGGTTTTTCACTATATATCTCAATTTTCTCCAAAATGTCCCCTCATAGAGTCTATAAAAAGAGTGTTTCCAATTTTCTGAATCATGATAAAGGATTAACTCTGTGAGATGAATATACACATGGCAAAGAATTTTTACAGATAGATTGTTTCTAGTTTTTTTGTTGGGATATTTGGATTTTCACTGTAGGCCTCAATGGCCTCTGAAACGTCCCCACCTAGATGGTACAAAAGGACTGCATCCAATGTGCTGAATAAAAATAAAGGTTTATCTCTATCAGAAGAATCCAAACATTAAAAAGCATTTTCACAGATAGCTTGTTTCTAGCTTTTATCATGGGATATTCAGTTTTTCACTAATGGCCCTAATGGGCTCTGAAATGTCCCTTCTTAGATCCTCCAAAGACAGTGTTTCCAACATGCTTAATCAAAACAAAGGTTTAATTCTTTGAGATGGATCCAGACATCACAAAGCATTTTCAGAGATAGATTTTTTATTGTTTTTATCACAAAATATTCATTTTTTTACTATAGGCATCAATGGGTGTGAAATGTCCTTTTGTATATTCTATAAAAAAGTGTCTTTAACCTGCTAAATAAATACAAGGTTTAATTCTGTGAGATAAATCCACACATTGCAAAACATTTAAAAAGATAGCTCGTTTTTACTTTTTATTGCAGTATATTTGGTATTTCACTATGGGCCTCAATGGGCTTCAAAATGTTACTTTGTAGATTTTACAAAAAGAGAGTTTCCAACCTGCTGAATCAAGACAAAGGATTAACTCTGTTAGATGAATTCACACATTGCAAAGAATTTTTACTGATAGCTTGTTTCTGGTGTTTATCGTGGGATAATCAGTTGTTCATCAACCTGCTGAATCACAAGAAAGTGTAACTCTGTGAGATGAAATCACACTTTGCAAATAATTTTCAGAAACAGCTACTTTGTAGTTTTTATCATGGGAAATTCAAATTTTCACTGTTAGTCTCAATGGGCTTTGAAATGTCATTTTGTAGATTGTACAAAAAGAGTGTATCCAATCTGCTGAATCAAAACAAAGGTTTAATTCTGTGAGATAAATCCACACATTGCAAAGCATATTCACAGCTAGGTTGCTTTTAGTTTTTATTGTGGGATATTGGGGTTTTCACTATAGGCCTCAATGGGCCCTGAAATGTTTCTTCGTAGATTCTACATAAAAAGTGTTTTAAACCTGCTGAATCAGAAGAAAGGTTTAACTCTGTGAGATGAATAAACACATTGCAAAGCATTTTTACAGATAGCCTGCCTCCAGTTTTTGCCATGGGATATTTGGTTTTTCCATATAGGCTGCAATGGACTCCAAAATATTACTTTGTAGACTCTGCAAACTGCTGAATTAAAACAAAGGTTTAACTCTGTGAAATTGAATCCACACATCACAAAGCATTTTCACAGATAGTTTACTTCGGTTTCTTACTGTAGGCCTCAGAGGTTTGAAATGTCTTTTCTTTGTTTCTACGAAAAGTGTGTTTCCAACCTGTGGAATCATAGTAAATGTTAAACTCTGTGAAATGAATTCCAGACATTGCCAAGCATTTTCACAGATAGCTGGATTCTAGTTTTTATTGAGGGATATTCGTTTTTTTACTATAGACCTCAAAGGGCTCAGAAATGCCCATTTGTAGATTTTACAAAAAGAGTGTTTCAAATTTCCTGAATCAAAACAAAGGCTTAACTCTATGAGATGAATCTACACATCTCAAAGCATTTTCACAGAGAGCTTGTTTCTACTTTTTATTATATATATTATATATATTTATACTTGGTTTCTCACTGTAGGCCTCAATGGGCTCCAAAATGTTTCTTCGTTGACTCTACAGAAACATGGTTTCCACTCTGCTAAATCAGAAAAAAGGTTTAACTCTGTGAGCTAAATCCACACATCACTAAGCATTTTCACAGGTGCCTTGCTTCTAGTTTTTATTACAGGATATTTTGTTTTTCACCCTAAGTCTAAATGGGCTCCAAAATGTCCCTTCTTAGATTCTACAAATACATTGTTTCCAACCTGCTGAATCAAAACAAAGGTTTAACTTTGTAAGGTGAATCCACACATGGCAATGCATTTTCAGAGTTAGATTTTTTATTGCTTCTATCATGAAATATTTGGTTCATTACTATAGGTGTCAATGGCTGTTAAATGTCCCTTCATATAACCTATAAAACAAGTGTTCATAATTGGCTGAATAAATACAAAGTTTTAACTCTGTGAGATGAAATCATACATTGCAAAGCATTTTCAGACATAGTTTCTTTTTAGTTTTTATCGACGAACATTCATTTTTTCACTATAGGCCTCAATGGGCTCAGAAATGTACCTTCACAGATTGTACAAAGTGTATCCACTTGTGGAATCAAAGCAAAGGTTTAGTTCTGTCAGATAAATCCTAACATCACAAAGCCTTTTCACAGATAGTTTGCTTGTAATTTTTATCGTCGGATATTCTGTATTTTACTGTAGGCCTCAATGGGCTCTGAAATGTTTTCTCCTAGATTCTACGAAAAAAAGTGTTTCCAACTCTGTAAGATGCATCTCACATTACAAAGCATTTTCACAGAAAACTTGCTTCTAGTTTTTGCTGCAAATATTCAGTTTTTCACTATAGGCCTCAATGGGCTCTGAAGTGTCCCTTTGTTGATTCTACAAAAAGACTGTTTATGAAGTGCTGAATTAAAACAAAGGTTTAACCCTGTGAGGTGAATCCGCACATCACAAAGCATTTTCACAGGAAGCTTGTTTGTACTTTTTATCGTGGGATATTTGGTTTTTCACTATAGGCCTCATTGGGCTTCAAAAAGTATTTTATTAGATTCTATGAAAAACATGTTTCCAACCTGCTAAATGGAAACAAAGGTTTCACTCTGTGAGATAAATACACACATTGCAAAGCATTTTCACAGATAGCTTTTTTTCTAGTTTTTATCATGGGATAATCGATTTTTCACTATAGGCCTCAATGGGCTTTGAAAAGGCCCTTTGTAGATTCTACAATTAAAGTGTTTTCAACCTGTTGAAACAAAACAAAGGTTTAACTCTATGAGATAAATCCACACATTACAAAGCTTTTCACTGATTGATAGGTTTTTTCTAGGTTCTATCGTGGGATATATAGTTTTTCTTTTTCTTTTTCTTTTTTTTTTCAGGGGACGGAGTTTTGCTCTTGTTGCCCAGGCTGGTGTGCAATGGTGCTATCTCTGGCTCACTGCAAGCTCCTCCTCCCCAGTTCAAGCCATTCTCCTGCCTCAGCCTCCCGAGTAGCTGGGATTACAGGCATGTGCCACCACACCCGGCTAATTTTGTATTTTTAGCAGAGATGGGGTTTTTCCACATTGGTCAGGGTGGTCTTGAACTCCCAACCTCAGGTGATCCGCCCTCCTAGGCCTCCCAAAGTGCTGGGATTACAGGCATGAGCCACCATGCATGGCGGGATATAGAGTTTTTCACTGAATGCCTCAATGGGCTTCAAAATGTCCCTTCATTGATTCTACAAAAAGAGTGTTTCCAACGTGCTAAATCAAAACAAACAAACAAACAAAAAAAACTTTAACTCTCTGAGATGAATCCACACATCACAAAGCATTTTCACTGATAGCTTGTTTCTAGTTTGTACTGGGAATATTTGGTTTTTCACTATAGAACTCAATGGGCTCCAAAATTTTCTTTTGTAGATTGTAAAAAAGGAGTGTTTCCAACTTATTGAAGCAAAAGAAAGATTTCACTCTGTGAGATTAGCCCACATATCGTAAAGCATTTTCACAGATAGCTTGCTTCTAGTTTTTACCACCAGATATTCTGTTTTTCACTCTAGGCCTCCATGGGCTCCAAAGTGTCCCCTTGTAGATTCTACAGAAAGAGTGTTTCCAAACTGCTGAATTGAAACAAATGTTTGACTGTGTGACATAATTTTACACATCCCAAAGCATTTTCATGGATAGCTTGTTTGTAGTTTTTATTGCAGGATATTCAGTTTTTCACTATAGACCTCAATGTGTTTTGAAATGTCCCTTCTTAGAATCTACAAAAAATGTGCTTCCAAATAGCTGAATCAAAACAAGGTTTTAACTCTGTGAGATAAATCAACATGCAGTAAAGCCATTTGACAGATAGCTTTCATTAAGTTTTTATTGTGGGATATTCTGCTTTTCTCTATAGGCACCAATGGGCTTTGAAACGTCCCTTCATAGGTTCTACAAAAAAAAAAGTGTTTACAGGCTGCTGAATCAAAACAAAGATTTAGCTTTGTGTGATTAATCCAGATATCACAAAGCATCTCACTGATAGTTTGTTTCTAGTTTTTATCGCAGGATAATTTGTTTTCCACTATAGTCTCAATTGGCTTCTGAATCACCCTGGTAGATTCTAGAAAAAGAGTGCTTCCAAACAGCTGAATCACAAGAAAGGTTTAACACTGTGAAATGAAACCACAAATCGGAAAGCATTTTCAGTGATGGCTTCTTTGTAGTTTTTATCACGGGATATTCGGTGTTACACTATAGGCCTCAAAGAATTTTAAATGTCCCTTCATTGATTGTACAAAAAGAGTGTATCCATCCTTCTGAATCAAAACAAGCGTTTAACTCTGTATAACAAATCCACACACCCTAAAGAATTTTCACCTTATCCCCCAGCAAGGAAACTCTTGTTCTCCCAGCTTCTATCGGAGGGCTGCATGATTCCTGTAGGATGAGAAACAGGCAGCCATGTCTGGCTTTTACCTGGTAATCTAGGCTGTTTCCTTTCATCTGCCCATCCTCTCTCATTGTAGAGGGGGTCTTTCACTGGGCTGTTGCTGGGTGGGACTGCCTCTCACTGGGGATCTTTTGTCTGTCACGGATTTCAGAGAGCAAAAGGGATTTCAGGTAGGCTGGCTGCGCTCCAAGTTGTGGATAGCGATCTCATTGAGGGGGTTGGGTTAGTTTGCACTTTGCAGGAGACTTTTGGGTCTTCTGACAGGAATCCTTGAACATGGCTTGGACTCCAGCACAAATCCGCTTGTTCTCCCAGGCAAGCGTTGATTTTTCTTTGCTTTCATGGTGGGTCCACAGTGCCCCTCAACAGCACTCCTAGACACCATTTTCAGGCTTGCAATTGCCCTAAACGGCCTCTGAGACACCCTCTCAACGTCATCTGCACCCGTGAGATGCTAGTTCGAGGTTTGAGAACACTGCCTCACCTCGGACTTGCCTTTGTCATGGTTCCTGCCTTCTAGAGTGCCCTGCTGAGAAGCAGGAGCCCCTGCAAGGCCCAGAATGAAGGGACGTAGTGAGCTCAAGGGCCCGGCCATCTTCCACTGACCCCCGCCTCTGGGGTCTCAGGTATGATTCCATCACGTGGACACCCGTCAACAACTCACCGGACTGTATTTTCATTCCCATGCGACCGGATTCTTGCACACAGCCTCTTTCTGGAACAGAGTCAGAAGAGCAATTTCCAGCACCCACCTCACAGTTTCGAAACGCCTCCTCCTCCAGCGGGACCCGACCTCAGAGACGTGCCGAGGAGGCCTTATTGTCGAGACATTTAGGGTCCCGCAGTGGGTTGTCGCGGGCAGCATTTTCCCGAGACCAGGTGCGCTCTGCCTGCACCATTTTCCTCTGCTTAGGTAGGCTGACAGCACTGACAACCCGGCGCCCAAGACTGCTTCACGAATGCGAATGCGTCAGTCTCTAGGCACCAGGCGCCAGTGGTGAGCAATGGCTCGCGTCACAGTGGCCACCGTTGCCTGGAGACAACTCCCTGCGGCTTGGTGGAGGAGACCTCTGTGGACATGCATTGGTGTTGGACTCTCGCCTGTGCTCTCTGGGGGATCCACGGGATAGTCCCCCGATTCTAGGAACTGGCAGGGGGAAGCAAGCCTAAAGAAACATCTAGTGAAGCTTCAGGTATAAATCGCGTAATTTCTAAGGATCCAAAAGGAACTGCAGGATGCGCCAAGCATGCCTAGTGGTCTCCTTGAGGGGTCTGGGGTGGTTTGCAGTTTGCGGGAGGCATCTGGGTCCTCTAGCTGGAATCCTTGAACGTGGCTTGGAGTCAAGCACAAGTCCGCTCGTTCTCCCAGGCGGGCCTTGATTTTTCTTTGATTTTATGGGGGTTCCACAGTGCCAATGAACAGAACTTGTGGACACCCTTTTCAGGCTTGCAATTGCCCCAGTGGGCCTCTGAGACACTCTCTCAACCTTATCTGAACCCGTGAGAGGCCAGTTCGAAGTGTGAGAACACTGCTCCACCTTGGAGTTGCCTTTGTCTTGGTTCCTGCCTTCTCAGAGAGCCGTGCTGAGAACAGGAGTCCCTGCGAGGCCCGGGATGAAGATCTTCTCTCTGGATCCGGAAGAATCATAATATTTATCAACTCTGTAAACTCTCGGGAAAGCACTTGTGCTAGCAAGGTAACCTGGCCTTTGTGAATTCATGCACTAGTCTCCATTTCTGGGAAGAGCTTCAGCACCAGCAGCACATACCACTGTGAGGGCAAGTGAAAAAGTATCACTTTGGGTAGATGGATATAATCCTCCCGTAAAGCTTCATTTGCAAGAAAACCACTATCACCCTTTTCCACCTGTGGAATAAAGATCCTTCTTACATGTCCAAGATCACCTGTGTTTAACATATTTATGTTGGCTCCCCAGTCATCTCCGTCTTGTTCACAGGCAGTATTTGGGATTGAGATTCGAGATGTAAAAGTAATACTAGATTTTGTATCCCTGTGACCCAAAGACATTGAATGAATATACCTCAAGCCCTGGCTACCTTGCAAAAGGAGAGCCTTCAACTCTGCTTCTTTAAAGTAATTTATGATTCTGCAGTTTTCATTCACTTCAGTATCAGCTAAATTTCCACCATGACAATATTCATCCTGTGTAAGCATAGGACCATCTTCTGCCCAGACAGAGAAATACGGAACTGCATGAGGAAGCCGTCCAGGCACTGCAGTAGAGCCTGTGCTCCTCTCAGAGTTCTTTGCTCACTGCAGAGTCGGCTTAAGGCTTTCCTGATCACCTAATGTGGTGCATGCACCCATGCTGCCTCTTCACACAGTAAACACAGAACCAAAACCTCCAGAGCAACTTTCTGCAGCTCCTGAAACTGCTGTGCGCCTTAACCTCGCTTTGCTCTCAGTCACTGCAGTTCTCTCAGCAGGCCACGTTTCATCTCCCAGCTCCTGAGCACTGGCTTCCATGTCTTCACTACAACAATCATCCCCATACCCCCAACAGAATCCGGAGTGAAAGAATCCGGAGTGAAAGGATCCGAATTCACTTGAAGTCTGTTGCACATCCAATTCCCATTTCCTGATTTTTCTGTATCACGAAGAAGAACGGTCCCAGAGTTTAACAGGGCTGGGATCAATTCTTCCAGCTCTGGAGAGAAAAACCGGGAGTGCAAGTGGCGGGTGGCAGAGGCGAAGCTTGCAGGAGATCCACTGGGACCCCCGGGATCCCTCAGCGCCCAGCAGGGCCCTCCCCGCCCGGGCCCCCACAGTCCTGCGAAGCCTCCCCCCAGTGCCCCCAGCACTCGCCAGAACCAGTAGCCCAGGAAGCAGGTGCCGCTGGCCACCAGGAGCCCAAGTACCCTCCCCGCACCAGTCACACAGAGACCCGCTGCCAGGCCGGTCAGCGCAGGGCAGGGCCCCAGAAGCTCCTCAGGCTCCAGCTCCAGGGGCTGCTGGGCCTGGCGGGCAAGGTTCCGCTCACCCCCAGAAAAGGAGACGGAGACCCACAAGGACCTCAGCTTGTCTGGTGCTGGAGGCCTGGGCTGTCAGAATGCCTCTCCGCCTTCCGGCAGGCGGGAGCCGCATGCGCCCCCTAGTGGCCGCGGCCAGAAGCTGTCACATCCCATGGGCGCAGGCGCCTCAGCCCCGCAAGGGGCGGGCTGGAGGTGCCACTCCCATTCATAGACCAGGAATCAGAGCCCTGGGCTGGAAGAGTCTGGTCAAAATTCTTCCAAACTGAGTGGGGACAGAGACCAACTCACCCCCAGCTGCAGTGTATGCAGTGTAGACAGATCTGGACTTTAGCCATTCCTGAGCCCCCCCTTGCCTCACCCGTACATGCCCGGCCCACCTTTCCCTTCCTCGCCAGGACCCCACATCCCTCCCTCTGAGTCGCTTCCTCTCTGAAACAAATAGTGGTGATAGCGAGTAACACATCAGTAACAAGAAACTAGCAGGTGCTCAGTAAAATGGTCTACCCTGGCCTCTTCCACAGTCAAGTGAGCATTAACAGGAAAATGCTCATTGGAAGTGGAGAGTCGCCGGCAGCCCCTCCGCCTCCCTCCGGCTTGGCCTTCCCGCAGAGCAAACTGGGGCCCAGAAAGGGTGTGGGCGAAGACCCTGTCACCTCCCAGCAGGGGGCGTGCTGCCCGCGGTTTTCGGGATCCTGGGCGTGGAGCCATCCTCACAGGACCCTCAGAGGTGGAGAGGAGAAAGAGCACACTCATTTGACAGGTGCAGAGACTGAGGTCCGTGGGGCAGGGGTGAGCGGCCCAGGGCAGCCAGACCTGTGAACAGTAGAGCTAGGATTCCAGCAGGTCCCCAGCCAGTCACTGGGTGAGCCCCTGTTGTGTGGGGATCACTGAGGTGCAGGCATTCTGATAACCACCGGCTTGAGGAACTCATGGTGCTCCATCCTGAATTCTGGGGCGCTTTCTAGGATACAATATGGTAAAGGTTGTGTAACATGTGTGAGGTCCAGCATGTGCACGAAGCAAACAGGGATAGATTGGGGTGGTAGTACAGGGACAGAATCACAGTTGGGACCCTTGAGAAGGCAGTTGGAATTTTTCTGCCAGAGCAGGAGAAACCCTCTGGGCACCCAGGCTGGCATGTGCAAAGGCGTAGAGGCAAGCTCCCCCTGACACACGGCTGGAGGGGAAGCTCTAAGTGCTGCGCACAGGCTGTTCACACTGCATCCTTCTCCCTGGACTTGCTCCCCCCACAGCACCTCCATCCTTCCAGTTAGCTATCCAGGCCACCACCCTCACCCTCTCACACCCACATCCTGTGGGCCCCACATTTGAGAGACAAGAATTCAGTTGCTTCTCACCCTCCATGGGTGCTCATCACCTGGTCTGAGTCCCCATCCTCTCTCTCCCCATACTTGGTCTCTGCTTCCATCCTTGACTCCTGACGTCTAATTGCAACTCAATACTAGGTCAGATCATGTCACACTTCTGCTCTGGTGCAAGAATTATGTGGTTCCTTCAGTTCAGTGTCCACCAGGATTTGATATTCCCAAGGCACATCTCTCACTCCTTTGTTCTCATTTTACCTTCACACAGGAAAACACTTTTTCTTCTTGAAGTGTGCTGTTATGTAGCTACTCTTGGCGATGAAATCTCTGTTATTACTTTTGAAATTATTTTAATTGTCTTTATGCCCTAAAGATATTTAGCTATATATTCAATGCTAGCTTGAATAATAATTTTTCTAAGCATGCGTTTTGACTTTTTAAAATTTAAGATGACATTAGATGATTTTATTATGTACATCATGATGTTTTGAACATTCCACATATAGATTGTTGAATGGTTAAATCTAACTATTAACAAATGCATTATCTAAGATCGTTATCATTTTTGTTGTGAGAACACTTATCATCCACTATCGTTGCAATTTTCTAGAATGCAATATATCATCAGTAACTGTAGCCACCTTGCTATACAATAGAATTATTGAAATTTGTTTTTTTCTATCCAGTTTTAATTATGTGCCCTCTGACCAACATCTCCCCATCCTGTTCCCCTCTCTAACCACTCCAGCCTCTGCTCATCGCCATTCTGCTCTCTACTTCTATGAGACCAACTAGTTTAGATCCCTCATATGAATGAGATAATGCAGTATTTTTCTTTCTGCACTTGGATTATTTCACTTAATATACTGTCCTCCAGGATCATCCATGTTGACAGTAATGACAGCATTTTATTCTGTTGTATGACTAACTAAATATCATTCCATTGTATCTGTTTATGTAATACATACATAAATGTATGTATACAAGCATATGTAGATATACCATTCTTCAAATATATTATTTTGCATTTATTTTTATTAAAAGTATATTTCTCCCTTATCTAAATGCTGATAAAAATATGAGGTATTTTCAGTCCTTCCTCTTAATAAAAGCCAAAGTTAAAGGTCTGTTTCCCTGTTTTTTAATAAGATTCTATTTCTTGCTGATTTTTTTGAGTTCCCTGCACATTCTGCATATTACTGCTTAATCGTAAGCATGGTTTGGATTTTTTTTTTCCTTTCTGTATAATGTCTGTTTCCTCTGTGGTTTATTTGTTTTCTTTGCCAAAACTTTTTATTAGTTTAATTCGGTCCCATTTATTTATTTTTGTTTTTGTTGCATTTGCTTTTGGGGTATTTGTCATAAATTATTTATCTAGGCCAACGTCTGGAAGAGTTTTTACTAGGCTTTTCTTCTAGAATTGTTATGGTTTCAGGTCTTAGATTTAAGTCTCTAATCCACCTGGAGTTCATGTTTGGATATGGTGAGAGATACAAACACAGTTTCATTCTTCTACATCTGGCCACCCAATTTTCCCAGCACCTTTTATTATGTATGTGTATGTTTTTGTCTAATTTGTCAAAGGTTGTTATTGTTTGGCTGTATTTGTTAGATTCTCTATTCTGTTACATTGTTGTATGTGTTTATTTTTATACCAGCACAATGCTGTTTTGGTTACTGTATCCTTGTAGAATAAATTGAAGTCAAAGGAAAGACAAAGGAAAGTTGTTGTCTTTCCTTTATTTTGAAGGAGAGTTTTAGCAAATATAAGTGTTCTTAATTAGAATTTTTTCTTTCAATACTTTGAATATGTTATCCCCTTTGGCCCTGGCCTGAAAGAAGAATTTGAGAATTGCGCTGATAGTTATGTGATGAGTAGATTTTCTCTTGCTGCTTTTAAAATTCACTTTTTCTCTTTGACTTTTGACAACTTTATTAAAATATGTCTTGGTGTAAGGTTCTTCATGTTCAATCTACTTAAGGACTCTTGAACTTCATGATTCTGGATGTCCACCTCCCACCTCAAATTCAGCAAATTCTCAGTCAGTATTTCTCAAAATAAGCTTTCTATTCTTTCCTCTATTTCACCTTCTTGTATCCACATAACGCATATATTGCTTTATTTGATGATGTTTCATAAGTCTCATAGATTTTTTTTACTCTTTATCTTTTGCTATTTTTTTTTTTGTTTTTTGCACCTCTGTCAGGATAATTTCAAGATAGCTGTTTCCCACTTTGCCATTTCCTCTTCATGACTGAACCTGCTGTTAAAACTCTCTATTAAATTTTTCAGTTTAGTCATTATATTCTTCAGCATTAACATTTCTGTGTTTATTTTTATCGCTTCTATTTATTACTGTAACTTCTGATTTTCTTTATGTATTGCTTTCCTAATTTTGTTTAGTTGTCTATACTTGTTCCCATATAGTTCACTGAGCTTAGTATCTAAAATAATTACTTCCAATTTTTAAAAGCACATTGTCAATTCCTATTTCTTTGGGGTCTGCTATTGAAGCTTTTTTGCTTTACTTAAATTGTGTGATATTTTCCTGATTCTTCATGATTATTGTGGCCTTGTGCTGGTATACATATTTTTGAGAAGGTGGTCACTTTTTCTAGTCTTTACAGGTTGGCTTCAGCAGGAAAAGTTCTTCACCATTAAGTGTGGCCTGGTGTTCTTGTTCGGTCAGGTGGTTGAGCCTGTTGATGGATTTGGCTGACTGGCGGTGCTTCAGGGTCAGAAATGTCTGCTGGTTTTAATCCCTCTGATTTGGTAGCTTTGTTGGGTGAGGCCACTTGAAGCACTGTGGGGCACATTGAGATTTGCATGTACCAGTCACTGAGTGTTTCACCCCATTTCTTTGGTGCTAGTTATCTTCATGTGGTCTAAGTATTAAAATTCTTCCAGCGTTTGTTTTGAGGCAAAGCAGAAGTTTGTCCATCAGGCAGCACTCCCCAGATAGACATTGAATATCCACTTTGATCTACTTTTCTCCCACTGGAAAAATAATGGGCTGAGGGTATACTTCTCAGCACAGTATTGTTCTGGATATGGAAGTGGTAAAGCAAACAAAGTAAAATCATTCCTCTTATCCTTTTTAATGAGTCTGTCTTTGCTTTTGAGCTCTTTTTGGGTTTTGCAATCTCACAGTGGTATTTGGAGTTCTCACAAAAGCATTCTTTCCTGTGGGTAGTTGCCAAATAGATGTCTCTTTGAGGGAAACAGGGCTGGGAACCTACTATTCCACCATCTTACCAGACTCCCTCTACATCCAACCACTTCCATCTCTCAATCTCTCAGTAATTTGTAAAATAGGAAAATACAAACATGTCTAGAAATCATTACTAAAACTAACAGATGAGTTGAGTGAAGCCACAGTATATAAGCCAAATGTGTAAAAAAGTCAATGTGTATTTTTATAGACTGGCAGTGAAAATCAAACCTTACCCTGAAAAACCTGAAGGAAATACCGAGGAAAATTAAAGAATACCTACATAAATAGAGCTATCATGTTCACATGTCAGAATATTCAATATAATTAATATGTAAATTTTCCCCAAATTAATACGCAGCATCAACACAATTCAGTAAAATTTCAACAAAGGGCTTTGTAAAATTTGATAAACCAATTCTTAAAGTACTTTGAAAATATAAATAATCTAAATTAGTGAAAACAATAATGAAAAACAGTCACATTTAGAGACATATCTGAAATAAATACTATAAAGCTACAGTATTCACAACAGTGTGTTGTTACTTGAGGAAATAATTATAAATAATTGTAATGATATAGGAAGCTCAGATTATATATATATACACACACATATAAACACACACATATATGTGTGTATATAGATGTATATATTTACACACATATATAATTTTTTATTAAGGAATGCATGAAGGCAATTCAAAGGGAAGAATAGAAATTTACATAAATATTCTCGGAGAAGTTGAATACCCATATGTAAATATGTGAACATTGATTAATCAAAGTACATCTGAAAAATTAACTTCAAATGAATTTGAGATGTAAGTGTAATAGATAAAAGTATATATTTTGTATGAATAAAGCATAGGAGAAATTTATTGTGACCCTGGGATAGGAAATGGTTTCTTAGATAGCCTACACATGCAGAAAACATAAAATAAAATGTATAAATTGAGTCTTCATGAGACACTGTTAAAAATAAATTGACAACCATAGCCTGAGAGAAATATTGAAATACATATATTTAATAAATGTTGGTGTTCAGATTTGTATATACATAAATCATACAGCTCCGTTAAAAGAAGGCAAATGACCTGACAAACATTAATGGGCAAGGTCCATTAGCTGCTGATGGGTAAACACATTGCGGCGTGCCCATATGATGGACTATTTCTCAGCAATAACAAGTAAGAAATTAATGATATGTACAACTTGGATGATTTCAAAGGAATTATTATGAATTAACAGAAGACACTAAAGACTACATAAATGTTAAAATCGCAATTATGTGAAATTTTTCAAAAGGCAAATACAGTAGCTAAAATATAATAGTTTTGTCATGGGCATCATGTATAAGGAGAGAATTTAATGAAAAGGACCAGATTGAGCTTTTCATGGTCATGGGAATGTTCTACAACATGTTTGTGGTAGTGATTATACAGTCACATGCATTTTGAAATGAAAATGTATAAAATTTTACAAATTATTCATTTATAATTGATGAATTTTAAAGAATGTAAATTGAACCTCAATAAAATTATTTCAAATTATGCTATGGAAGAATGTGTGGGACAATTGGAGCATGCTCAAAACATAGTGAATGTCTGCAATCATTTAGAAAAACTGTATTTTAGTATTTATTTAAGCCAAACAGATGCTCTCCCTGTGACTAAGCAATGTTCCTGTAAATATATATACCACAGAAATGTATCCTTATAATCATGGCACCTTTCTTTATAATGGCTAAAACAGGGAATGTATCCAAATGTTTGTCAACAGTAGAATGAATAAATTCTAAAATATTTGGAAAGAAAGCTCTCAGGACAGGGCAGAGTGGGATAACATATTCAAAGTATTGAAAGAAAAAATTCTAATTAAGAACACTTATATTTGCTAAAACTCTCCTTCAAAATAAAGGAAAGACAAAAACATTCCTTTATCTCTCCTTTGACTTCAATTTATACTGCAAGGATACAGTAACAAAAACAGCATTTTGCTGGTATAAAAATAAACACATAGTTCAATGGTACAGAATGGGGAATCTAGATATATAGCCAAACAATAACAACCTTTGACAAATCAGACAAAAACAAACACATACATAATAAATGGTGCTGGAAAATTGGGTGGCCACATGTAGAAGAATGAAACTCACCATATCCAAAGATTAACTCCTGGTAGATTAGAGACTAAATCTAAGACCTGAGACAGTAAAATTCTAGAAGAGAAACCTAATAAAAAACTCACAATAAATCACAGAGGAAACAGACATTATATAGAATGTGAAATAAATTCCAAACTATACTTACGATTAAGCAGTAATATGCAGACTCTGCAGGGAACTCAAAAAAATCGGCAAGAAAAAAGAATCATTAAAAAATGGGGAAACTGCCCTTTAACTTTGGCTTTTATTAAAAGGAAGGCCTGAAAAGACCTCAAATTTTTATCAGTATTTAGATAAGGGAGATATATTTTAATGAAAATAAATGCAAAATAATATATTTGAAGAATGGTATGTCTACATATGCTTGTATACATACATGTATGTACATACATAAACACATACAATGGAATGATACTTAGTCATACAACAGAATAAAATGCTGTCGTTACTGTCAACATGGATGATCCTGGAGGATATATTAAGTGAAATAAGCCAGGCACAGAAAGAAAAATGCTGCATTATTTCATGCATATGAGGGATCTAAACAAGTTGGTCTCATAGAAGTAGAGAGCAGAATGGTGGTTACCAGAGGCTGGAGTGGTTAGAGAGGGGAACAGGATGGGGAGATGTTGGTCAGAGGTCACGTAATTAAAATTAGATAGATAAAGTAAATTTCAAGAAATCTATCGTATAGCAAAGTGGCTACAGTTACTGGTGATATATTGCATTCTAGAAAATTGCAACGATAGTGGATGTGTTCTCACAATGAAAATGATAACTATGTTAAATAATGCCTCTGTTATTAGCTAGATTTAGATTTAACCATTCAACAATCTATATGTGGAATGTTCAAAACATCATGCTGTATGTAATAAAAATCATCCAATGTCATCTTAAATTTTAAGAAGTCAAATAGCATGCTTAGAAAAAATATTATTCAAGCTAGCATTGAATATATAGCTAACTATCTTTCTTGGTAAGGAGTATTAAAATAACTTCAAAAGTAATAACACAGAGATTTCATTACCAAGAGTAGCTACATAAGAGTACACTTCAAGAAGAAAAAGTGTCTTCCTGTGTAAAGGTAAAATGAGAACAAAGGAGTGAGAGACATACCTTGGGAATATCAAATCCTGGTGGACACTGAACTGAAGGAACCACATAATTCTTGCACCAGAGCAGAAGTGTGACATGATCTGACCTAGTATTGAGTTGCAATTAGACGTCAGGAGTCAAGGATGGAAGCAGAGACCAAGTATGGGGAGAGAGGGGATGGGGACTCAGACCAGGTGATGAGCAGCCATGGGGTGGGGGGGTGAGAAGCAACTGAATTCTTGTTTCTCAAATGTGGGGCCCACAGGATGTGGGTGTGAGAGGGTGAGGGGGGTGGTCTGGATAGCTAACTGGAAGGATGGAGGTGCTGTGGGGGGAGCAAGTCCAGGGAGAAGGATGCAGTGTGAACAGCCTGTGCGCAGCACTTAGAGCTTCCCCTCCAGCCGTGTGTCAGGGGAAGCTTGCCTCTATGCCTTTGCACGTGCCAGTCTGGGTGCCCAGAAGACTTCTCCTGCCCTGGCAGAAAAACTCCAACTGCCTTCTCAAGGGTCCCAACTGTGATTCTGTCCCTGTACTCCCACACCTATCTATCCCTCTTTGCTTCGTGCACATGCTGGACCTCACACATGTTGCACAGCCTTTACTGTATTGTGTCCCAGAAAGCGCCCCAGAATTCAGGATGGAGCGCCATGAGTTCCTCATGCTGGTGGTTATCAGAATGCCTGCACCTCAGTGATCCCCACACAACAGGGGCTCACCCTTTGACTGGCTGGGGGCCTGTTGGACTCCTTGCTCTACTGTTCACAGGTCTGGCCGCCCTAGGCCGCTCACCCCTCCCCGACGGACCTCAGTCTCTGCACCTGTTAAATGGGTGTGCTCTTTCTCCTCCCCACGTCTGAGGGTCCTATGCGGAGGGCACCAGGCCCAGGATCCTGAAAACCGCGGGCAGTGCGCCCTCTGCTGGGAGGTGACGGGGTCTTCGCCCACACCCTTTCCGTGCCCCAGTTGGTGCTGGGGGAAGGCAAAGCCAGAGGGAGGCGGAGGGGCTTCCGGTGACTGTCCACTTCCTGGAAAGTGGATTCATTTTCCTGTTAATGCTCACCTTGACTGTGGAAGAGGCCAGTGTAGACCATTTTACTGAGCACCTGCTAGTTTCTTGTTACTGAAGTGTTACCCGCTATAACTCCTATTTGTTTAAAAGAAATAAGCGACTCAGAGCGCGGGGTGTGAATACTGGAGAGGAAGGGAAAGGTGGGCTGGGCATGTACCGGCGAGGCAAGGGGGGAGTCTCAGGAGTGGCTGAAGTCCTGATCTGCCTACACTGCATACAGTGCGGCTGGGGTTGAGTTGGTCTCCGTCCCCGCTCAGTTTGGGAGAATCTTGACCAGACCCTGCCACCCGAGGGCTTTGATTCCTGGTCTATGAATGGGGGTGGCACCCCCAGCCCTCCCCTTGCTGGTCTGAAGCACCCCCTCCCACAGGCTGTGACAGATTCTGACCGCGGCCAGAAGGGGGCGCGCGAGGCTGCCGCTGGCCGCAACACAGAGCTGCATTCTGGCAGCCCAGGCTCTAGCACCAGACTGGCTGAGGTCTCTGCGGCTCTTCGTCTCCTTTTCGGGGGGCGGAGTGAGCGGAACCTTGTACTTCAGGCTCAGCAGCCCCAGGAGCTGGAGCCTGAGGAGCTGCTGGGGTCCTGCCCAGCGCTGACCGGCCTGGCAGCGGGTCCCAGTGCGACCGGTGAGGGGAGGGTGCTTGGGCTCCTGGTGGCCAGCGGCACCTGCTTCCTGGGCCACTGGTTCTGGCGAGTTCTGGGGGCGCCTGGGGGAGGCTTCGCGGGACTGTAGGGGCCCCAGGCGGGGAGGGCTGTGCTGGGCGCTGAGGGATCCGGGCTCCCTAGTGGACCTCCTGCAAGCTTCGGCTCTGCCACCTGCCACTTGCACTCCCGGTTTTCCTCTCCAGAACTGGAGGAATTAATCCCAGCTCTGTTAAACTCCGGGACGGTTCTTCTTCGTGATACAGAAAAGTCAGGAAAAGGGGAATTGGATGTGCAACAGACTCCAAGTGAATTCGGATCCTTTCACTCCGGATTCTGTTGGGGTCATGGGGGTGATTCTTGTGATGAAGACATGGAAGCCAGTGCTCAGGAGCTGGGAGATGAAACGTGGCCTGCTGAGAGAACTGCAGTGACTGAGAGCAAAGCGAGGTTAAGGCGCACAGCAGTTTCAGGAGCTGCAGATAATTGCTCTGGAGGTTTTGGTTCTGTGTTTACTGTGTGAAGAGGCAGGATGGATGCATGCACCGCATTAGGTGATCAGAAAAGCCTTAGGCCAATTCTACAGTGAGCAAAGCGCTCTGAGAGGAGCACAGGCTCTACTGCAGTGCCTGGACGTCTTCCTCATGCAGTTCCGTGTTTCTCTGCCTGGGCAGAAGATGGTGCTATGCTTACTCAGGATGAATACTGTCATAGTGGAAGTTTAGCTATGCTGCAGTGAAAACTGCAGAATCATGAGTTACTTCAAAGAAGCAGAGTTGAAGGGTCTCCTTTTGCAAGGTAGCTGGGGTTTGACCTATATTCATTCAATGTCTTTGGTTCACAGGGATATAAAATCTAGTACTGTTTTTACTTCTCGAGTCTCAATACCAGATGCTGCCTCTGAAGAAGAGGAAGATGACTGGGGATCCAACCAAATTATGTTAAACACAGGTGATCTTGGACTTGTAACAAGCATCTCTAGTCCACAGTTTGAAGAGGGTGATAGGTGTTTTCCTGCAAATGAAGTTTTACAGGAGAATTATACCCATCTACCCAAAGAGATGTGTTCCTGCTGCTGAACCTCTTCCCAGAAATAGAGACCAGTGCATGAATTCACACAGGCCAGGTTACCCTGATACCACAAGGGCTTTCCCAAAAGTTTACAGAGTTGATAAAAGTTATGATTCCTCCAGATCCAGAGAGAAGACCTTCAAGCAATGGCCCTGGTAAGCATTCGGTACTGCTGTCTGCTTCTAGAAAGAGAGAAGAACAGTAACAAATAGAATCGAAGCCTGGAAAGTTCAAAAATTTGCTTTTAGAAGGATAACTCAAGGAAGCACAGATGGCAGAGGCTGCAGCTGAAGCAGAGCGCTCTGCTGGCGGGACAGCCATCGTGTCCAGCACCCAGAGTAATGGGCCATTCAGCCTAGTGGAAGGCACATGAGCTGCTCCATCAACCTTCCTGCATACTCACCTACTCATGTCCCACCTCTTCTAGAAACTGTGACAAAAGGGAGCTAGGTTGAAATCACTGCTGGAATCCCGTTTGTAATGACTTTCACTCTTGGTGTCAGTAGTTTTACTGCTTGGGACTTTTATTTGTGAATTACAGTTGAAAGCTGCATTTTTACCTATGTCAGGCTTTCATCTGGCCTTACCAGTCTTTCCTCTGTAGGATGGCAGTCACTGTTGGATATTACACCATCCTGTCCAGGGCTAGCCACTGTGGTGGTGTGCTGCTTATAGCTTGCTCTTGTATTGTAATAAAAGATATCTTTCCCTGTCGTGATTTGTAAGAAGAACTCAAGGGCATTGTTACAAAAATATTCTCCCTTCAAAAAGAGAAAAGCTAAAAGACTCATTACTACTCAGACTTCAATACACCTGTGTGTCAATCTTATATTTCTTTTTTTATACAAAACTGTAAAATATACTTTTAGGTCCAAAAGTATACTTTTAGTGCTTTGTAAGCATTGCGTGAAGCCTGATATGATAATTCCATGGAAGCATTGCCTTGGGAATTTGCTGTCTTTGCTGTAAGCTTGTAGCATTAAACAAACATTGTAGTTAATAGGCTTTCTCTTTGAAACAATTATGTGAAATGTACAGCTGTTCTTGAGGAACTTTGAAGCTAGTTCATTGAAAAATGCTCCTTTCCCTTCCCTTGTAATGCTATATTAATGAAGTATAATAATTACTGGTTTTGTAATTTTTTTTCTGGTAATGTTCTTCTCTGACTCTTTAAAAATGTCCCTTCCCTCCTCCCAAGTTTTATACTAGACTGTGGTTAGTCTGATTCTAAATGTTTTACTTAGTTTATCCTCAATATTCATGTATATAAATTGATCCTGGTGATCCTGTACATGGCTGTTTGCAATGCCAGAATGATTTCTGACATTCCAGGTTTTTCACAAAATATATTTTATTTGTGATTAGTCACTTGACTAATAATATCAGCTAAAAGATGTCACAAAAAATAAAATAAAAAAAGTGGCTGGGCTCAGTGGTTCACACCTGTAATCCCAGGACTTTGGGAGGCTGAGGGAGGTGGATCACGAGGTCAGGAGATGCAGACCATCCTGGCTAACACGGGGAAACCCCATCTCTACTATAATACAAAAAATTAGCCGGGCGTGGTTGCAGGCGCCTGTAGTCCCAGCTGTTCATGAGGCTGAGGCAGGAGAATGGTGTGAACCCAGGAGGCAGAACTTGCAGTGATCGGAGATCGCGTCACTGCACTCCAGCCTGGGCGACAGAGCGAGACTCTGTCTCAAAAATAAAATAAAATAAAATAAAATAAAATATAAAATTAAAAAGAATTTGTGTCTTGTTTGTTTCCTCATTAATGTTGGTTGAAAGCATATTTGCACTTGTCTTTGACTTGCATTTTATTAACATAGATTGGCATATTAAAAGTCCCTCTGAGTTTACCTTAATTGTCTAAAAAAATGTAAGAAAAAGGGCCTGTGGGAAGGACAACCAGGCAGAGGGGCTAGTGTGAGCACATGCTGGGCAGGAGGGAAGAGATAATGACGCGGACCAGGGAAATCCCCAAACCCAGCAAGTCAGGGAGCCAAATGAAAGCCTTTCATCCTGTATCGGCCACCTAACCCCATCGACACTCCAAGTGAGCATTCTCTTTTAGAGATACTCATTGCCCTGTTTTTTTTCTGTAATCTTGTAAAGGAATCTGATTTCTCCCATTAGACTTTCACAGTACTAAAATTTCACATTAGAATGCTATTCTTTAGAAGGCACCTTCCTAGACTAGGCTGCAAGGAGACTGAGGAAGTTACTGTCAGTCACTTAAACCCCACAGGGACATTAATTCAACAGAGCTTTGGTGGGGGAGTAGAGGAGCTCACTGCAGGCAGGTCTGGATGCTGCACAGAGTGTAAAGGGAGCAGAAAGACCCAGGACACCTAGGCCTGGAGATAGCTCCAATCCCGGGAGGTACTGTTATTATCCCCATTTTACAGAGGAGGAAACTGAGACACAGGCAGGTAATATGATCAAGACCACGCTGCCCCACAGTAGAGGAGCCAGGATCTAAACCCAGGCAGCCTGCCTTGCTATCAGAGCTCTCACCCATAACCTCATGCTGCTGTTAAGCAGGATTGCCCTGTGGCCAGGGTCACAGCCTCTGGGTTCACATTCTAGCTGCTCTACCACTTCAAGGTGTGTGTCCTTGGGCAAGTTACTTGTCTGTGCTCAGTGTCCTCTATACAGTGGGTGTAGCAGTACCTGCCTCATGGAGTCCCTTAAGTGAGTTAATAGCTGTAACATGCTTAGAATGGTGTCATGTCCATCATCACCATCCACTACATATAGGCCATCATACCTGAATCCCAGATGGACACATATCCTTGAAGGGTCTAAAATCCAGGATCCTGAAATACCTGGAAGTGGTATCCTGAAATCCTCTGGCAGCATTCTAACATCTTTTGACTGCAGAATTGTACCCTGCTTCCCAGGGCTAGAAGGTGTGGGGTAACCTGCTACCCAGTTCAGCCCCAAAGTAGGAAAAGAAAGTTTTGTCACAGGCTTGTCTGGGGCCCAGCCCCTGTAACCTCCCCCATCCCTCCTTTGCATGCTCCCTCACCCAGATTCACACATGCACTCCAGGTCTTCTGGGCCCAAAGGGAAGGAGAGAGGGTGGGGAGTGGGTTCACTGGTCCACTGGAGCATGCTGCCTCCAGCCCTGCTAAACTGGTGGGTCCAGGGAATGGGCCTGGAGCTGAAGGGGTCTTGATCTCCCTTTAACTTTAAGCCTTCATTTGCAGTGACCCAAGAGCTTCACTTCTTCCTGTGAGCCTGTCTGGATGTTTATGCTGGATGGCACGGGCCCCTTCTGGCAGGGCTGCAAAGGTCAGGGCCTGGCTGGCAGCCATGGCAGGTGAGGAGACCTTGGCAGATGAGAAGACCTTCTGCTTCAGCTTCAATGTATGGGTCTTCTCCTAGCTCTCAGTACATTCCTCCTGAGCCATGATTGGCCCCAGTTCAATGACACCTTCTGCGGCAGCATCATGGTGTCCAGGGGTATAATCTGTAGCATGTGCCAGTGCTACCCCAAGGTATATGGTGGTGGGGCTGAGTGGAGCCAGAAGGGCTGGATCTTGTTCCTCTCTTCCGTGTATGAGCCCCATCCTTCAATCATCTTCTTGTTCTTTTCATTTTGACTCCCTGTTTTATTCTGTCTTCTCTTCTGAGTATCCATCCATTCATTTATCCATTCATCCATCTATTCATCCCTCCATTCATTTCAGCATTAATCTATCAATCCATGCATCCATCCATTTATTTATCCAACCACCCATCCATCTATCTGTCCATCATTTAGCATAAAGATTGATCATAAGCCTCCTGGTTCTGGAGCCATGGACCAGACACCATGGGGAGACATGATGAAAAAGAAGATATAATTTGTGTGCTTGAAACAAAAGTTAATGAGTGCTTACCACCTGCCTGGCAGTCCTGCATTCAGGGTGCAGTTCTCCCCTCATCCTGAGTTTTTGGTACCTTCTGTAGTTTCATTTTGTAGTAGAGAATGCTGAGCCTCACAATATGTGGTCACTCAGCTGCATAGTGGAGTTTAGATTGGAGCTCAGATGTGTGTGACTTAGACATCACCCTCTGCCTTGAGTCCTCCACTCCAGGGTCCCAGAGCTGCTGAGCATTCTGGGGTTGGTCAGCTCTAACCTTGGTGGCATGCATTGAGCAACTCTCCATATTTTGGAGTCTTAATGTATTCTTAGCCTTAGTGATGGCAAGGACCCTGCTTTGGGAGACCTGGGTTCTAGTTCCAGTTCTGTCCCAAACTTGCTGTGTGATCTTTGTCTTTCTGAGCCCAGTATTTGCATCTGCACAATAGGACACAAGCACTAATTTTCATAGCCTCATAGGGTTGTTGCAGAGGTCAGAGAAGAGAAGAGACATATGAATATTTGTAGATTGTAGAGTGTTTTGTTTAGGTGAAGGGCTGTCAGATCCTGATAACCCTCTGGAATGAAGATGTCAGAAATTGTAAACCTTCAATGCCCAGAGAGGTGGAGTGACTCTTCCAAGGTCACATAGCTAGTCAGAGACAGACCTAGGGGAAAAAAGAAGAGAAACATGGATTCTAACTTGGGCTCTGTCTCTAACTGCCTGGGATACTGCTCAAGCTCCTTCCCTCTCTGGGCCTCAGTTACCTTGTTAGTACAATATGTGAGACAGGATGAGGGGATGGAAGATGGAGGGAGGGACCTGCTAGAGCTCACCTCTACGGCCCAGGCTTGGGAATCCCCAGAACCCCCATATTGTCCTTTACACCTGGGTGGCTGTACTCAAGGGCTCAGGGAGGGGGGACTCCTGTGGCCCTGGACTCCCTAGCCATTCCCCTTCTGTGGGCCCACCCTAGGCTGTCAGCGTGTTAGGTGCTGGAATGGTCTGAGCTGGTTTGTAGTCATTTCCGAGGCAGTTTATGGTCGCCTCACCTCTGTCCATGCCATGTCCTGAGCAGAGG
The DNA here is from genome assembly GCF_000001405.40 of Homo sapiens. Taxonomy (NCBI): domain Eukaryota; kingdom Metazoa; phylum Chordata; class Mammalia; order Primates; family Hominidae; genus Homo; species Homo sapiens. The sequence continues at coordinate 22,710,218 of NC_000017.11, forward strand.
CCCCAGAGAGAAGAAGTCCTGGGGGCCAGAGCCACCCGTGTCACCACTAGCCATGGTAGTCCTCTTCCCCGTGAGGAGGGTGCACCCTGGGAGATGGCATCGGGTGGAACGAAGCATCTGTCCTGACCTCCCTGTTAACCAGAGGTGGCTCTGGGGCTCTGGGCAGGGATACAGGAGTGGCAGTGGGAAGCAAAGTGGAGGAGGAAATATTGCTGGATACTAATGAGTCACAGTTGATAGATTCATGTCTTCATGTGCTGTGGAGGCAGTGTGGTGGGGTGCAGATGGCGTATGTTTTGGTGACCTACAGGCTTACATTCAAATAGCTGTTACCTCATGTTCCACATCTGTGACCTTGGCAGGGGAAGCTCCTCAACCCCGAACCTTGCATAGCTGAGTGGGAGAAACCAGAAGGGTCTTGTGTTGTCGGGGACCTGGCATCATGCCTGGCACAGAGAGTTTGCAAAATCTTCATTCTCAAGATTGGCATTTGTAGCTCTAGGGGATACACACAGAGGTCTCTGTATGTATGGGCAGTTACATGTGGATAGGTGTGGGTCGGTTTGTGTGTGTGGGAGTGCATGTTTCAGGGACACAGGCTATTCAAACCAGCACAAGTTGACTCTAATAAGGGAAGGGAGGAAAGCGCATGGTAAACCAGGAAGACGCTCTAGAGATGAGGCTTCCGGCACCCCTCATGGCCTCTTGGTGCCTGTGCCATTGTAGCCTTCGGTGCTCATGCATGTCCTACCCTCAGGGTCCTCCCTTGGACCTCAGTGCCTGGCCTGTGGAAAGCTTCAGTAAATGGGGAAACATAAATATAAGGGAATATAACTAGCTAATTAGGGTAATTAAGTGAGGAGTAGCCATTTCCAACATACATTAAGCTGTCCCTGATTTTTAGGGGCTGGAGGTCTAGTGAGAGAGACAATTTGCTGCATGATGGGGAAGAAGTAGGATTCACAGAGAAGGTGAGTTTGGCTTTGTAGGTTAAGTAGAAATTCACCAGGCAGAGAAGATGTAGGAAGACACTTCAGGAAGAAGAGCAACAGGATCAAAGCCATGTGGTGAAAGGAGAAGGCAAGTGGGTCAGCAATGCTACTAGAGGGGGAGGAGAACAAGTCAAGGTGGAAATGGAGGGGCCTTAGCTCCTCAGTGCCTGGGGTGTCATGCTAAGAAATTTGGATCTTACCCTTTAGTTGATAGGACAAGGGAGGGGCATGACCAGGTTTGCAGTTTGAGAAAATTATCAGGCTGATATCTGGAAAGAGGAAGGTCTGGGGCAGCGAGACCAATGGGAGGCTTCTCTGCTCAGGTGAGAGATGGTGGTCATCTGGATTAGGGAGAATTTGAACCCAAGGCTGTAGAAACTGAGAAGACAGTTCCAGTTTACCATATGTGGAGTACCTGCTGTGGCTGGCAGGGCACCAGCACTTCTACCCAGGTTATTTCATTAAAATTCTAAAGTAGACCTGGTCAGCTCTGGAAGCCACCTGGGCCTCAGGCATGAGAGAGGAGAAGGAATTGGGGCAAATCTAGTGGGTGGGTGCAGCTGGAGATGCTGAGCCTGTTACCAAAGATGGGACAGGAAAGTGGGGAGCAGGGAAAGGAGTGGAAGGGAGAGTGAGGCCTTTCCCTGCCTGGCTGAAGCCCTTACCCATAAGCCTCCCATTCCTCATTCCTGCCAGATCTGCTGGACCCAGGACCAGGACCCTGGTTGGTGTTAAAGGTTCTGTCTCCCCTGTGGGCCTCCCTCCCTCTGCTTCTTCCTTCTGAGGATTGCTCAGTGTTCTGCCTAACCATAAATCTGACGGCATACTCTCCTGCTGATAAATCTTCAAGGATGCCTCTGATTCTGGGCAAAGCCTGAGCTTCTTAGTTTTATGTTCTGGGGGTCTGCATTCTTTGATATCCCCTCCCCAGCTTCAACTCTGCCTTTTCCTCCTCATCAAAGTACATGTATTTTAATATGCTACCTCCTCTCCTTTTCCTCCAAGATTTTCATAATTGTGGTTGTGATGATGATGATGATGGTGAGGATGGTGATGGTGAAGGTGGTGATAATGATAGTGATAGTTAAGTTGAGGATGATGGTGAGGATGGTGAAGGTGGTGATAATGATAGTGATAGTTAAGTTGAGGATGATGGTGAGGATAGTGATGGTGATAATGATGGTGATGGTGAGGAAGATGACGGTGAAGGTGGTGATAATGATAGTGATAGTTATGCTGAGGATGATGGTGATGATGATGATGATGCTGAGAATGGTGAAGGTGAGTATGGTGATGGTGATGATAAGGATGGTGATGGTGAGGTGATAATAATGGTGATGGTCTGGATGGTGATGGTGAAAATGGTGACGGTGATAATGATGATGATGGTGATGGTGAGGATGGTGATGGTGGAGTTGGGGATGATAGTGATAATTATGGTGAGGATGCTGCTGCTGATGCTGGTGAGAATGGTGAGGGTGAGACTGATGATGATAATGAGGATGGTGATGGTGAGTATGGGGATGGTGATGATGCACCCCTTGATTTGGCAATTCGACATCTGAGAATTGTTCATTTCTTCTAGGGTTTTTTTTGAGTCAAGACTTCCCTACGTTACCCAGGCAGGCCATGAACTACTGGCCACTAGTGATCTTCCCACTTTGGCCTCCTGAGTAGCTGTGATTACAGGCATGAACAGTGGTGCCTGGTTTTATCTTAGGAATTTATCCTGAGGATATAATCAGACAAGTGTGCCAAGCGGTACTTAGAGAAGGGTATTTATTGTTGCATTGATGATAGTAGGTAAGATGTGGGAAGAATGTAAATGTCCAGCAATAAGAGATTGGCCAAATAATTGTGCTACAGCTAGGCAAGGGGCTGGCTTATGGCCATTCAGGACACAGACCCTCCTGATTGAGTCAAACCTCCTGTCACTGCTCTCACACACCTCCCTCCTTTTCAGCACAAATTACCATCATAATTTTACATTTCTTTGTGAACCTCTTTGATGACTTTCTGTATCCCTCATTAGTTGCCAAGCTCCATGGAGGCAAGGAGTATACTATGCTCATTATTGTGTCTTCCGTACCAAGTTAAGTTCCTGGAACACAGTACACTCTCAATAATTTGTTGTTAAATGAATGACTGAGTCCATATTTCTTAGTATGGAAAGATGTTTGAAATATGCAATTAAGAGAAAGAGCAGATTATAAAACAGCATGCATGCTGTAGTACACACTGCAAATTCCCTCCTTTCTTGATCTTCTTTGGGGGACCAAATGTGCACTCTCAGTCAATAAATTATGATTGCCCCTTGCCTAGCTGTAGCACAAAGTCAATCATGACAATGCTATTCTCTGATGCTAGGGTTGGTCATGAGATCAGGTTCTGGCCAATCTAAACACAGATTTCCAGACCTAAAGAGAAATCCTCTGGTGGTCACCTCAGAAGTTCTTGCTTTTCTAATAAAAATGTAGAAGTGACTGCTTTTGCTGGCCTTGGAAACACTTGTAGTGGTTGGAGCTGCAGCAACCATCTTACAGCCATGAGCTAAATTCCAATAGACTCACAAAGATGCTGGGCCTAACATTGTTGAACCAGTGCACCATAGCCAGGGACCATAGATACTCTAACTATGTAAGAAAAATGAACCTGTATTTGTTTAGGTGACTGAACTTTCAGATTAACGCACTCCCAACAGATACAGAGCATGATCCCATATATACCTGTATGTGCAAGTATGAATAGAAAAATAATTAAAGTGATTATCTCTGTGTGGTAGGATTCTCCTTCATATTTTTTATTTTATAAAGTTTTCCCAAACGGCGTGTAAATAATAATCAAACACATATTTCTGTACATTCAGAAAATAAACAATGGTACTAATTTTATTTTTTAAAAATAAACAAAATATTGGGGCTCCAGAAGGTAGTTCACTACCATATGATAAGTTAATTAGCCACAACCGAGAAGAACACTTGTGGGTTTCCTGGATGACAGGTTCGGCAGCAGTGAGAGGTCCCCTCCAGAACAGTATGTGGTTCCAAACTCCTGAGGGCAGCGGGGCAGACCCCAGGGAAGTAGATGAGAAGCTGAGTGAGGCTCTGTGGGGAGAGAGGATGTTCCTCAGCCCTCACAAGGACATGTCAGTTTCACTTGAGATTAGGCCCTGGCCTTGGCTGGGCAGCATGCTAGGCAGGTTCTCAGCAGCATGGGGTGATAACAGGACGAGGGGAAGCCTGGCATGCTGGGGCAGCTCTGGGGTCCTCAGGTGGGGCTGTCTCGGGCAGCAACTCTGTTGGCTGTAAACACAGATTTCTAGGAGGCAGAGCATTGCAATCTCTCCCACCATAAACCTGGACCATCAGGGACGTTTCCATAGCAGCATCAACACCAGTGAGGAATCGGGACGCAATCTGTAATCCCCTATCCCACTTTTCCTTTTCTCTTAGAATGGGACAGAGCAGCCTCGAGCAGCTAGTGTCCTGTAGTGACTCCAGTTTGCTGCTCTCTTCCTTATCTTCTTCCTCCTGCCCTCTGCCTCCTCTGCATTCTTCACCTTCTACATCAGGAAGCTCAAGTCACCAAGCTAAGCCTGGGCTTCTCATCTAAATCACGGAGTGCCAGTCAATGCCTCCCTTCCTCTTCCCAGGGAGCAACTTCAATCTTCCCTGCTTGCAGTGAGGAGCTAGACCCTACTCCTTTTTCCCTGTGGGACCATCCACAGCCTGTTTCCTCACCCCTGTAATGGGACTGCAGTCCTCCCTGCCCATCTGGCAGTGCTAATTCCAGGCCAGGGGCCCTCCTGGGAAAATCACCAGTGTGGGTGATATGGTGAGTGTTTGTGTGTGTGGAGGGGTGGGGCTGCCCTCTGACCATTTACAGACCCTGTCCTTCCTCTCTCCCCATGCTTGTCGCATGTCAGGAATCCCTCTCCTTTGTGCCATGAAATAGAAGGCATTTTCAGATCCATCATCTCATTGAGACTTGCATCTCCTTGGTGAAGTTGGAGTTATTGTCACCATTTTACTGATGAGTAAAATGAGTCTCAGAAAGGGGAAAGTCGTTGCCCAGGGTTCCGCTGTGGACTTATAGTGGAGCTGGGATTAGGATGCGTGTTCTGGATTCCTGGCGGGGTCCTGGCCCATTTGCAGCTAAGGCCTGTCTTTCTGCTCCCATGAGGTCCCTTTTCCATTCCTTTCCTCCCCATGACAACCACTGTCACCACCACCCAGAGCCTGTGCTCACTGTCACACCACCCTTCGCTGACCCCTGCATCTTGGTTGGATCCCACCATGTCCATCAGACAGATTTTCCTCAATGGTGGTTGGGCTCCAAATCTACCCTCCCCAGACTGACACAAATTGCACTACAGGGGGCCCCAACTGTAGGCGTTTCTGGTCTAGAGAGGGAGATGGTCCCGTAGAAATGTCAACATCACTTGGTAGAGGAGAGTGGAAGCACAGGAGAAAGTTCAGGAAGTGACATCAGGAGGAGGTGGCCCTTGAGTTGGGTCTTGAGGGATGTGTAAGAGTTACCAGGTGAGGAATGCTGGGAAGGGAATTCCAGGAGGAAAGAGCAGCATTCTCCAAGGCTCAGACTGGTGTGGTCACTGCAGGGTAGAGCTAGGTGACCTGGACCCCTTGAGACAGTGCTCCCCTTTTAGGAGGACATCTGCAGTTCCCATACTTTGGGCTGTCTCAGAATCCCCCAGAGATCTTGGGAAATTCCTGGGTCCAGTTCCCAGGGATTCTGGTCCAGGCAGAGGAATCTGCACTTCTCACAGGCAGGGGCTGTGACCTCGCCCCACAGTTCTGATGCAGTTGGTCCCCGGATCACTCTTGGAGAAATACAAGCAGGACTGAGAGGCTTTGACCCAAGCACTGTGCAGGGGGTGGGATGGGGATAGATGTGGAATGGGCCAGAGGAATAGTGGTTAGATCTATACCCTCCTGTATGACCCTGTCTAAAATATGGCTCTCCCATCCCCCTCTCCCACTGACACATTCTATCCTCCTTCACTTTTCCTTTATTTTATTTTACTTTTTGTAGATACAGGGTCTCCCTATGTTATCCAGACAGGTCTCAAATTCCTGACCTCAACCATCCTCACATCTCGGCCTCCCAAAGCACTAGGATTACAGGCATGAAGCATCATGCTCTCGTCACCAACTCACATGCTGACCATTTGACTAGTTCAGTTATTACCTGTTTTACTCTATTAGCATGAGGGCTACATGAGGAAAGGGACTTTATGTATGTCATTCACTGCTGTAGCCAAGCATCTACAATGTGTGAGTTCATGGAAGCTTTTTATGTTTTGGTTTGTAATTTTAATTTTGGGAAGCAGAAGATATCTGATTGGACTCAGTGGCTGACAGGAAAAGGAAGAACAGTCCTGGTGTGCACAAGAGTGACAGGGAGACCTAGATGGAGAGATGTCAGAGGACAGTTCCTGGAAGAGGCTGACGGAAAGGTAAGGCAACTGGGGAGGGTCTCTCTGGACATCAATTCCTTTGAAGCTGGCAGGGAGGGAGGAAGTGCATGGGTGGAGAGGAATGCCTGAAGAAGACCTCCTTGGCTTCCATATTCTTCATGAAGTGACAGGTGAGGGGTTTCCTTGGAAGAGAGGGTAGGAGGGGAACAAGTGTAGGCTGGTGATGGTGGGCCAGGAGCAGTGCCCCAGGGTGAAGGGGTGAATGCATTACTGAGGCTGGACTCTGGTCATGACCCTTGCCTTGGCCTCAAGATTCATTAAAAACCAGACTCCTCCAGTGAGCTTAGATCATGCCACTGCACTCCAGCCTGGAGACAGAGTGAGACTCCATCTCAAAAACAAAAACAAAAAACCAGCCTCCAGTCCCAATGTGCCCAGCTGGACCATGTGCTGCTTCCTGGATGTGCCACCATCACAACTGGAACACAAATCCTGAGTCACCGCCTCTAGAAAGCCTACCTGGATTGAGTGCCCATCTGAGTGGGCTCCTGCAGCACCTGGTCTGTCCCTACTATGTGACTTGCATCTGCCTGCCTCTTATCACAGGTGCCTGTGGTTTTACCTTCCTCAGTGTGGGCTGTTGAGGACTGGGCCAGGCTGATCCATCTTAGGGGCTACAGCAGGTGCCAGCAATGGCTGGGCTTTGTCAGGCCTGGGCAATAGGCAGGCCTGTTTCTCATGCTAGGCACTGGGTGCCCTTTGTGGGCCCAACTGGGCATGGCCACTGCTTCTGAGTGTCCCGAAGATTCCTGGGAGAGGCCTGGTTATCTTGGGCTGACCCTCACTCCCCAGTTCCTTCCTCCCTCTGTCCCTTGCCGAAACCCTTTTGCATGTCCTCAAAATCCTGCTCCAGCACCAGCAGCCCCCTGGTTTTCAGCAGCCTCAGGGAACTCTTCCTTTTGTTCCTTGCTGTGAGTAAGAGGCCCAATCCCCTGAGGACACTGCTCCCTTGCTGTCCTCTGCTGCAGCCCTTCCCTGGGCCTGAGCAGGGTAGATCCTCCTTGCTTCTCATTGCCTCCCTCTTTCAGCTCATCATACTTCTCTCCCATATAAAGACATTCATGTGCCACGAAATGATGTTTCGGTCAACATAGACCACATGTGCAATGGTGGACCCATGAAACTATAATGGAGCTGAAAGACACCTACTGCTTAGCCCAGTGACATAACAAGTGTAATATTATGGCAGAGTTACTTTAAAAATATATTTATTAAAAAAGATTTATAATACTATAGAAAAAGAAATATATATCTCGTAGTGTAGCCTAAGCTTCCAGTGTTTATAAAATCTATAATAGTGCACAGTCATGCCCTATGACTTCACCTTCACTCACCACTCACTGATTCACCCAGAGAAGTTTCCAGCCCTGCACGTTGCATCAATCATAAGTGTCCTAGACCAGTGCACCATGTCTAGGTACCATACTATATTTTTATATAGTGCAATACTCTGTTTTTACTGTACCTTTCATGATATGTTTAGATGTACAAGTACTGACAATTGTGCTACAACTGCCAACAGTATTCACTGCAGTAAACTGTGCCCAGGTGTGCAGCCTGAGAGCAGTAGGCTGTGCCATAGAGCCTAGGTGTGCGGTAGGTACAATATTCAGATGTGTGTAAGCACACTCTGTGAAGTTTGCACAAAGAAAATTTACCAAAGGAGATGGTGACACATGAAGGGAATCAATATTGAAGCTCTTGCTCTCAGATTGCACCCAGGACCACATCCCTATTCACTGAAGACTTAGCTCCCAGTTCATGGGCACTTTCTCCTGTGGGGAGGATGCCAACATGCACATACAGAGCCCTTCTCATGCTCTGGCTCTTGGTCCCTCCACCTCTAGAGACATTGTCTGCACCCTCCCTGAGTCACCCACTCCTACCTGTATATTCTTGACCATATCACTGCAGAAACTGTAGCTACTCCAGACCCTGAATTTAAAACACCATTTTTTTGACCAACCACTTTCCTTTTTCCAGCTGCCTCCCAACTCCAACACACTTCAATGACTCCAAATTTTCACTTTGTGTCTTACTCACCTTCTTTCAAATTTCCCCTCCTCCCAGCTGAGACTATATGGTCCAGCCTGTCATCCATCCTCTTAACACTCTCCACTCTCTTGCCCCACTATTGATTGTACTCCCAGGGCAAAACCACACTCCCCTGAAACCCAGCCACACACTCCCTCTGCTCCTGCACTCAGGTGGCTGAGCACAGCCAGAGAGAAACACACGTGCCTTCTGGTCTCAATTAATCATCAAGCCCAAACATCCAGTGGACCATGGATGCTGTCCTAAAAAACTCACTCATCTCCTGAGTCCTTAAGTCTTTATTTGTTATTTTAATAAAAACATACGTAATATGTGTAAAATATTCTGCATATATGATTATATATGTAATTGTATAGATATAATTCACATAATTATATAAAAATGTATATCATATTCTTCACATAAAAACTAGACAGAAGGTTTCTGAGAAACTTCTTCGTGATGTGCACATTAATCAAATAGATTTGAACCATTCTTTTTATTCAGCAGTTTGGAAACAGACTTTTTGTAGAATCTGCAAAGAGATATTTGTGAGTGCTTTGAGACCTATGGTGAAAAAGGAAATGTCTTCACATAAAAACTAGAAAGAAGCTTTCTGAGAAGCTTCTTTGTGATGAGTGCATTCACCTCACAGAGTTGAACCATTCTTTTGCTTGAGCAGTTTGGAAACAGTCTTTTTGTTGAATCTGCAAGAGGATATTTGTGAGGCCTTTGAGGCCTATTGTTGAAAAAGGAACTATCTTCACATAAAAACTAGACAGAAAGTTTCTTTTTTTGTTGTTTCTTTAGTGCCCTTTATTATAAATCCCTTCTTTTTTTAGTTTTGTGACATTGGTTTTTTTTTTAAGAAGACAAGTTGGTTTTTTGTAGAATGTCCCTAAATTTCTATTTGCTTGTTTCCTCATGCTTAGATTTTGGGAAGAGTACTAACTAGGTGATGTTTAGTTGCTCCCCTTTAAATGACATGTTTTTAAGTCAATAAAATAAAACAAGCAATACCACAATGCTATCTCCTCCATCTTAGAGACCCATCCTAGCATTTCATCATAGTCATTCAGTAAAATATTCTTCCCTTAGGGTTGGATTTCAGCATGTGGTAGATCTTGATGAACTCTCCCTGGTTCACTGGAGCTCCAGAACCAGGAAATATAATTAGAAATGTTATTAGAGATAAAAAAGCCTAAGTTGATAGATTTTTCTATTTTGAGACCACAAAGAGACTTCTGACATAGTATTTTACAGTGAATACCAGGCTACTGAGCTCCTCTGTCTACTGTCTAAATTATTTTTGTTTTTAATTGGAAAAATTAACACATACATATAAGAAAACAAGTAAAACAATCCCATGCATACAATAAAATTAAATCTTCATCTTAATCCAAATCCTCCCAATTCCACAACCCAGAGAACCAATGTTAGCAGTTTCTTGTGTATCTGTTAAAATACTGTTTACAAGCATATTACATACAGCTCTCCATCTTGCTAGTTAATGGTGGAGATCTTTCTAAGTTAGCACAAATATATTTACATCTTTCTCTTTAGCCAATATTCCATAGACTCAAACATATTCAAATCAGCCATATTGATTCAAATTATGAATCAACCATAATTTACTTAAATGATCTCCAATTGATAGGCATATTTTGCTATTGCTGTAATGAAGGCAGAAATAAAGATGTTCTTTGAAACCAACGAGAACAAAGACACAACATACCAGAATCTCTGGGACGCATTCAAAGCAGTGTGTAGAGGGAAATTTATAGCACTACATGCCCACAAGAGAAAGCAGGAAAGATCCAAAATTGGCACCCTAACATCACAATTAAAAGAACTACAAAAGCAAGAGCAAACACATTCAAAAGCTAGCAGAAGGCAAGAAATAACTAAAATCAGAGCAGAACTGAAGGAAATAGAGACACAAAAAACCCTTCAAAAAATTAATGAATCCAGGAGCTGGTTTTTTGAAAAGATCAACAAAATTGATAGACCACTAGCAAGACTAATAAAGAAAAAAAGAGAGAAGAATCAAATAGATGCAATAAAAAATGATAAAGGGGATATCACCACCGATCCCACAGAAATACAAACTACCATCAGAGAATACTACAAACACCTCTACACAAATAAACTAGAAAATCTAGAAGAAGTGGATAAATTCCTAGACACATACACTCTCCCAAGACTAAACCAGGAAGAAGTTGAATCTCTGAATAGACCAATAACAGGATATGAAATTGTGGCAATAATTAATAGCTTACCAACCAAAAAGAGTCCAGGACCAGATGGATTCACAGCCGAATTCTTCCAGAGGTACAAGGAGGAACCGGTACCATTCCTTCTGAAATTTTTCCAATCAAAAGAAAAAGAGGGAATCCTCCCTAACTCATTTTATGAGGCCAGCATCATTCTGATACCAAAGCCAGGCAGAGACACAACCAAAAAAGAGAATTTTAGACCAATATCCTTGATGAACATTGATGCAAAAATCCTCAATAAAATACTGGCAAAACGAATCCAGCAGCACATCAAAAAGCTTATCCACCATGATCAAGTGGGCTTCATCCCTGGGATGCAAGGCTGGTTCAATATACGCAAATCAATAAATGTAATCCAGCATATAAACAGAGCCAAAGACAAAAACCACATGATTATCTCAATAGATGCAGAAAAGGCCTTAGAAAAAATTCAACAATGCTTCATGCTAAAAACTCTCAATAAATTAGGTATTGATGGGACGTATTTCAAAATAATAAGAGCTATCTATGACAAACCCACAGCCAATATCATACTGAATGGGCAAAAACTGGAAGCATTCCCTTTGAAAACTGGCACAAGACAGGGATGCCCTCTCTCACCACTCCTATTCAACATAGTGTTGGAAGTTCTGGCCAGGGCAATTAAGCAGGAGAAGGAAATAAAGGGTATTCAATTAGGAAAAGGGGAAGTCAAATTGTCCCTCTTTGCAGACGACATGATTGTTTATCTAGAAAACCCCATTGTCTCAGCCCAAAATATCCTTAAGCTGACAGAAAGTTTCTGAGAAACAGATTTGAGATTTCTGCATTCACCTCACAGAGTCAAACACTTCTTCTCCTGGAGCAGATTGGAAATTCTGTTCTTGTAGAATCTGCAATGGTTTATTTGTCAGTGCTTTGAGGCCTATGGTGAAAAAGGAAATATCTTCACATAAGAACTAGAACGATGCTTTCTGAAAAAAATTCCTTGTGATGTGTGCATTCATCTAAAAGAGTTGAACTCTTCTTTTCACTGAGCAGTTTAGAAACAGTCTTTTTGTGGAATCCAAACAGGGATGTTTTTGAGCGATTTGAGGCCTATGATGAAATAGGAAATATCTTCACTTAAAAACTAAACAGAAGGTTTCTGACAAACAGCTTTGTGATGTGTGCATTCATCTCACAGAGGTAAACGTTTCTTTTCATTGAGCAGATTGGAAAATCTGTTCTTGTAGAATCCGCAAAGGGATATTTGTGAGTGCTTTGAGACCTATTGTGGAAAAGGAAATATCTCCACATAAAAACTAGACAGAAGTTTTCTGAGAACGTTCTTTTTGATATGGATATTCAGGTCACAGTGTTGAAATTTCTTTTGATTGAGCAGTTTAGAAAGAGTGTTTTTGTAGAGTTTGAAAAGGGATATTTTTGAGCGCACTGAGGCCTAAGGTGAAAAAGGAAATATATTCTACTAAAAACTAGACAGAAGCTTTCTGAGAAACTTCTTTGTGATTTGTGCATTAATCTCACAGAGTTGAACCTTTGCAAAGGGATATTGGTGAGCGATTTGAGTCCTGTGGTGAAAAAGTAAGTATCTTCATATGAAAACTGGACAGAGGATTTCTGAGAAACATGTTTGTGATGTTTGCATTCATCTCACGAGCTGAACCTTTCTTAAGATTGAGCACTTTGGAAACAGTCTTTTTACAGAATCTGCAAAGGGATATTTGTGAGTGGTTTGAGGCCTATGGTGAAAATAGAAATATCTTCACATTAAAACTAGACAAAATCTTTCTGAGAAACTTCTTTGTGATGTGTGCATTCATCTCACAGAGCTCAACCTTTCTACTGATTGAGCAGTTTGGATACAGTCTTTTTGTGGAATCTGCAATGGATAAATGTGAGCGCTTTGAGGCCTATGATGAAAAAGGAAATATCTTCACATAAAAACTAGACAGAAGATTTCTGAGAAACTTATTTGTGATGTGTGCATTCATCGCACAGAGTTGAACCTTCCTTTTTATTGAACAGTTTGTAAACAGTCTTTTTGTAGAATCTGCAAAGGCATATTTGTGAGCACTTTGAGGCCTATGCTGAAAAATATCTTCACATAAAAACTAGACAGAAGACTTCTGAGAAACTTCTTTATGATGTGCGCTTTCATTTCTCAGAGTTGAACTTTTCTGTTGATTGAGCAGTTTGCAAACAGTCTTTTTGTAGAATCTGCAAAGGGATATTTGTGAGCCCTTTGAGGCCTATTGTTGAAAAGGAAATATCTTCACATAAAAAGTAGACAGAATGTTTCTGAGAAACTGCTTTGTGATGTGTGCATTCATCTCACAGAAGTAAACGTTTCTTTTCATTGAGCAGATTGGATACTCTGTTCTTGTAGAATCTGCAAAGGGATATTTGTGAGCCCTTTGAGGCCTATTGTTGAAAAGGAAATATCTTCACATAAAAAGTAGACAGAATGTTTCTGAGAAACTGCTTTGTGATGTGTGCATTCATCTCACAGAAGTAAACGTTTCTTTTCATTGAGCAGATTGGATACTCTGTTCTTGTAGAATCTGCAAAGGGATATTTGTGAGCGATTTAAGGCCTATGGTGAAAAAGGAAATGTCTTCTCATAAAATTTAGACAGAAGCTTTCTGAGAAACTATTGGTGATGTGTGCATTCATCTCAAAGAGCTGAATCTTTCTTTTGAGTGAGCATTTTGGAAAAAGTCTTTTGGTAGTATCTGCAGAGGGATATTGCAAGTGCTTTGAGGCCTATGGTGAAAAAGGAAATATCTTCACATAAAAACCAGACAGAAGCTTTCTGAGAAACTTCTTTGTGATGTGTGCATTCATCTCAAAGAGTTGAATCTTTCTTTTGAGTGAGCATTTTGGAAAAAGTCTTTTGGTAGTATCTGCAGAGGGATATTGTGAGCGCTTTGAGGCCTATGGTGAAAAAGGAAATATCTTCACATAAAAACCAGACAGGAGCTTTCTGAGAAACTTCTTTGTGATGTGTGCATTTATCCCACAGAGGTAATGCTTTCTTTCCATTGAGCAGATTGGAAACTCTATTCTTGTAGAATCTGCAAAGTGGTATTTGTGAGCCCTTTGAGGCCTACGGTGAAAAAGGAAATATCTTCACATAAAAACTAGACAGAAAGTTTCTGGGAAACTACTTTGCGATGTGTGCATTCATCTCACAGATGTAAATGTATCTTTTCATTGAGCAGACTGGAAACTCCATTCTTGTAGAATCTGCAAAGGGATATTTGTGAGCTCCTTGAGGCCTAAGATGAAAAAGGAAATATCTTCACGTAAAAACTAGAGAGAAGCACGCTGAGAAAGTTCTTTGTAATGTGTGCATTCATCTCACAGAGTTGACATTTTCTTTTGATTGAGCAGTTTGGAAACAGTCTTTTTGTGGATTCTGCAAATGGATATTCGGAGTGCTTTGAGGCCTATGTTGAAAAAGGTAATAGCTTCAGGTAAAAAACAGGTAGAAGCTTTCTGCGAAACTTCTTTGTGATGTGTACATTCATCTCACAGAGTTGGAAATTTCTTTTGATTGAGCCCTTTGGAAACAGTCTTTTTGTAGAATCTGCAAAGGCATATTTGTGAGTGCTTTGGGGCCTATGGTGAAAGACCAAATATCTTCACACAAGAACTAGACTGAATTTTCTGAGAAACATCTTCGTGATGTGTGCATTCACCTCACAGAGTAGAATCTTTCTTTTGATTCAGCAGTTTGGAAACAGTCTTTTTGTAGATTTTGCAAAGGGATATTTGTGAACCCATTGAGGCCTATGGTGAAAAAGGAAATATCTTCACATAAAAACTAGACAGAAGCTTTCTGAGAAACTGCTTTGTGATGTGTGCATACATCTCACAGAGTTGAAACTTTCTTTTGATTGAGCAGTTTGGAAGCGTCTTTTTGTAGAATCTTCAATGGGATATTTGTGAGCCCTTGGAGGCCTATGGTGAAAAAGGATATATATTCACATAAAAACTAGACAGAAGTTTTCTGAGAAACTGATTTGTGATGTGTGCATTCATCTCACAGAGGTAAATGACTCTTTTCATTGCACAGATTGGAAACTCTCTTCTTGTAGAATCTACAAAGGGATATTTGTGAGTGTTCTTAGGCCTATGGTGAAAAAGGAAATACCTTCACATAAAAACTAGACAGAACATTTCTGAGAAACTTCTTTGTGATGTGTGCATTCATCTCACAAATTTGAGCCTTGTTTTTGATTGAGTAGTTTTGAAATGTATTTTTTTTAGAATCTGCAAAGGGATAATTGTGAGCACTTTGAGGCTTATGGTGAAAAAGGAAATATCTTCACATAAAGAGTAGAGAGAAGCTTTCTGAGAAACTTCTTTATTATGTGTCCATTCATCTCACAGAGATGAAAGTTACTTTTGATTGAGCGGTTTGCAAACAGTCTTTTTGTAGTATCTGCAAGGGGATATTTGTGAGCACCTTGAGGCCTATGGAGAAATCGGAAATATCTTCACATGAAAACGAGACAGAAGCTTTCAGAGAAACTTCCTTGTGATGTGTGCATTCATCTTACAGAGTTGAACATTTCTTATGATTGAGCAGATTGGAAACAGTCTTTTTGTAGAATCTGCAAAGGGATATTTGTGAGCCCTTTGAGGCCTATGGTGAAAAAGGAAATATCTTCACGTGAGAACTAGACAGAAGCATTCTGAGAAACTTCTTTGTGATGTGTGCATTCATCTTACAGAGTTGAACATTTCTTATGATTGAGCAGATTGGAAACAGTCTTTTTGTAGAATCTGCAAAGGGATATTTGTGTGTGCTTTGAGGTCTATGGTGAAAAATGAAATATCTTCACATAAAAACTAGACAGAAGTTTTCTGAGAAACTGATTCATGGTGTGTGCATTCATCTCACGGAAATAAACGCTTCTTTTCAATGAACAGATTGGAAACTCTGTTCTTATACAATCTACAAAGTGATATTTGTGAGAGCTTTGAGGCCTACTGTGAAAAAGGAGATACATTCACAT
The DNA here is from genome assembly GCF_000001405.40 of Homo sapiens. Lineage (NCBI taxonomy): Eukaryota > Metazoa > Chordata > Mammalia > Primates > Hominidae > Homo > Homo sapiens. Next base: position 22,726,023 of record NC_000017.11, read on the forward strand.
AAAAACTAGACAGAACATTTCTGAGAAACTTCTTTGTGAGGTGTCCATTCATCACAAAGAGTTGAAAATTTCATTTCATTGAGCAACTTCAAAACAGTCTTTTTGAAAAATCTGCAAAGAGATATTTGTGAGCGGTATGAGGCCATGGTGAAAAGGGAAATATCCTCACATTAAAACTAGACAGAAGCTTTTTTTTAAAAATAATTTCTCAGTCTTTATTTAATAAGAGTTCTGAAAGTATTACAAACATGGAGTAAGTCTTACTATGTTGAAGAGAAAGGAAAACTGTATAGATTGTAAAAAACCGTTTTTCTCTTTCCTTTAACAAAAGTGTGTATACATTTGCATGAATGCAGCTGTGGTGCAAAACTTAGATATAAGAGCTTTTGTTGCTATTTCTGGCACTGGATTTAATACTACTTTTCCACTCATGGGGAATTAATTAGCTGATGTAACTTCCTCAGGAAACACTAGATACTTGCTTGCCTACTTTTACAGACACAGAAAATTCTGGTTGGGACTCTGTCAGTCCCAATTACAGAGCTGTTAGAGAATTTATCTTTGTCATGTGAAATGTATCAAATTATTGTGTGAAACAAAATACTTGTTGTTTTTTGAAATTCATAGGGATTAATTTGAAAACAACATTTATATTTGTAAAACCAACACAGAATATGGAAGGGAAGTAAATATTCTTCAATGTAGAATATGTAAACTCTGTCTTTTTGAGCTGCTAATGAAAGAATGTATTATTAGGAAAAGTATCATACAGGATTTTAATGTGACACGTGGCTTACGCTGATTCTATCATAGTCTTTTATGCTAAGAAATGATGATTTAATAATATCTTCAAAGAAAGTAAGTAGAGTTGTCATTACCAAAATAAGTCAAGGCAATTGGCCATGTAAATTTAACATAATTTTGTTTCCACTTTATATGTTGTTCCACAACATAATTTTGTTTTCCACTTTAGCTGTACTTATTTTTTTCTTTTATTATTATTATACTTTAAGTTTTAGGGTTAGCATTAAATATTAAAGTATTATACTTTAATAAAAATATTATAGTATTATTACACTTTAATAAAAATATTAAAGTATAATATTATTACTATACTTAAAAATATTAAAGTATAATATTATTACCATACTTTAATAAAAATATTAAAGTGTAATATTATTATACTTTAAGTTTTAGGGTACATGTGCACAATGTGCAGGTTTGTTACATGTGTGTACATGTGCCATGTTAGTGTACTGCACCCATTAACTCATCATTTAGCATTAGGTATATCTCCGAATGCTATCCCTCCCCACTCTCCCCACCCCACAACAGTCCCCAGAGTGTGATGTTCCCCTTACTGTGTCCATGTGTTCTCATTGTTCAATTCCCACCTATGAGTGAGAACATGCAGTGTTTGGTTTTTCTGTCCTTGTGATAGTTGGCTGAGAATGATGATTTCCAGTTTCATCCATGTCCCTACAAAGGACATGAACTCATCATTTTCTATGGCTGCATAGTATTCCATGGTGTATATGTGACACATTTTCTTAATCCAGTCTATTGTTGTTGGACATTTGGGTTGGATCCAAGTCTTTGCTATTGTAAATAGTGCCACAATAAACATATGTGTGCATGTGTCTTTTTGGCAGCATGATTTATAGTCCTTTGGTTATATACCCAGTAATGGGATGGCTGGGTCAAATGGTATTTCTCATTCTAGATCCCTGAAGAATTGCCACACTGACTTCCACAATGGTTGAACTAATTTACAGTCCCACCAACAGTGTAAAAGTGTTCCTATTCCTCCACATCCTCTCCAGCACCTTTTGTTTCCTGACTTTTTAATGGTCACCATTCTAACTGGTGTGAGATGGTATCTAATTGTGGTTTTGATTTGCATTTCTCTGATGGCCAGTGATGATGAGCATTTTTTCATGTGTCTTTTGGCTACATAAATGTCTTCTTTTGAGAAATGTCTGTTCATATCCTTTGCCCACTTTTTGATGGGTTTTGTTTTCTTGTAAATTTGTTTGAGTTCATTGTAGATTCTAGATATTAGCCCTGTGTCAGATGAGTAGGTTGTGAAAATTTTCTCCCATTTTGTAGGTTGCCTGTTCACTCTGATGGTATTTCTTTTGATGTGCAGAAGCTCTTTAGTTTAATTAGATCCCATATGTCAATTTTGGCTTTTGTTGCCATTGCTTTTGGTGTTTTAGACATGAAGTCCTTGCCCATGCCTATGTCCTGAATGGTATTGTCTAGGTTTGCTTCTAGGGTTTTTATGGTTTTAGGTCTAACATGTAAGTCTTTAATCCATCTTGAATTAATTTTTGTATAAGTTGTAAGGAAAGGATCCAGTTTCAGCTTTCTACATATGGCCAGCCAGTTTTACCAGCATCATTTGTTAAATAGGGAATCCTTTCCCCATTTCTTGTTTTTGTCAGGTTTGTCAAAGATCAGATAGTTGTAGATATGCAGCATTATATCTGAGAGCTCTGTTCTGTTCCATTGATTTATGTCTCTGTTTTGGTTCCAGTAACATGCTGTTTTGGTTACTGTAGCCTTGTAGTATAGTTTGAAGTCAGGTAAGGTGATGCCTCCAGCTTTGTTCTTTTGGCTTAGGATTGACTTGGCGATGCAGGCTTTTTTTGGTTCCATATGAACTTTAAAGTAGTTTTTTTCCAATTCTGTGAAGAAAGTCATTGGTAGCTTGATGGGGATGGCATTGAATCTATAAATTACGTTGGGCAGTGTGGCCATTTTCATGATATTGATTCTTCCAACCCATGAGTATGGAATGTTCTTCCATTTGTTTGTATCCTCTTTTATTTCATTGGAAAGTGGTTTGTAGTTCTCCGTGAAGAGGTCCTTCACATCCCTTGTAAGTTGGATTCCTAGGTATTTTATTCTCTTTGAAGCAATTGTGAATGGGAGTTCACTCATGATTTGGCTCTCTGTTTGTCTGTTATTGGTGTATAAGAATGCTCGTGATTTTTGCACATTGATTTTCTATCCTGAGTCTTTGCTGAAGTTGCTTATCAGCTTAAGGAGATTTTGGGCTGAGACAATGGGGTTTTCTAGATATACAATCATGTCGTCTGCAAACAGGGACAATTTGACTTCCTCTTTTCCTAATTGAATACCCTTTATTTCCTTCTCCTGCCTAATTGCCCTGGCCAGAACTTCCAACACTATGTTGAATAGGAGTGGTGAGAGAGTTTATCCCTGTCTTGTGCCCGTTTTCAAAGGGAATGCTTCCAGTTTTTGCCCATTCAGTATGATATTGGCTGTGGGTTTGTCATAGATAGCTCTTATTATTTTGAGATACATCCCATCAATACTTAATTTATTGAGAGTTTTTAGCATGAAGAGTTGTTGAATTTTTTCAAAGGCCTTTTGTGCATCTATTGAGATAGTCATGAGGTTTTTGTCTTTGGTTCGGTTTATGTGCTGGATTACATTTATTGATTTGTGTGTGTTGAAACAGACTTGCATCCCAGGGATGAAGCCTACTTGATGATGGTGGATAAGCTATTTGATGTGCTGCTGGATTCAGTTTGCCAGTATTTTACTGAGGATTTTTGCATCAATGTTCATGAATGATATTGGTCTAAAATTCTCTTTTTTGGTTGTGTCCCTGCCAGGCTTTGGTATCAGGATGATGCTGGCATCATAAAATGAGTTAGGGAGGACTCCCTCTTTTTCTATTGATTGGAATAGTTTCAGAAGGAATGGTACCAGTTCCTCCTTGTACCTCTGGAAGAATTCGGCTGTGAATCAATCTGGTCCTGGACTCTTTTTTTGTGATGTGTGCATTCATCTCAGAGGGTTGAAACTTTCTTTTGATTGAGTAGTTTGGAAACAGTCTTTTTTTAGAATCTGCAAATGGATATTTGGAGCACTTGGGGACTATGGTGAAATAGAAAGTATCTTCACTTTAAAAGTAGACAAATTTTTCTGGGAAACTTCTTTGTGATGTGTCCATTCAACACACACAGACTTGAGCATTTCTTTCAATTGAGCAGTTTGGAAACAATCTTATTATAGAATCTGCATAAGGAAATTTGTGAGAGGTTTGAGGCCTATGTTGAAAAAGGAAATATCTTCACATTAAAACTAGACAGAAGCTGTCTGAGAAACTCCTTTGAGATGTGTGCATTCATCTCACGGAGTTGAACTTTTCTTTTGATTGAGCAGTTTGGAAAATGTCTTTCCGTAGAATCTGCCAAGAGATATTTGGAGTGCTTTAAGGCCTATTGTGAAAAAGGAAATATGTTCACATAAAAACTAGACAGAAGTTTTCGCAAAATCTGATTTGGGATGTGTTCATTCATCTTACAGTGTTGAACCTTTCTTTTCATTGAGCAGTTTGGAAGCAGTCTCTTTGTAGAATCTGCAAAGGGATATTTTTGAGCACTTGGAGGCCTTTGGTGAAAAAGGATATATCTTCACATAAAAACTAGACAGAAGGTTTCTGAGAAACTGATTTTTGATGTGTGCATTCATCTCACAGACGTAAATGCTTCTTTTCATTGAGCAGTTTGCAAACTCTGTTCTTGTGGAATCTGCAAATGGATATTTGTGAGGGCTTTGAGGCCTATGGTGAAAAAGGAAATATCTTCACATAAAAACTATACTGAACATTTCTGAGAAACTTCTTTGTGATGTGTGCATTCATCTCTCACATTGGAAACTTTCTTTTCATTGAGCTGTTTGGAAACAGTCTTTTTGTATAATCTGCAAAGGGATATTTGTGAGCCCTTTGAAGCCTATGGTGAAAAAGAAAATATCTTCACATAAAAACTAGACAGAAGCCTTCTGAGAAACTTCTTTGTGATATGTCCATTCATCTCACAGAGTTGAACCCTACTTTTGATTGAGCAGTTTTGAAGAAGTCTTTTTGTAGAATCTGCAAAGGGATTTTAGTGAGCAGTTCTAGGCCTACGGTGAAAAGGGAAATATCTTCGCATAAAAACTAGACAGAAGGTTTCTGAGAAACTGATTTATGACGTGGGCATTTGTCTCACAGACATAAATGCTCCTTTTCATTGAGCAGTTTGGAAAAAGTCTCCTTGTAGAATTAGCAAATGGATATTTGTGAGTGCTTTGAGGCCTATGGTGAAAAGGAAATATCTTCACATAAAAACTAAACAGAAGCATTCTGAGAAACTTCTTTGTGAGCTGTGGATTCATGTCACAGAGTTGAACCTGTCTTTTGATAGAGCAGCTTTGAAACAGTCTTTTTGTAGAATCTGCAAAGGGATACTTTGGAGTGCTTTGAGGTCTATGGTGAAAAAAGAAATATCTTCACATAAAAACTATATGGAAGCTTTCTGGAAAACTTGTTTGTGAACTCTGCATTCATCTCACAGAGTTGAAACTTTATTTTGATTGAGCATTTTGGAAAGAGTCGTTTTGTAGAATCTGTTAAGGGATATTTGTGAGTGCTTTGACATCTATGGTGAAAAAGGAAATATCTTCACAGAAAAACTAGATGGAAGCTTTCTGAGAAACTTCTCTGTGATGTGTGCATTCATCTCAGAGAGTTGAACCTTTCTTTTGATTGAGCAGTTTGGAAACAGTCTTTTTATAGAATCTGCCAAGTGATAATTGGACTGCATTTAGGCCAATGGTGAAAAAGGAAATATCTATACATAAAGACTAGTTAGAAGCTTTCTGAGGAACTTCTTTGCGATGTGTGCATTCATCTCACAGACTTGAACCTTTCTGTTAATTGAGCTGTTTGGAAGCAGTCTTTTTATAGAATGTGCAAAGGGATATTTGTGAAGCAGTTTGAGGCCTATGGTGAAAAAGGAAATTCCTCATATGTAAATTAGAGAGAAGCTTTATGAGAAACTTCTCTGTGATGTGTGCATTCATCTCACAGAGTTGAATCTTTCTTTGGATTGAACAGTTTGGAAACAGTCTTTTTGTAGAATCTGCAAATCAATATTTGCCGCTCTTTGAGGCCTGTGGTGAAAAAGGAAATATTTTCACATAAAAAGTAGACAGAAGCTTTCTGAGAAATTTATTTATGATGTGCGCATTCATCTCACAGAGTTGGACCTTCCTTTGATTGAGCAGTTTGGAAACAGTCTTTTTGTAAAATCTGCAATTCAGTATTTGTCACGCTTTGAGTCCTATGGTGAAAATGGAAATATCTTCACATGAAAAGTATATGGAAGCTTTCTGAGAAACTTTTCTTATGTGTGCATTCAACTCACAGGGCTGAACCTTTCTTTTGATTGAGCAATTTGGAAACAGTCTTTTTGTAGTATCAGCAAAGGGATATTTGGAGCGCTTTGAGGCCTAAGTTGAAAAAGGGAATATCTGCACATAAAAACTAGACAGAAGCTTTCTGAGAAGCTTCTTTGTGATGTGGGCATTCATCTCAGAGAGTTGAACCTTTCATTTCATTGAGCAGTTTGGAAACTGTCTTTTTGTAGAATCTGCAAAAGGATATTTGGTGTGCTTTGAGACCTACTGTGAAAATGGAAATATCTTCACATAAAAACTAGATGGAAGCATTCTAAGACACTTACTTAAGATGTGAGCACTCATCTCCCAGAGTTGAACCTTTCTTTTGATTGAGCAGTTTGGAAACAGTCATTTTGTAGAATCTGCAAAGGGATGTTTTGAGCTGTTTGAGGTCTATGGTGAAAAAGGAAATATCTTCACATAAAAACTAGACAGAAGCTTTCTGAGAAACTTTTCTGTGATGTGTGCATTCACCTCACAGAGTTGAACTTTTCTTTGGATTGAACAGTTTGGAAACAGTCTTTTTGTAGAATCTGCAAATTGATATTTGCCACTCTTTGAGGCCTGTGGTGAAAAAGGAAATATCTTCACATAAAAATTAGACAGAAGCTGTCTGAGAAATTCTTTGTGATGTGTACATTCGTCTCACAGACTTAAACCTTTTTTTGAGCAGTTTGGAAGCAGTCTTTTTGTAGAATCTGGAAAGGGATATTTGGAGAACTTTGAAGTCTTTGGTGAAGAAGGAAATATCTTCACATCAAAACTAGACAGAAGCTTTCTTAGAAACTACTTTGTGATGTGTGCATTCATCTCACACAGTTGAAGCTTTCTTTGAATTGAGCAGTTTGGAAACAGTGTTTTTGTAGAATCTGTAAAGAGATACATGGAGCGCTATGAGGCATCTGGTGAAAAAGGAAATATCTTCACATAAAAACTAGACAGAATGTTCCTGAGAAACCTCTTTGTGATGTGTGCATTCATCTCACAGAGTTGAAAATTTCTTTTGATGGAGCAGTTTTCAAAGAGTCTTTTTGTGGAATCTGTAAAGGGATATATGTGAGCACTTTGAGGCCTATAGTGAAAAGGAAATATCTTCACATCAAAGCTAGATGGAAAATCTCTGAGATACTTCTTTGTGATGTGTGCATTCATCTCACATAGGTGAGCCTTTCTTTTGATTGAACAGTTTGGAAGCAGTCGTTTCTAGAATCTGCAAATTGATATTTGCCACTCTTTGAGGCCTGTGGTAAAAACGAAATATGTTCACATAACAACTAGACTGAACGTTTCTGAGAAACTTCTCTATGGTGTCTGCATTCATCTCACAGAGTTGAACCTTCTTTTGATTGAGCAGGTTGGCAACAGTCTTTTTGTAGAATCTGTAAATTGATATTTGCCGCACTTTGAGGCCTATGGTGAGAAAGGAAATATCTTCACAAGAAAGTAGATGGAAGCTTTCTGAGAAACTTGTTTGTGATGTGTGCATTCATCTCACAGAGCTGAACCTTTCTTTTGATTGAGCAGTTTGTAAAGAGTCTTTTGTAGAATTGGCAAAGGGATATTTGGAGTCCTTTGAGGCCTATGGTGAAAAAGGAAATATCTCCACATAAAAACTATACAGAAGCTTTCTGTGAAACTTCTTTGTGATGTGTGCATACATCTCAGAGACACGATCTTCACATGAAAACTAGACAGAAGCTTTCTGAGAAACTTCCTTGTGATCTGCACATTCCTCTCACCCAGTTGAACTTTTCTTTTGATTCAGCAGTTTGGAAGCAGCCTTTTTGTAGATCCTGCAGAGGGATATTTCTGAGTGCTTTGAGGCCTGTGGTGAAAAATGAAATTTCTTCATATAAAAACTAGACAGAAGCTTTCTGGGAAACTTCCTTGTTATGTGTGCATTCATCTCACAGAGGTGAACCTTTCTTTTGATTGATCAGTTTGGAAACAGTCTTTTTGTAGAATCTGCAAAGAGATATTTGGATTGCTATGAGACCTATCTTGAAAAACGAAGTATCTTCACATAAAAACTAGACAAAAGCTTTCTGAGAAACTTCTTTGTGATCTGTGCATTCATCTCACAGAGCAAAACCTTCCTTTTGATTGAGCAGTTTGGAAACAGTCCTTTTGTAGTATCTGTAATGGGATATATGTGAGCCTCTTGAGGCCTGGGGTGAAAAAGGAAATATCTTCAAATAAAAACAAGACAGAAACATTCTGAGAAACTTCTTTGTGATGTGTCCATTCATCGCACAGAGCTGAACATTTCCTTTGATTGAGAAGTGTGGAAACAGTCTTTTTGAAGAATCTGCTGAGGGATATTTGTGAGCAGTTTGAGACCTGTGGTGAAAAAGAAATATCTTTACATTAAAAATAGACAGAAGCTTTCTGAGAAACTGCTTTTTGATGTGTGGATACATCTCACAGATTAGAAGCCTTCTTTGAATTGAGCAGTCTGATAACAGACTTTTTGTAGAACCTGCAAATGTATATTTTGAATACTTTGAGGCCTATGGTGAAAAGGGAAATATCTTCAAATAAATCTAGACAGAATCTTTCTGTGAAACTTCTTTGTGATAGCTCTATTCATCTCACAGAGTTGTACATTTCTTTTAATTGAGCAGTATGTAAACAGTCTTTTTGTAGAATCTGCAAAGGGATATTTCTGAGTCGTTTGAGGCCTCTGGTGCAACAGGAAATATCTTCACATAACTTCTAGCCAGAAGCTTTCTGAGAAACTTCTTTGTGATGCGTGGATTCATCTCACAGAGGAGAAATTTTCCTTTGATTGATCAATATGGAAAATCTCTTTATGTAGAATCTGCCAGGGGATATATGGAGTGCATTGAGGCTTATGTTGAAAAAGGAAATATTTTCACATAAAAACTAAACAAAATCTTTCTGAGAAACTTCTTTGTGATCTCTGCAATCATGTCAGAGAGTTGAAACTTTCTTTTGATTGAGCAGTTTGGATACAGTCTTTTTGTAGAATCTGCACATGGATATTTGTGAGTGGTCTGAGGCCTATGGTGAAAAAGGAAATATCTTCACATAAAAACTAGACCAAAGATTTCTCAGAAACTTCTTGGTAATGTGTACATTCATCTCACATATTCGAACATTTCTTTTGATTGAACATTTTGCAAACACTCTTATTGTAGAATCTGCCAAGGGATATTTGGAGCGCATTGAGGCCTATGGTGAAAAAGGAAACATCTACATATAAAAACTAGACAGAGGCTTTCTGAAAAACTTCTTTCTGATGTGTGCATTCATCTCACAGAGTTGAACCTTCCTTTCACGGAGCAGTTGACAACAGTCTTTTTGTAGAATCTGCAAAGGAATATTTGGAGCACTTTGAGGACTATGGTGAAAATGGAAATATCTTCACATAAAATTTAGACAGAAGCTTTCAGAAAAACTTCCTTATGATGTGTGCATTCATCTCACAGAGTTGAACGTTTCTTTTGATCGAGCAGTTTGGCGACAGTCTTTTTGTAGAATATGCAAAAGGATATTTGGCACACTTTGAGGCCTATGGTGTAAAACGAAATATCTTCACCTAAAAAGTAGACGGAAGTTTTCTGAGGAACCACTTTGTGATGTGTGCATTCATCTCACAGATTTGAACCATTCTTTTGATTGAGCAGTTTAGACACAGTCTTTTTGCAGAATCTGCAAAGGGATGTTTGGAGCGCATTGAGACCTATGGTGAAAAAGGAAATATCTTCACATAAAAATTACAGAGAACCTTTCTGAGAAACTTCCTTGTGATGTGTGCATTCATCTCACAGTGTTGAACATTTCTATTGATTGAGCAGTTTTGTAACAGTCTTTTTGTAGAATCTGTAAAGGGATATATGTGAGCACTTTGAGGCTCATGGTAAAAAAGGAAATATCTGCACATAAAACTAGACAGAAGATTTCTGAGAAACTTCTTTGTGATCTGTGCATTCATCTCACTCAGTTTAACCATTCTTTTGATTGAGCACTTTGGAAACAGTCTTTTTGTAGAGTCTGCAAAGGGATACTTGTGAGCATTTTGAGCCCTAGGGTGAAAAAGGATATATCTTCACATAAAAACTAGACAAAAGCTTTCTGAGAAACTTCTTTGTAATGCGTGGATTCATCTCACAGAATTAAACTTTTCTTTTGATTGAACAGTTTGGAAAAGTCTTTTTATAGAATCTGCCAAGGGATATTTGGAGTGCTTTGAGGCCTATGATGTAAAAGGAAATATCTTCACATAAAAACTAGACAGAAGATTTCTGAGAAATTTCTTTGTGATTTTTCCATTCATCTCAGAGAGTTGAATGTTTTCTTTGATTGAACAGTTTGGAAACAATCTTTTTGTAGAATCTGCCAAGGGATATTTGGAGTGCTTTGAGGCCATGGTGAAAAAGGAAATATCTTTACATAAAAACTAGACAGAAGCTTTCTGAGGAACTTCTTTGTGATGTGTGCTTTCATCTCACAAAGCTGAACCTTTCTTTTTATTGAGCAGTTTGTAAAAAGTCTTTTTGTAAATTCTGCAAAAGGATTTTTGTGAGCTGTTTGATGCCGATGTTGAAAAAGGAAATATTGACAAATAAAATCTAGACAGACCCTTTCTAGGAAACTACTTTGGGATGTGTGCATTCATCTCACAGAGTTGAACCATTCTTTTGTTGAGCAGTTGTGGAAACAGTGTTTTTGTAGTATCTGCAGAGAGATATATGCAGGCAGTTATAGGCTAATTCTGAAAAAGTAAATATCTTCATATAAGAACTAGACAGTAGGTTTCTGAGAATCTTCCTTGTGATGTGTGCATTCATCATACTGAGTTGAACCTTTGTTTTGATTGAGCAGTTTGGAAACAGTCTTTTTGCAGAATCTGTAAAGTGATATTTGAGAACGCTTTTATGCTCATGGTGAAAAATGAAGTATCTTCACATAAAAACTAGACAGTAGCATTCCGAGAAACTTCTTTGTGATGTGTGAATTCATCTCACAGAGTTGAACCTTTGTTTTGATTGAGCAGTTTGGAAACAGTCTTTTTCTAGAATCTGCAAAGGATATTTGTGAGCGCTTTGAGGCCTATGGTGAAAATGGAAATTTCTTCACATAAAAACTAAAGAGAAGTTTTCTGAGAAACTTCTTTGTGATGTGTGCTTTCATCTCAGAGATTTGAATCTTCCTTTTGGTTGAGCAGTTTGGACACAGTCTTTATGTAGAATCTGTACAGGGATATATGAGCACTTTCAGGCCTATGGTGAAAAAGGAAATATCTTCACATAAACACTAGACAGAAGCTTTTTGAGCAACTTCTTTGTGATGTCTGCATTCATCTCATAGAGGTCAACCTTTCTTTTCATTGAGAAGTTTGGAAACAGTCTTTTTGTAGAATCTGCCAAGTGATATTTGAACCACTTTTAGGCCTATGGTGAAAAAGGAAATATGTTTACATAAAAACTAGACAGACGCTATCTGAGAAACTTCTTTGTGATGTGTGCATTCATCTCACAGTGTTAAATCTTTCTGTTCATTGAGCAATTTGGAAACTGTCTTTTTGTATAATCTGCAAAGGGATAGTTGTGAGCTCTTTGAGGCCTGTGGTGAAAAAGGAAACATCTTCACATAAAAACTAGAGAGAAGTTTTCTGAGAAACTTCCTTGTGATCTGTGCACTCACCTCACAGGGTTGAACCTTTCTGTTCATTTAGCAGTTTGGAAAGAGTCTTTTTGTAGTATCTGCACAGGGATATTTGTGAGCCCTTTGAGGCCTTTGGTGAAAAAGGAAATATCTTCACATAAAAACTAGACAGAAGATTTCTGAGAAACTTCCTTGTGATCTGTGCATTCATCTCACAGAGCTAAACCTGCTTTCTGATTGAACAGTATGGAAACAGTCTTTTTGTAGAATCTGCAGCGTGATATTGGGATAGCTTTTAGGCCTGAGGTGAAAAAGGAAATATCTTCACATGAAAACTAGACAGGTGTTTTCTGAGAAACTTCTTTGTGATGTTTGCATTCATCTCATGGAGTTGAACTTTTCTTTTGATTGAGCAGTTTGGAAAGAGTATTTTTATAGAATCTGTAAAGGGATATGCATAAGCCCTTTGAGGCTTATGGTGAAAAAGGAAATATCTTCACGTCAAAACTAGACAGAAGCTTTCAGAGAAACTTCTTTGTGATGTGTGTATTCATCTCACAGAGTTGAATCTTTCTGTTCATTGAGCAATTTTGAAACAGTCTTTTTGTAGAATCTGCAAAAGGATATTTGTGAGCCCTTTGAGGCCTATGGTGAAAAAAGAAATATCTTTACATAAAAACATGAAAGAAGCATTCTGAGAAACTTCCTTGTGATGTATTCATTCATCTCACACAGTTGAATCTTTCTTTTGATAGAGCAGATCAGAAACAATCTTTTTGTGGAATCTGCAAAGGAATATTCATGAATGGTTTGAGGCCTATGTTGAAAAAGGAAATGTCTTCACCTTAAAAATAGACAAAAGATTTTTGAGAAACTTTTCTGTAATGTGTGCATTCATCTCACAGAGTTGAACATTTCTTTTGATTGAGTAGTTTGGAAACAATCTTTTTGTAAAATCTGCCAAGGGATATTTGGAGCGCTTTGATGCCTGTGGTGAAAAAGGAAATATATTCATATTAAAACTAGATAGAGGTTTTTCAGAAAATTCTATGTATGTATGCATTAATCTCACAGAGTTGAACATTTCCTTTGATTGATCAGTTCGGAAACAGTCTTTTTGTAGAATTGGTAAAATGATATTTGGAGCACCCTGAGGGCTATGGTGAAAAAGGAAATATCTTCACATGTAAGCTAGACAGAAGCTTTCTGAGAAACTTCGTTGTGATGTGTTCATTTTTCTCAAAGAGTTGAACCTTTCCTTTGAGCAGTATGGGAACAGTCTTTTTGAAGAATCTGCCAAGGGATATTGGAGAGCAGTTTGAGGCCTATTTTGAAAAAGGATATATCTTCACATAAAAACTAGGCAGAAGATTTCTGAGAAACTTCTTTGTGATGTGTGCTTTCATCTCAAATAGTTGAACCTTACTTTTGATTGAACCATTGGGAAAGAGTCTTTTGTAGAATCTACGAAAGGATATTTGGAGTGCTTTGAGGTCTTTGGTGAAGAAGAAAATATCTTCACATAAAAACTAGACAGAAGCTTAATGAGAAAATTCTTTGTGATGGCTGCATTCATCTCACAGAGTTGAACCTTTCTTTTGATTGAGCAGTTTAGAAACAGTTTTTTTTGTAAAATCTGTAAAGGGATATTTGGAGAACTTTGAGGCCTGTGGTGAAAAAGGAAATATCTTCACATAACAATTAGATGGAAGCTTTTTGAGAAACTTCTTTGTGATGTGTGGATTCATCTCACAGAGTTGAAACTTTCTTTTGATTGAGCAGTTTGGAAACAGTCTTTTTGTGGAATCTGCAAAAGGATATTTGGTACGCTTTGAGGTCTATGGTGAAAAAGATAACATCCTCACATAAAAACCAGATGGAAGATTTCTGAGGAACTTCTTTATGATGTGTGCATTCATCCCACAGGGCTGAAATTTTCTTTTGATTTAGCAGTTTGGAAACAGTCTTTTTGTAGAATCTGCAAAGGGATATTTTGAGTGGTTTGAGGCCTATGTTGAAAAAGGAATTATCGTCACATAGAAACTAGAGAGAAGCTTTCTGAGAAACTCCTTGTGATGTGGGCATTCATCTCACAGACTTGAAACTTTCTTTTGATTTAGCAGGTTGGAAGCAGTCTTTTTGTAGAATCTGCAAAGGGATATTTGGAGCGATTTGAAGCCTTTGGTGAAAAAGGAAATATCTCCACATAAAAAGTAGACAGAAGCTTTCTGAGAAAATTCTTTGTGATGTGTGCATTCATCTCACACATTTGAACCTTTTTTTGATCGAGCAGTTTTGAAACAGTCTTTTTGTAGAATCTGTAAAGAGATAAATGTGAGCCCTTTGAGGCCTATGGTGAAAAGGAAATATCTTCACATCAAAACTAGACAGAAGCTTTCTGGGAAACTTCTTTGTGATGTGTGCATTCATCTCACAGAGTTGAAACTTTCTTTTGATTGAACAGTTTAAAAACAGTCTTTTTGAAGAATCTTCAAATGGATATTTGAGCTCTTTGATGCCTATGGTGAAAAGAGAATTATCTTCACATGAAAACTAGAAAGAAGCTCTCTCCCTCTCTCTCTCCCTCTCCCTCTCCCCACAGTCTCCCTCTCCCTCTCTTTCCATGGTCTCCCTCTGATGCCGAGCCAAAGCTGGACTGTACTGCTGCCATCTCGGCTCACTGCAACCTCCCTGCCTGATTCTCCTGCCTCAGCCTGCCAAGTGCCTGCCATTGCAGGCACGCGCCACCACGCCTGACTGGTTTTTGCATTTTTTTGGTGGAGACGGGGTTTCGCTGTGTTGGCTGGGCCGGTCTCCAGCTCCTAACCACGAGTGATCCGCCAGCCTCGGCCTCCCTAGGTGCCGGGATTGCAGACGGAATCTCATTCACTCAGTGCTCAGTGGTGCCCAGGCTGGAGTGCAGTGGCGTGATCTCGGCTCGCTACAACCTCCACCTCCCAGCCGCCTGCCTTGGCCTCCCAAAGTGCCGAGACTGCAGCCTCTGCCTGGCCGCCACCCCGTCTGGGAAGTGAGGAGTGTCTCTGCCTGGCCGCCCATCGTCTGGGATGTGAGGAGCCCCTCTGCCTGGCTGCCCAGTCTGGAAAGTGAGGGGCGTCTCTGCCCGGCCGCCATCCCATCTAGGAAGCGAGGAGCGCCTCTTCCCGGCCGCCATCCCCATCTAGGAAGTGAGGAGCGTCTCTGCCCGGCCGCCCATCGTCTGAGATGTGGGGAGCGCCTCTGCCCCGCTGCCCCTTCTGGGATGTGAGGAGCCCCTCTGCCCGGCCGTGACCCCGTCTGGGAGGTGAGGAGCATCTTTGCCCGGCCGCCCCATCTGAGAAGTGAGGAGACCCTCTGCCTGGCAACCGCCCCGTCTGAGAAGTGAGGAGCCCCTCCGCCCAGCAGCCGCCCCATCTGAGAAGTGAACAGCCCCTCCGCCTGGCAGCTGCCCCATCTGGGAAGTGAGGAGCATCTCCGCCCGGCAGCCACCCCGCCCGGGAGGGAGGTGGGGGGGGTCAGCCCCCCGCCCCGCCAGCCGCCTCATCCGGGAGGGAGGTGGGGGGGTCAGCCCCCGGCCCGGCCAGCCGCCCCGTCCGGGAGGGAGGTGGGGGGTCAGCCCCCACCCGGCCAGCCGCCCCGTCCGGGAGGGAGGTGGGGGGTCAGCCCCCCACCCGGCCAGCCGCCCCATCCAGGAGGTGAGGGGCGCCTCTGCCCGGCCGCTCCTACTGGGAAGTGAGGAGCCCCTCTGCCCGGCCACCACCCCATCTGGGAGGTGTACCCAACAGCTCATTGAGAACGGGCCATGATGACAATGGCGGTTTTGTGGAATAGAAAGGGGGGAAAGGTGGGGAAAAGACTGAGAAATCGGATGGTTGCCATGTCTGTGTAGAAAGAAGTAGACATGGGAGACTTTTCATTTTGTTCTGTACTAAGGAAAATTCTTCTGCATTGGGATCCTGTTGATCTGTGACCTTACCCCCAACCCTGTGCTCTCTGAAACATGTGCTGTGTCCACTCAGGGTTAAATGGATTAAGGGTGGTGCAAGATGTGCTTTGTTAAACAGATACTTGAAGGCAGCATGCTCCATAAGAGTCATCACCACTCCCTAATCTCAAGTACCCAGGGACACAAACACTGTGGAAGGCCGCAGGGTCCTCTGCCTAGGAAAACCAGAGGCCTTTGTTCACTTGTTTATCTGCTGACCTTCCCTCCACTATTGTCCTATGACCCTGCCAAATCCCCCTCTGTGAGAAACACCCAAGAATGATCAATAAAAAAAAAAGAAAAAAAAAGAAAAATGAAAAAAAAAAAGAAAACTAGAAAGAAGCTTTCTGAGAAACTACTTTGTGATGTGTGCATTCATCTCACAGACTTGCAACTTTCTTTTGATTGAGCAGTTTGGAAATAGTCTTTTTGTAGAAGCTGCAAAGTAATGTTTTTGAGCGCTTTGAGGCCTATGGTGAAAAAGGAAATATATTCACCTAAAAACTACGTGGAAGCTTTCTGAGAAACTTCTTTGTGATGCGTGCATTCATCTCACAGAGTTGAAACTTTGTTTTGATTGAGGAGTTTGGAAACAGTCTTTTTGTAGAATCTTCAGAGAGATATTTGTGAGCCATTTGATGCCTATGATGAAAAAGGAAATATCTTCATATAAAAACTAGACAGAAGCTTTCAGAGAAATATCTTTGGGATGTGTGCATTCATTTCATGGAGTTGAACTTTTCTTTTGATCAAGCAGTTTGGAAACAGTTTTTTTGTAGAATCTGCAAAAGGATATTTGGTGGGATTTGAGGCCTACTCTGAGAAAGGAAATATCTTCACATAAAAACTAGACGGAGGCCTTCTAAGAAACTTCCTTATGATGTGTACATTCATCTCACAGAGTTGAAACTTTCTTATGATTAATCAGTTTGGAAACACTGTTTTTGTAGAATCCACAGATGGATACAAGTAAGCCCTCTGAGGCCTATGGTGAAAAAGGAAATATCTGCAAATAAAAACTAGACAGAAGATTCCTGAGAAACTTCTTTGTGATGTGTGCATTCATATCACAGAGCTGAATCTTTCCTTAGATTGAGCACTTTTGAAATTGTCTTTTTGTATATTCTGTGCAGGGATATTTGTTAGCAGTTAAAGTCCTTTGGCAAGAAATGAAATATATTCACATAAAAACCACACAGAAGCTTTCTGAGAAACTTCTTTGTGATGTGTGCATTCGTCTCACAGAGTGGAACCATTCTCTTGATTGAGCAGTTTGGGAACAGTGTTTTTGTAGAATCTGCAAAGGGATATTTGTGATACCTTTGTGGCCTATGGTGAAAAAGGATATGCCTTCACATAAAAACTAAACAGAAACCTTCTGAGAAATTTCTGTGTGATGTGTGCATTCATCTCACAGGATTCAACCTTTCTTTTGATTGAGCAGTTTGGAAACAGTCTTTTTGTACAATCTGCAAAGGTACATTTGTGAGCACTTTGAGGACTACTGTGAAAAGGAAACATTTTCATATAAAACCTAGAGAGAAGTTTTCTGAGAACTTCTTCGTGATGTGTGCATTCACCTTGCAGAGTTGAATGTTTCTTTTGATTGAGCAGTTTGCAAACCATCTTTTTGTAGATTCTGCAAAGGGAAATATGTAGGCGATTTGAGGTTGATGGTGAAATAGGAAATAACTTCATATGAAAACTAGACACAACCTTTCTGAGAATCTTCCCTGTGTTGTGTGAATTGATCACACACAGATGAGCCTTTCTTTTGATTGAGCAGTTTGTAAACAGTGTTTTTGGAGAATCTGAAAAGGGATATTTGTGAGCGGTATGAGGCCTATGGTGAGAAAGGAAATATGTTCACATAAAAACTAGACAGAAGTTTCTGAGAAACTTCTTTGTGATATTTGCATTTCTCTCTCAGATTTGAACAGTTCGTTTGATTGAGCAGTTTGGAAACAGACTTTTTGTACAATCTGCATAGGGACATTTGTGAGCGCTTTAAGGCCTAGGGTGAAACAGGAAATATCTTCATATAAAACCTAGACAGAAGCTTTCAGAGAAACTTCTTTATAATGTGTGCATTCATCTAAAAGAGTTCAACCTTTCTTTTGATTGAGCAGTTATGAAACAGTCTTTTTGTAGAATCTGCCAAGGGATATTTGTAGGGGTTTGAGGCATATGGTGAAAAGGGAAATATCTTCATATAAAAACTAGACAGAAGCTTTCTGAGGAACTTCTTTGTGATGTGTGCTTTCATCTCACAAAGCTGAACCTTTCTTTTTTTTGAGCAGTTTGTAAAAAGTCTCTTTGTAAATTCTGCAAAAGGATTTTTGTGAGCTGTTTGATGCCGATGTTGAAAAAGGAAATATTGACAAATAAAATCTAGACAGACCCTTTCTAGGAAACTACTTTGTGATGTGTACATTCATCTCACAGAGTTGAACCATTCTTTTGTTGAGCAGTTTGGAAACAGTGTTTTTGTAGTATCTGCAGAGAGATATATGCAGGCAGTTATAGGCTAATTTTGAAAAAGTAAATATCTTCATATAAGAACTAGACAGTAGGTTTCTGAGAATCTTCCTTGTGATGTGTGCATTCACCACACTGAGTTGAACCTTTGTTTTGATTGAGCAGTTTGGAAACAGTCTTTTTGCAGAATCTGTAAAGTGATATTTGAGAACGCTTTTATGCTCATGGTGAAAAATGAAGTATCTTCACATAAAAACTAGACAGTAGCATTCCAAGAAACTTCTTTGTGATGTGTGAATTCATCTCAGAGTTGAACCTTTGTTTCGATTGAGCAGTTTGGAAACAGTCTTTTTCTAGAATCTGCAAAGGGACATTTTTGAGTGCTTTGAGGCCAATGGTGAAAAAGAAAATATCTTCACACAAAAAATAGACAGAGGCTTTCTGAGAAACTTCTTTGTGATGGGTGCATTCATCTCACAGAGTTCAAACTTTCCTTTGATTGAGCAGTTTTGAAACAGTCTTTTTTAAAATCTGCATAAGGATATTTGTGATCCCTTTGTGGCCCATGGTGAAAAAGGAAATGTCTTCACATAAAACCTAGACAGAAGCTTTCTGAGAAACTTTTTGTGATGTATGCATTCATCACAGAGATTTGAACATTTCTTTTCATGGAGCAGTTTGGAAACAGTCTTTTTGCAGAATCTGCAAAGAGAAATATGTAGGCAGTTTGAGGCCTATGGTGGAAAAGGAAATATCTTCATATAAGAACTACACAGAAGCTTCCTGAGAATCTATGGAAGCTAAATCACATAAATACTAGATAGAAGCCTTCTCAGAAACTACGTTGTGATGATTGCATTCACCTCACGGAGTGGAGCATTCCTATTGACAGAGCAGTTTGGAAACACCCTTGTTGTAGAATCTGCTAGTGGAGATTTGGAGCGCTTTGAGGCCTATGGTAGTAAATGGAAGAGCTTCACATAAAATCTAGACAGAAGCATTCTGAGAAAATACTTTGTGATGATTGAGTTTAACACACAGAGCTGAACATTCCTTTGGATGGAGAAGGTTTGAAACACACTTTCTGTAGAATCTGCGAGTGGATATTTGGACCTCTCTGAGGATTTCGTTGGAAACGGGATAACTGCACCTAACTAAACGGAAGCATTCTCACAAAATTCTTTGTGATGTTTGCATTCAAATCCCAGAGTTGAACCTTCCTTTGATAGTTCAGCTTTGAAACACCCTTTTTGTAGGATCTGCAAGTGGATAGTTGGACCACTCTTTGGCCTTCGTTCGAAACGGGTACATCTTCAAATAAAATCTAGACAGAAGCCTTCTCAGAAACTTCTCTGTGATGATTGCATTCAAATCAAAGCGTTGAACCCTCCTATGGATAGAGCAGTTTTGAATCTCTCTTTTTGTGGAATCTGCAAGTGGTTGTGTGGTCCTCTTTGAAGATGTCTTTGGAAACGGGAATATCTTCACATAAAAACTAAACAGAAGCATTCTCAGAAACTTCTCTGTGATGTTTGTGTCCAAATCACAGAGTTTCACGTTGCTTTTCATAGAGCAGATGAGAAACATTCTTTTCGTAGGGTCTGCAAGTGGACATTTGGAGAGATTTCAGGCCTGTGGTGGAAAACGAATTATCGTCAAGTAAAAACTAGAGGGAAGCATTGTCAGAAACTTGTTTGTGATGACTGCATTCAACTCACAGAGTTGAAGGTTCCTTTTCAAACAGCAGTTTCCAAACACTCTTTCTGTGGCATCTGCAAGTGGATGATTGGGCCTCTTTGAAGATTTCGTTGGAAACGGGATAATCTTCACAGAAAAGCTAAACAGAAGCATTCTCAGAAACTTCTTTGTGATGTTTGCTTTCAACTCACAGAGTTGAACTTTCCTTTTGAGAGAGAAGCTTTGAAACACTCTTTTTCTAGAATCTGCAAGTGGATATTTGGAGGGCTTTGAGGCCTGTGGTGGAAAAGGAATTATCTTCCCGTAAGAACTAGATAGATGCATTCTCAGAAACTACTTTGTGACGATTGCATTCAAGTCACAGAGGTGAACATTCCCTTTCAGAGAGCACTTTGGAAACTCTCGTTGTGTAGAATCTGCAAGTGGAGATATGGACCGCTTTGAGGCCTATGGTAGTAAAGGAAACAGCTTCATATAAAAACTAGACAGCAGCATTCTCAGAAAACTCTTTGTGACGACTGAGTTTAACTCACAGGGCTGAACATTCCTTTGGATGGAGCAGTTTGGAAACACACTATCTGTAGGATCTGCAAGCGGATACTTGGGCCTCTCTGAGGATTTTGTTGGAAACGGGATAAACCGCACAGAACTAAACAGAAGCATTCTCAGAACCTTCTTCGTGACGTTTGCATTCAACCCACAGTGTTGAACCTTTCTTTGATAGTTCAGGTTTGAAACACTCTTTTTGTAGAAACTGCAAGTGGATAACTGCACTTCTTTGAGGCCTATCGTAGTAAAGGAAATAACTTCCTATAAAAACAAGACAGAAGCTTTCTCAGAAAATTCTCTGGGATGATTGAGTTGAACTCACAGAGCAGTACTTTCCTTGGGATGGAGTAGTTTCGAAACACACTTTCTGTAGAATCTGCAAGTGGATATTTGGACCTGTCTGAGGAATTCGTTGCAAACGGGATAATTTCAGCTAAGGAAACAGAAGCAGTCTCAGAATCTTCTTGTGATGTTTGCATTCAAATCCCAGAATTGAACCTTCCTTTGAAAGTTCAGGTTTGAAACACTCTTTTTGCAGAATCTACAAGTGGATATTCGGACCACTCTGTGGACTTCGTTCGAAACGGGTATATCTTCACATAACATCTACACAGAAGCATTCTCAGAAACTTTTCTGTGATGACTGCATTCAACTCACAGAGTTGAACACTCCTTTTGAGAGCGCAGTTTTGAAACTCTCTTTCTCTGGAATCTGCAAGGGGACATGCAGACCTCTTTGAAGGTTTCGTTGGAAACGGAATCGTCTTCACATAAAATTTACACAGAAGCATTCTCAGGAACTCCTTGGTGATGTTTGTATTCAACTTCCAGAGTTGAACTTTCCTTCGGAAAGAGCAGCTATGAAACACTCTTTTTCTAGAATCTGCAAGTGGACATTGGGAGGGCTGTGAGGTTTGTGGTGGAAAAGGAAATATCTCCACGTAAATACTAGATAGAAGCCTTCTCAGAAACTATGTTGTGATGATTGCATTCACCTCACGGAGTGGAGAATTCCTATTGACAGAGCAGTTTGGAAACACCCTTGTTGTAGAATCTGCTAGTGGAGAATTGGAGCGCTTTGAGGCCTATGGTAGTAAATGGAGGAGCTTCACATAAAATCTAGACAGAAGCATTCTCAGAAAATACTTTGTGATGATTGAGTTTAACACACAGAGCTGAACATTCCTTTGGATGGAGCAGGTTTGAAACACACTTTCTGTAGAATCTGCGAGTGGATATTTGGACCTCTCTGAGGATTTCGTTGGAAACGGGATAACTGCACCTAACTAATCGGAAGCATTCTCACAAACTTCTTCGTGATGTTTGCATTCAAATCCCAGATTTGAACCTTCCTATGATAGTTCAGCTTTGAAACATTCTTTTTGTAGGATCTGCAAGTGGATATTTGGACCACTATTTGGCCTTCCTTCGAAACGGGTACATCTTCAAATAAAATCTAGACAGAAGCCTTCTCAGAAACTTCTCTGTGATGATTGCATTCAACTCATAGCGTTGAACCTTCCTATGGATAGAGCAGTTTTGAATCTCTCTTTTTGTGGAATCTGCAAGTGGTTGTGTGGTCCTCTTTGAAGATGTCTTTGGAAATGGGAATATCTTCACATAAAAACTAAACAGAAGCATTCTCAGAAACTTCTCTGTGATGTTTGTGTCCAAATCACAGAGTTTCACGTTGCTTTTCATAGAGCAGATGAGAAACATTCTTTTCGTAGGGTCTGCAAGTGGACATTTGGAGAGATTTCAGGCCTGTGGTGGAAAACGAATTATCGTCAAGTAAAAACTAGAGGGAAGCATTGTCAGAAACTTGTTTGTGATGACTGCATTCAACTCACAGAGTTGAAGGTTCCTTTTCAAACAGCAGTTTCCAAACACTCTTTCTGTGGCATCTGCAAGTGGATGTTTGGGCCTCTTTGAAGATTTCGTTGGAAACGGGATAATCTTCACAGAAAAGCTAAACAGAAGCATTCTCAGAAACTTCTTTGTGATGTTTGCTTTCAACTCACAGAGTTGAACTTTCCTTTTGAGAGAGAAGCTTTGAAACACTCTTTTTCTAGAATCTGCAAGTGGATATTTGGAGGGCTTTGAGGCCTGTGGTGGAAAAGGAATTATCTTCCCGTAAGAACTAGATAGATGCATTCTCAGAAACTACTTTGTGACGATTGCATTCAAGTCACAGAGGTGAACATTCCCTTTCACAGAGCACTTTGGAAACTCTCCTTGTGTAGAATCTGCAAGTGGAGATATGGACCGCTTTGAGGCCTATGGTAGTAAAGGAAACAGCTTCATATAAAAACTAGACAGCAGCATTCTCAGGAAATTCTTTGTGACGACTGAGTTTAACTCACAGGGCTGAACATTCCTTTGGATGGAGCAGTTTGGAAACACACTATCTGTAGGATCTGCAAGCGGATACTTGGGCCTCTCTGAGGATTTCGTTGGAAACGGGATAAACCGCACAGAACTAAACAGAAGCATTCTCAGAACCTTCTTCGTGACGTTTGCATTCAACCCACAGTGTTGAACCTTTCTTTGATAGTTCAGGTTTGAAACACTCTTTTTGTAGAAACTGCAAGTGGATAACTGCACTTCTTTGAGGCCTATCGTAGTAAAGGGAATAACTTCCTATAAAAACAAGACAGAAGCTTTCTCAGAAAATTCTCTGGGATGATTGAGTTAAACTCACAGAGCAGTACTTTCCTTGGGATGGAGTAGTTTCGAAACACACTTTCTGTAGAATCTGCAAGTGGATATTTGGACCTGTCTGAGGAATTCGTTGCAAACGGGATAATTTCAGCTAAGTAAACAGAAGCAGTCTCAGAATCTTCTTGTGATGTTTGCATTCAAATCCCAGAATTGAACCTTCCTTTGAAAGTTCAGGTTTGAAACACTCTTTTTGAAGGATCTACAAGTGGATATTCGGACCACTCTGTGGACTTCGATCGAAACGGGTATATCTTCACATAACATCAAGACAGAAGCATTCACAGAAACTTTTCTGTGATGACTGCATTCAACTCACAGAGTTGAACACTCCTTTTGAGAGCGCAGTTTTGAAACTCTCTTTCTCTGGAATCTGCAAGGGGACATGCAGAACTCTTTGAAGGTTTCGTTGGAAACGGAATCATCTTCACATAAAAATTACACAGAAGCATTCTCAGGAACTCCTTGGTGATGTTTGTATTCAACTTCCAGAGTTGAACTTTCCTTCGGAAAGAGCAGCTATGAAACACTCTTTTTCTAGAATCTGCAAGTGGACATTGGGAGGGCTGTGAGGTTTGTGGTGGAAATGGAAATATCTCCACATAAATACTAGATAGAAGGCTTCTCAGAAACTACTTTGTGATGATTGCATTCACCTCACGGAGTGGAGCATTCCTATTGACAGAGCAGTTTGGAAACACTCTTGTTGTAGAATCTGCTAGTGGAGATTTGGAGCGCTTTGAGGCCTATGGTAGTAAAGGGAAGAGCTTCACATAAAATCTAGACAGAAGCATTCTCAGAAAATACTTTGTGATGATTGAGATTAACACACAGAGCTGAACATTCCTTTGGATGGAGAAGGTTTGAAACACACTTTCTGTAGAATCTGCGAGTGGATATTTGGACCTCTCTGAGGATTTCGTTGGAAACGGGATAACTGCACCTAACTAAACGGAAGCATTCTCACAAAATTCTTTGTGATGTTTGCATTCAAATCCCAGAGTTGAACCTTCCTTTGATAGTTCAGCTTTGAAACACCCTTTTTGTAGGATCTGCAAGTGGATATTTGGACCACTCTTTGGCCTTCGTTCGAAACGGGTACATCTTCAAATAAAATCTAGACAGAAGCCTTCTCAGAAACTTCTCTGGGATGATTGCATTCAACTCAAAGCTTTGAACCCTCCTATGGATAGTGCAGTTTTGAATCTCTCTTTTTGTGGAATCTGCAAGTGGATATGTGGTACTCTTTGAAGTTGTCTTTGGAAACGGGAATATCTTCACATAAAAACTAAACAGAAGCATTCTCAGAAACTTCTCTGTGATGTTTGTGTTCAACTCACAGAGTTTCACGTTGCTTTTCATAGAGCAGATGAGAAACACGCTTTTCGTAGGGTCTGCAAGTGGACATTTGGAGAGATTTCAGGCCTGTGGTGGAAAACGAATTATCGTCACGTAAAAACTAGAGAGAAGCATTGTCAGAAACTTGTTTGTGATGACTGCATTCAACTCACAGAGTTGAAGGTTCCTTTTCAAACAGCAGTTTCCAAACACTCTTTCTGTGGCATCTGCAAGTGGATGTTTGGGCCTCTTTGAAGATTTCTTTGGAAACGGAATAATCTTCACAGAAAAGCTAAACAGAAGCATTCTCAGAAACTTCTTTGTGATGTTTGCTTTCAACTCACAGAGTTGAACTTTCCTTTTGAGAGAGAAGCTTTGAAACACTCTTTTTCTAGAATCTGCAAGTGGATATTTGGAGGGCTTTGAGGCCTGTGGTGGAAAAGGAATTATCTTCCCGTAAGAACTAGATAGATGCATTCTCAGAAACTACTTTGTGACGATTGCATTCAAGTCACAGAGGTGAACATTCCCTTTCAGAGAGCACTTTGGAAGCTCTCGTGTAGAATCTGCAAGTGGAGATATGGACCGCTTTGAGGCCTATGGTAGTAAAGGAAACAGCTTCATATAAAAACTAGACAGCAGCATTCTCAGAAAACTCTTTGTGACGACTGAGTTTAACTCACAGGGCTGAACATTCCTTTGGATGGAGCAGTTTGGAAACACACTATCTGTAGGATCTGCAAGCGGATACTTGGGTCTCTCTGAGGATTTCCTTGGAAACGGGATAAACAGCACAGAACTAAACAGAAGCATTCTCAGAACCTTCTTCGTGACGTTTGCATTCAACCCACAGTGTTGAACCTTTCTTTGATAGTTCAGGTTTGAAACACTCTTTTTGTAGAAACTGCAAGAGGATAACTGCACTTCTTTGAGGCCTATCGTAGTAAAGGAAATAACTTCCTATAAAAACAAGACAGAAGCTTTCTCAGAAAATTCTCTGGGATGATTGAGTTGAACTCACAGAGCAGTACTTTCCTTGGGATGGAGTAGTTTCAAAACACACTTTCTGTAGAATCTGCAAGTGGGTATTTGGACCTGTCTGAGGAATTCGTTGCAAACGGGATAATTTCAGCAAAGTAAACAGAAGCAGTCTCAGAATCTTCTTGTGATGTTTGCATTCAAATCCCAGAATTGAACCTTCCTTTGAAAGTTCAGGTTGGAAACACTCTTTTTGCAGGATCTACAAGTGGATATTGGGACCACTCTGTGAACTTCGTTCGAAACGGGTATATCTTCACATAACATCTAGACAGAAGCATTCTCAGAAACTTTTCTGTGATGACTGCATTCAACTCACAGAGTTGAACACTCCTTTTGAGAGCGCAGTTTTGAAACTCTCTTTCTCTGGAATCTGCAAGGGGACATGCAGACCTCTTTGAAGGTTTCGTTGGAAACAGAATCATCTTCACATAAAAATTACACAGAAGCATTCTCAGGAACTCCTTGGTGATGTTTGTATTCAACTTCCAGAGTTGAACTTTCCTTCTGAAAGAGCAGCTATGAAACACTCTTTTTCTAGAATCTGCAAGTGGACATTGGGAGGGCTGTGAGGTTTGTGGTGGAAAAGGAAATATCTCCACATAAATACTAGATAGAAGGCTTCTCAGAAACTACTTTGTGATGATTGCATTCACCTCACGGAGTGGAGCATTCCTATTGACAGAGCAGTTTGGAAACACTCTTGTTGTAGAATCTGCTAGTGGAGATTTGGAGCGCTTTGAGGCCTATGGTAGTAAAGGGAAGAGCTTCACATAAAATCTAGACAGAAGCATTCTCAGAAAATACTTTGTGATGATTGAGATTAACACACAGAGCTGAACATTCCTTTGGATGGAGAAGGTTTGAAACACACTTTCTGTAGAATCTGCGAGTGGATATTTGGACCTCTCTGAGGATTTCGTTGGAAACGGGATAACTGCACCTAACTACACGGAAGCATTCTCACAAAATTCTTTGTGATGTTTGCATTCAAATCCCAGAGTTGAACCTTCCTTTGATAGTTCAGCTTTGAAACACTCTTTTTGTAGGATCTGCAAGTGCATATTTAGACCACTCTTTGGCCTTCGTTCGAAACGGGTACATCTTCAAATAAAATCTAGACAGAAGCCTTCTCAGAAACTTCTCTGTGATGATTGCATTCAACTCAAAGCGTTGAACCCTCCTATGGATAGAGCAGTTTTGAATCTCTCTTTTTGTGGAATCTGCAAGTGGATATGTGGTCCTCTTTGAAGATGTCTTTGGAAACGGGAATATGTTCACATAAAAACTAAACAGAAGCATTCTCAGAAACTTCTCTGTGATGTTTCTGTTCAACTCACAGAGTTTCACGTTGCTATTCATAGAGCAGATGAGAAACATGCTTTTCGTAGGGTCTGCAAGTGGACATTTGGAGAGATTTCCCACCTGCGGTGGAAAACGAATTATCGTCACGTAAAAACTAGAGAGAAGCATTGTCAGAAACTTGTTTGTGATGACTGCATTCAACTCACAGAGTTGAAGGTTCTTTTTCAAACAGCAGTTTCCAAACACTCTTTCTGTGGCATCTGCAAGTGGATGTTTGGGCCTCTTTGAAGATTTCGTTGGAAACGGGATAATCTTCACAGAAAAGCTAAACAGAAGCATTCTCAGAAACTTCTTTGTGATGTTTGCTTTCAACTCACAGAGTTGAAATTTCCTTTTGAGAGAGAAGCTTTGAAACACTCTTTTTCTAGAATCTGCAAGTGGATATTTGGAGGGCTTTGAGGCCTGAGGTGGAAAAGGAATTATCTTCCCGTAAGAACTAGATAGATGCATTCTCAGAAACTACTTTGTGACGATTGCATTCAAGTCACAGAGGTGAACATTCCCTTTCAGAGAGCACTTTGGAAACTCTCGTTGTGTAGAATCTGCAAGTGGAGATATGGACCGCTTTGAGGCCTATGGTAGTAAAGGAAACAGCTTCATATAAAAACTAGACAGCAGCATTCTCAGAAAACTCTTTGTGACGACTGAGTTTAACTCACAGGGCTGAACATTCCTTTGGATGGAGCAGTTTGGAAACACACTATCTGTAGGATCTGCAAGCGGATACTTGGGCCTCTCTGAGGATTTCGTTGGAAACGGGATAAACCGCACAGAACTAAACAGAAGCATTCTCAGAACCTTCTTCGTGATGTTTGCATTCAACCCACAGTGTTGAACCTTTCTTTGATAGTTCAGGTTTGAAACACTCTTTTTGTAGAAACTGCAAGTGGATAACTGCACTTCTTTGAGGCCTATCGTAGTAAAGGAAATAACTTCCTATAAAAACAAGACAGAAGCTTTCTCAGAAAATTCTCTGGGATGATTGAGTTGAACTCACAGAGCAGTACTTTCCTTGGGATGGAGTAGTTTCGAAACACACTTTCTGTAAAATCTGCAAGTGGATATTTGGACCTGTCTGAGGAATTCGTTGCAAACGGGATAATTTCAGCTAAGTAAACAGAAGCAGTCTCAGAATCTTCTTGTGATGTTTGCATTCAAATCCCAGAATTGAAACTTCCTTTGAAAGTTCAGGTTGGAAACACTCTTTTTGCAGGATCTACAAGTGGATATTCGGACCACTCTGTGGACTTCGTTCGAAACGGGTATATCTTCACATAACATCTAGACAGAAGCATTCTCAGAAACTTTTCTGTGATGACTGCATTCAACTCACAGAGTTGAACACTCCTTTTGAGAGCGCAGTTTTGAAACTCTCTTTCTCTGGAATCTGCAAGGGGACATGCAGACCTCTTTGAATGTTTCATTGGAAACGGAATCATCTTCACATAAAAATTACACAGAAGCATCCTCAGGAACTCCTTGGTGATGTGTGTATTCAACTTCCAGAGTTGAACTTTCCTTCGGAAAGAGCAGCTATGAAACACTCTTTTTCTAGAATCTGCAAGTGGACATTGGGAGGGCTGTGAGGTTTGTGGTGGAAAAGGAAATATCTCCACGTAAATACTAGATAGAAGCCTTCTCAGAAACTACGTTGTGATGATTGCATTCACCTCACGGAGTGGAGCATTCCTATTGACAGAGCAGTTTGGAAACACTCTTGTTGTAGAATCTGCTAGTGGAGATTTGGAGCGCTTTGAGGCCTATGGTAGTAAAGGGAAGAGCTTCACATAAAATCTAGACAGAAGCATTCTCAGAAAATACTTTGTGATGATTGAGTTTAACACACAGAGCTGAACATTCCTTTGGATGGAGAAGTTTTGAAACACACTTTCTGTAGAATCTGCGAGTGGATATTTGGACCTCTCTGAGGATTTCGTTGGAAACGGGAAAACTACACCTAACTAAACGGAAGCATTCTCACAAAATTCTTTGTGATGTTTGCATTCAAATCCCAGAGTTGAACCTTCCTTTGATAGTTCAGCTTTGAAACACCCTTTTTGTAGGATCTGCAAGTGGATATTTGGACCAGTCTTTGGCCTTCATTCGAAACGGGTACATCTTCAAATAAAATCTAGACAGAAGCCTTCTCAGAAACTTCTCTGGGATGCTTGCATTCAACTCAAAGCGTTGAACCCTCCTATGGATAGAGCAGTTTTGAATCTCTCTTTTTGTGGAATCTGCAAGTGGATATGTGGTCCTCTTAGAAGTTGTCTTTGGAAACGGGAATATCTTCACATAAAAACTAAACAGAAGCATTCTCAGAAACTTCTCTGTGATGTTTGTGTTCAACTCACAGAGTTTCACGTTGCTTTTCATAGAGCAGATGAGAAACATGCTTTTCGTAGGGTCTGCAAGTGGACATTTGGAGAGATTTCAGGCCTGTGGTGGAAAACGAATTATCGTCACGTAAAAACTAGAGAGAAGCATTGTCAGAAACTTGTTTGTGATGACTGCATTCAATTCACAGAGTTGAAGGTTCCTTTTCAAACAGCAGTTTCCAAACACTCTTTCTGTGGCATCTGCAAGTGGATGTTTGGGCCTCTTTGAAGATTTCGTTGGAAACGGGATAATCTTCACAGAAAAGCTAAACAGAAGCATTCTCAGAAACTTCTTTGTGATGTTTGCTTTCAACTCACAGAGTTGAACTTTCCTTTTGAGAGAGAAGCTTTGAAACACTCTTTTTCTAGAATCTGCAAGTGGATATTTGGAGGGCTTTGAGGCCTGTGGTGGAAAAGGAATTATCTTCCCGTAAGAACTAGATAGATGCATTCTCAGAAACTACTTTGTGACGATTGCATTCAAGTCACAGAGGTGAACATTCCCTTTCACAGAGCACTTTGGAAACTCTCGTTGTGTAGAATCTGCAAGTGGAGATATGGACCGCTTTGAGGCCTATGGTAGTAAAGGAAACAGCTTCATATAAAAACTAGACAGCAGCATTCTCAGAAAACTCTTTGTGACGACTGAGTTTAACTCATAGGGCTGAACATTCCTTTGGATGGAGCAGTTTGGAAACACACTATCTGTAGGATCTGCAAGCGGATACTTGGGCCTCCCTGAGGATTTCTTTGGAAACGGGATAAACCGCACAGAACTAAACAGAAGCATTCTCAGAACCTTCTTCATGACGTTTGCATTCAACCCACAGTGTTGAACCTTTCTTTGAGAGTTCAGGTTTGAAACACTCTTTTTGTAGAGACTGCAAGTGGATAACTGCACTTCTTTGAGGCCTATCGTAGTAAAGGAAATAACTTCCTATAAAAACAAGACAGAAGCTTTCTCAGAAAATTCTCTGGGATGATTGAGTTGAACTCACAGAGCAGTACTTTCCTTGGGATGGAGTAGTTTCGAAACACACTTTCTGTAAAATCTGCAAGTGGATATTTGGACCTGTCTGAGGAATTCGTTGCAAACGGGATAATTTCAGCTAAGTAAACAGAAGCAGTCTCAGAATCTTCTTCTGATGTTTGCATTCAAATCCCAGAATTGAAACTTCCTTTGAAAGTTCAGGTTGGAAACACTCTTTTTGCAGGATCTACAAGTGGATATTCGGACCACTCTGTGGACTTCGTTCGAAACGGGTATATCTTCACATAACATCTAGACAGAAGCATTCTCAGAAACTTTTCTGTGATGACTGCATTCAACTCACAGAGTTGAACACTCCTTTTGAGAGCGCAGTTTTGAAACTCTCTTTCTCTGGAATCTGCAAGGGGACATGCAGACCCCTTTGAAGGTTTCGTTGGAAACGGAATCATCTTCACATAAAAATTACACAGAAGCATCCTCAGGAACTCCTTGGTGATGTGTGTATTCAACTTCCAGAGTTGAACTTTCCTTCGGAAAGAGCAGCTATGAAACACTCTTTTTCTAGAATCTGCAAGTGGACATTGGGAGGGCTGTGAGGTTTGTGGTGGAAAAGGAAATATCTCCACGTAAATACTAGATAGAAGCCTTCTCAGAAACTACGTTGTGATGATTGCATTCACCTCACGGAGTGGAGCATTCCTATTGACAGAGCAGTTTGGAAACACTCTTGTTGTAGAATCTGCTAGTGGAGATTTGGAGCGCTTTGAGGCCTATGGTAGTAAAGGGAAGAGCTTCACATAAAATCTAGACAGAAGCATTCTCAGAAAATACTTTGTGATGATTGAGATTAACACACAGAGCTGAACATTCCTTTGGATGGAGAAGGTTTGAAACACACTTTCTGTAGAATCTGCGAGTGGATATTTGGACCTCTCTGAGGATTTCGTTGGAAACGGGATAACTGCACCTAACTAAACGGAAGCATTCTCACAAAATTCTTTGTGATGTTTGCATTCAAATCCCAGAGTTGAACCTTCCTTTGATAGTTCAGCTTTGAAACACCCTTTTTGTAGGATCTGCAAGTGGATATTTGGACCACTCTTTGGCCTTCGTTCGAAACGGTTACATCTTCAAATAAAATCTAGACAGAAGCCTTCTCAGAAACTTCTCTGGGATGATTGCATTCAACTCAAAGCGTTGAACCCTCCTGTGGATAGAGCAGTTTTGAATCTCTCTTTTTGTGGAATCTGCAAGTGGATATGTGGTCCTCTTTGAAGTTGTCTTTGGAAACGGGAATATCTTCACATAAAAACTAAACAGAAGCATTCTCAGAAACTTCTCTGTGATGTTTGTGTTCAACTCACAGAGTTTCACGTTGCTTTTCATAGAGCAGATGAGAAACATGCTTTTCGCAGGGTCTGCAAGTGGACATTTGGAGAGATTTCTGGCCTGTGGTGGAAAACGAATTATCGTCACGTAAAAACTAGAGAGAAGCATTGTCAGAAACTTGTTTGTGATGACTGCATTCAACTCACAGAGTTGAAGGTTCCTTTTCAAACAGCAGTTTCCAAACACTCTTTCTGTGGCATCTGCAAGTGGATGTTTGGGCCTCTTTGAAGATTTCGTTGGAAACGGGATAATCTTCACAGAAAAGCTAAACAGAAACATTCTCAGAAACTTCTTTTGATGTTTGCTTTCAACTCACAGAGTTGAACTTTCCTTTTGAGAGAGAAGCTTTGAAACACTCTTTTTCTAGAATCTGCAAGTGGATATTTGGAGGGCTTTGAGGCCTGTGGTGGAAAAGGAATTATCTTCCCGTAAGAACTAGATAGATGCATTCTCAGAAACTACTTTGTGACGATTGCATTCAAGTCACAGAGGTGAACATTCCCTTTCACAGAGCACTTTGGAAACTCTCGTTGTGTAGAATCTGCAAGTGGAGATATGGACCGCTTTGAGGCCTATGGTAGTAAAGGAAACAGCTTCATATAAAAACTAGACAGCAGCATTCTCAGAAAACTCTTTCTGACGACTGAGTTTAACTCACAGGGCTGAACATTCCTTTGGATGGAGCAGTTTGGAAACACACTATCTGTAGGATCTGCAAGCGGATACTTGGGCCTCTCTGAGGATTTCGTTGGAAACGGGATAAACCGCACAGAACTAAACAGAAGCATTCTCAGAACCTCCTTCGTGACGTTTGCATTCAACCCACAGTGTTGAACCTTTCTTTGATAGTTCAGGTTTGAAACACTCTTTTAGTAGAAACTGCAAGTGGATAACTGCACTTCTTTGAGGCCTATCGTAGTAAAGGAAATAACTTCCTATAAAAACAAGACAGAAGCTTTCTCAGAAAATTCTCTGGGATGATTGAGTTGAACTCACAGAGCAGTACTTTCCTTGGGATGGAGTAGTTTCGAAACACACTTTCTGTAGAATCTGCAAGTGGATATTTGGACCTGTCTGAGGAATTCGTTGCAAACGGGATAATTTCAGCTAAGTAAACAGAAGCAGTCTCAGAATCTTCTTGTGATGTTTGCATTCAAATCCCAGAATTGAACCTTCCTTTGAAAGTTCAGGTTTGAAACACTCTTTTTGCAGGATCTACAAGTGGATATTCGGACCACTCTGTGGACTTCGATCGAAACGGGTATATCTTCACGTAACATCTAGACAGAAGCATTCTCAGAAACTTTTCTGTGATGACTGCATTCAACTCACAGAGTTGAACACTCCTTTTGAGAGCGCAGTTTTGAAACTCTCTTTCTCTGGAATCTGCAAGGGGACATGCAGACCTCTTTGAAGGTTTCGTTGGAAACGGAATCATCTTCACATAAAAATTACACAGAAGCATTCTCAGGAACTCCTTGGTGATGTTTGTATTCAACTTCCAGAGTTGAACTTTCCTTCGGAAAGAGCAGCTATGAAACACTCTTTTTCTAGAATCTGCAAGTGGACATTGGGAGGGCTGTGAGGTTTGTGGTGGAAAAGGAAATATCTCCACGTAAATACTAGATAGAAGCCTTCTCAGAAACTACGTTGTGATGATTGCATTCAACTCACGGAGTGGAGCATTCCTATTGACAGAGCAGTTTGGAAACACTCTTGTTGTAGAAACTGCTAGTGGATATTTGGAGCGCTTTGAGGCCTATGGTAGTAAAGGGAAGAGCTTCACATAAAATCAAGACAGAAGCATTCTCAGAAAATACTTTGTGATGATTGAGTTTAACACACAGAGCTGAACATTACTTTGGATGGAGCAGGTTTGAAACACACTTTCTATAGAATCTGCGAGTGGATATTTGGACCTCTCTGAGGATTTCGTTGGAAACGGGATAACTGCACCTAACTAAACGGAAGCATTCTCACAAAATTCTTCGTGATGTTTGCATTCAAATCCCAGAGTTGAACCTTCCTTTGATAGTTCAGCTTTGAAACACTCTTTTTGTTGGATCTGCAAGTGGATATTTGGACCACTCTTTGGCCTTCCTTCGAAACGGGTACATCTTCATATAAAATCTAGACAGAAGCCTTCTCAGAAACTTCTCTGTGATGATTGCATTCAACTGAAGGCGTTGAACCCTCCTATGGATAGGGCAGTTTTGAATCTCTCTTTTTGTGGAATCTGCAAGTGGATATGTGGTCCTCTTTGAAGATGTCTTTGGAAACGGGAATATCTTCACATAAAAACTAAACAGAAGCATTCTCATAAACTTCTCTGTGATGTTTGTGTCCAAATCACAGAGTTTCACGTTGCTTTTCATAGAGCAGATGAGAAACATGCTTTTCGTAGGGTCTGCAAGTGGACATTTGGAGAGATTTCAGGCCTGTGGTGGAAAACGAATTATCGTCACGTAAAAACTAGAGGGAAGCATTGTCAGAAACTTGTTTGTGATGACTGCATTCAACTCACAGAGTTGAAGGTTCCTTTTCAAACAGCAGTTTCCAAACACTCTTTCTGTGGCATCTGCAAGTGGATGTTTGGGCCTCTTTGAAGATTTCGTTGGAAACGGGATAATCTTCACAGAAAAGCTAAACAGAAGCATTCTCAGAAACTTCTTTGTGATGTTTGCTTTCAACTCACAGAGTTGAACTTTCCTTTTGAGAGAGAAGCTTTGAAACACTCTTTTTCTAGAATCTGCAAGTGGATATTTGGAGGGCTTTGAGGCCT
This sequence comes from Homo sapiens, assembly GCF_000001405.40. Classification (NCBI taxonomy): domain Eukaryota; kingdom Metazoa; phylum Chordata; class Mammalia; order Primates; family Hominidae; genus Homo; species Homo sapiens. The sequence goes on from NC_000017.11 coordinate 22,760,621, forward strand.
GTGGTGGAAAAGGAATTATCTTCCCGTAAGAACTAGATAGATGCATTCTCAGAAACTACTTTGTGACGATTGCATTCAAGTCACAGAGGTGAACATTCCCTTTCAGAGAGCACTTTGGAAACTCTCTTTGTGTAGAATCTGCAAGTGGAGATATGGACCGCTTTGAGGCCTATGGTAGTAAAGGAAACAGCTTCATATAAAAACTAGACAGCAGCATTCTCAGAAAACTCTTTCTGACGACTGAGTGTAACTCACAGGGTTGAACATTCCTTTGGATGGAGCAGTTTGGAAACACACTATCTGTAAGATCTGCAAGCGGATACTTGGGCCTCTCTGAGGATTTCGTTGGAAACGGGATAAACCGCACAGAACTAAACAGAAGCATTCTCAGAACCTTCTTCGTGACGTTTGCATTCAACCCACAGTGTTGAACCTTTCTTTGATAGTTCAGGTTTGAAACACTCTTTTTGTAGAAACTGCAAGTGGATAACTGCACTTCTTTGAGGCCTATCGTAGTAAAGGAAATAACTTCCTATAAAAACAAGACAGAAGCTTTCTCAGAAAATTCTCTGGGATGATTGAGTTGAACTCACAGAGCAGTACTTTCCTTGGGATGGAGTAGTTTCGAAACACACTTTCTGTAGAATCTGCAAGTGGATATTTGGACCTGTCTGAGGAATTCGTTGCAAACGGGATAATTTCAGCTAAGTAAACAGAAGCAGTCTCAGAATCTTCTTGTGATGTTTGCATTCAAATCCCAGAATTGAACCTTCCTTTGAAAGTTCAGGTTGGAAACACTCTTTTTGCAGGATCTACAAGTGGATATTCGGACCACTCTGTGGACTTCGTTCGAAACGGGTATATCTTCACATAACATCTAGACAGAAGCATTCTCAGAAACTTTTCTGTGATGACTGCATTCAACTCACAGAGTTGAACACTCCTTTTGAGAGCGCAGTTTTGAAACTCTCTTTCTCTGGAATCTGCAAAGGGACATGCAGACCTCTTTGAAGGTTTCGTTGGAAACGGAATCATCTTCACATAAAAATTACACAGAAGCATTCTCAGGAACTCCTTGGTGATGTTTGTATTCAACTTCCAGAGTTGAACTTTCCTTCGGAAAGAGCAGCTATGAAACACTCTTTTTCTAGAATCTGCAAGTGGACATTGGGAGGGCTGTGAGGTTTGTGGTGGAAAAGGAAATATCTCCACGTAAATACTAGATAGAAGCCTTCTCAGAAACTACTTTGTGATGATTGCATTCACCTCACAGAGTGGAGCATTCCTATTGACAGAGCAGTTTGGAAACACTCTTGTTGTAGAATCTGCTAGTGGAGATTTGGAGCGCTTTGAGGCCTATGGTAGTAAAGGGAAGAGCTTCACATAAAATCAAGACAGAAGCATTCTCAGAAAATACTTTGTGATGATTGAGTTTAACACACAGAGCTGAACATTCCTTTGGATGGAGCAGGTTTGAAACACACTTTCTATAGAATCTGCGAGTGGATATTTGGACCTCTCTGAGGATTTCGTTGGAAACGGGATAACTGCACCTAACTAAACGGTAGCATTCTCACAAAATTCTTCGTGATGTTTGCATTCAAATCCCAGAGTTGAACCTTCCTTTGATAGTTCAGGTTTGAAACACTCTTTTTGTAGGATCTGCAAGTGGATATTTGGACCACTCTTTGGCCTTCCTTCGAAACGGGTACATCTTCAAATAAAATCTAGACAGAAGCCTTCTCAGAAACTTCTCTGGGATGATTGCATTCAACTTTGAGTTGAACCCTGCTATGGATAGAGCAGTTTAGAATCTCTCTTTTTGTGGAATCTGCAAGTGGATATGTCGTCCTCCTTGAAGATGTCTTTGGAAACGGGAATATCTTCACATAAAAACTAAACAGAAGCATTCTCAGAAACTTCTCTGTGATGTTTGTGTTCAAATCACAGAGTTTCACGTTGCTTTTCATAGAGCAGATGAGAAACATGCTTTTCGTAGGGTCTGCAAGTGGACATTTGGAGAGATTTCAAGCCTGTGGTGGAAAACGAATTATCGTCACGTAAAAACTAGAGGGAAGCATTGTCAGAAACTTGTTTGTGATGACTGCATTCAACTCACAGAGTTGAAGGTTCCTTTTCAAACAGCAGTTTCCAAACACTCTTTCTGTGGCATCTGCAAGTGGATGTTTGGGCCTCTTTGAAGATTTCGTTGGAAAAGGGATAATCTTCACAGAAAAGCTAAACAGAAGCATTCTCAGAAACCTCTTTTTGATGTTTGCTTTAAACTCACAGAGTTGAACTTTCCTTTTGAGAGAGAAGCTTTGAAACACTCTTTTTCTAGAATCTGCAAGTGGATATTTGGAGGGCTTTGAGGACTGTGGTGGAAAAGGAATTATCTTCCCGTTAGAACTAGATAGATGCATTCTCAGAAACTACTTTGTGACGATTGCATTCAAGTCACAGAGGTGAACATTCCCTTTCACAGAGCACTTTGGAAACTCTCGTTGTGTAGAATCTGCAAGTGGAGATATGGACCGCTTTGAGGCCTACGGCAGTAAAGGAAACAGCTTCATATAAAAACTAGACAGCAGCATTCTCAGAAAACTCTTTCTGACGACTGAGTGTAACTCACAGGGTTGAACATTCCTTTTGATGGAGCAGTTTGGAAACACACTATCTGTAAGATCTGCAAGCGGATACTTGGGCCTCTCTGAGGATTTCGTTGGAAACGGGATAAACCGCACAGAACTAAACAGAAGCATTCTCAGAACCTTCTTCGTGACGTTTGCATTCAACCCACAGTGTTGAACCTTTCTTTGATAGTTCAGGTTTGAAACACTCTTTTTGTAGAAAGTGCAAGAGTATAACTGCACTTCTTTGAGGCCTATCGTAGTAAAGGAAATAACTTCCTATAAAAACAAGACAGAAGCTTTCTCAGAAAATTCTCTCAGATGATTCAGTTGAACTCACAGAGCAGTACTTTCCTTGGGATGGAGTAGTTTCGAAACACACTTTCTGTAGAATCTGCAAGTGGATATTTGGACCTGTCTGAGGAATTC